>NW_017852933.1:642371-963557 GCF_000001405.40 Homo sapiens
CGATCTCTTGACCTCATGATCCGCCTGCCTCAGCCTCCCAAAGTGCTGGGATTACAGGCGTGAGCCACCACGCCTGGCGTGTAAGCCAATTTTTTAGAAGAAATCTCTCCCTCTCTCTCCACATATATGCATATATGTATGTAGCACTGATCCTTGAACAGTGTATCCTTTACTCAAACTGAGAAAGAGGAATTTTTAAAACATATTTCCTATCAGTAGATAACCCCTATTCTATGATTCCCTTCTTCAAGCTCCCCTCCAAGGACATGTGTTAAAGGGACAATTTTCTTCCCAAGTATATCATGCATTTTTTCCCCCTTCATTCTTACCTGCATTACAGATGAAAAGGCTTTCTTTTCTCCTACAGTCTCTAGTGCTTTGTAGGTGGCACATAAGTAGAGGAGTTTAACTTCATCTTTTGCAGATGAGCTAAATTTGCTAAAAATCCACTTGAAGATCTTCTCAGCCTCATAGCTCAGAGAAGCACAAAGAAGGCCGAGACAGCAAGCTCCCTCCTGTCTCAACTCCTGAAGCAATTTGCTACTGTGTTTATTTTAATGCAAACAAAAAACACACACAAAAGGCTTAAGTTTTCTATGATGACACGAGTAATACATCTTACAAAAGAATGTCTTAAGTGGTTTTTTAAATTTCTATTCAAACTACATAAAAGGTTGAAATTTTCTCCACTCTAAATACTACATTCTGTCTAGCCTGCATTGCCCTCAAGTATCTGTCTGACATCACTTTCTTTTTACAAAATCAATTATTTACAAACAGTGAGGGAAGGCCCAAAAATGCTAAATTCCATCTCAAACTGTATTAAATAACTCTCAGAAAAGGGCAGCAACAAATAAGTAGATAAAACACTCTATACATAACTACATTCTACATAATATCCAATATGTAATGACTATAAAATAAAAAATGGTAATAGTTAAATACAGAAACTTAAAAGGATAACAGTAATGATTTACATAGAACTTTAATAAGTAACTCTATAAAACAAAACCATCAAAAGGCACTAAGGTTTATGACCAGCTGAGATAAATTTTGGGTACTTGCCAACACTGCAAATCTTTGGGAATCACCATAACAAAAAATGACCACACACCTCTGGAGACTCTAATAGCCAGAGAATATATGGTTTGGATCCACTCTTACCCAAAGAAGGAAATTCCTTTTTACCTCTATTCTCTAAGCAGTTTCAAATTCTCTTGTTTACAAAAACTAATTTTATTCTTCATGCCTGCATCAAGAGTTTATGCCATTCCATAAGTCAAGACTCAGTTATCCAGTGAGACTAGCAAATTAAAAAAATAAAATATTCCAGCCAGGCACGGTGGCTCATGCCTGTAATCCCAACACTTTGGAAGGCTAAGGTGGGTGGATCACCTGAGGTCAGGAGTTCCAGACCAGCCTGGCCAACATGGTGAAACCCTGTCTCTACTAAAAATACAAAAATTAGCTGGCAGTTGTGGTGCACGCCTGTAGTCCCAGCTACTCGGGAGGCTGAGGCAGGAGAATCACTTGAACCCGGGAGGTGGAGGTTGCAGTGAGCTGAGATCGCACCACTGCACTCCAGCCTGGGCGACAGGGTGAGACTCCGGCTCAAAAAATAAATATTCTTTTCAAGTGGATTCCATTTGTATTCAACCGTAATTAACACATAATTAATGCAGATAAAAATGACAAGACCCACTGAAATGTCAATAAATGTTCATAAACAAAGCCAGTGGGTTTGTCTTCTTGTGTATTGTTAAGTAATTTCTAAAAATATATTTTAAAGTCATTTAAACCGAACCATTATTAGTTACTTACCTTTCATTAAGCACATCATGTACAGCAGCCAAGATATCCAATTGTTTAACTAGTACCTTTAAAAGAAAACACATTTATAAAAACTTCAAATTCCTATACTTTTAAGAATAGCATTGTGTACTTTTTTACTTGTCTTCCCTCCAAATTCTAATTCAACAGTACTTTACTTTCTTTATTATTCCCACTCCCCAATGAGCATGTATCAGGAATGTCATGTTTCCTTTCAGCCTATGAAAGAAATTCACCCACTGGAAACATAGAGCTGTGATCATCAACAAAAAAATAAACTCAAAAAGCTTGTTTCATTTACTTTGAAATCCATTTGAAAAATTGACTGACGGATGGAGGGATAGATGGAGAGATATGTGACAAGGCAGTATTTAGGGTAAAATGTTAACGACAAAAATTAGATGATGGGTTTAACAGATTCAATGTCAAATTCTTTCAACTTGCTATATATTTGAAACTACTCATAATAAAATTTGGAAGGAGGAGAAACTTGCTTTGATCCAAGTGTCATCTGCCTCACTAGACCATTTTCATTAATTTTCTCCTGCTCATTGTCAAGTTCTTTTTTTTTTTTTAAGATGGAGTTTCACTCTTTTCGCCCAGGCTGGAGTGCAATGGCGTGATCTCAGCTCACTGCAACCTCCGTCTCCTGGGTTCAAGCGATTCTCCTGCCACAGCCTCCCATGTAGCTGGAATTACGGTCATGTGCCACCACACCCAGCTAATTTTGTATTTTTAGTAGAGATGGGGGCTTCACTATGTTGGGCAGGCTGGTATCGAACTCCTGAACTCAGGTGATCCACCCACCTTGGCCTCCCAAAATGCTGGGATTACATGCATGAGCCACCACACCTGGCCCATATCAAGTTCTTAATTGGTGTAAAGAAAGTGAAGAAAAAAATTTAACCCTTCCTATACTTTGTTACATTTCTGTTGTTGTTTTAAGAGACAAGGACTCCCTCTGTCGCCCAGGTTGACATGCAGAGGTGTGATCATATCTCACTGCAACCCTGAATTCCTGGGCTCAAGTGATTCTTCCACCTCAGCCAGGTGTAGTGGCACATGCCTGAAGTCCCAGCTACTCAGGAGGCCACAGCGGGAGGATAGCTTGAATCCAGGAGTTTGAGACTGCAGTGAGCTATGACTGTGCCACTGCACTCCAGCCTGGGCGACAGAGCAAGATCTTGTCTTTAAGAAGAAAAAGAAATTACATATTAGAGAGCATTAAGTTCTTGATCATCATAATACAGACTTTCCCCATTCTTAAACTACTCAAGGTAGCATTACCTAGTTTATTATGGAAACACAAAAATCCTCATATTTCCAAACATACTATACTTACCAGCTTATTTTCTGGTTGCTGAATAAATTCTTTCAACTGCTTTACAGTAGCCAATCTTCGGTCTCGGTCGTTTTCCCGGGTGATCCTCCGAAGAAGATATGACAGTCGAGACTCATCACAATAAGACATCGATCTCTCTGTGAATATATAAACATTTTGTTGTCCACTGAGTATAAATAAGCAAAGGAAATTTTAAATTTTAAAATAATTTTAAAATTTTTAAAATTAAAAATTATTTAAATAATAATTAAATTATTATGGGGGCTCATGCCTGTAATCCCAGTACTTTGGAAGGCGGGTAGATCACATGAGTTCAGGAGTTTGAGACCAGCCTGGGCAACATGGTGAAACCCTGTCTCCACAGACACACAAAAAATTACATAAACTAGCCAGCCAAGGTGGGGTGCACCTGTAGTCCCAGCTACTCGGGAGGCTGAGGCAGGAGAATCACTGGAGCCCGTGAGGCGGAGGTTGCAGTGAGCCAAGATCACCCCATTGCACTCCAGCCTGGGTGACAGAGCAAGACCCTCTCTCAAAAATAAAATTACATCAAAAGTCACAGTCCACTGGTCAATAAAAGCTCAGGGAATATAGGTCCTATCGCTCTTTTGTTCAACTCTGTATTCCAAATCCCAGCAGAGTGCCTGGCACATAACAGACCCTCAAAAAAATATTTGCTGAAGGAAACAAGAAATGAATAACCCTAGGCCAACTGAACACCTCATTCCAGAGGACTGGCTGGGAGAGAAAAAAGAAAGGCCTTAGTAACAACTTTCTTTGGGTCCATTCCAAACTGTTTTCAACATGCAGGTAAAGAGCCCGGGTGTAGGTAAATTAAACAACTTCCAAGGGGTATGGATAAAGTCTCAATCGAGTAAAAACAGGATATAGGCTTCTACTTATCATCTAGGTATCCCACTGGAGGAAAGCCTCTTATTCACATTATCATCATTTCCCTGGGATGAAGTTTTGGGGAGCCATAATCACACATTTAGTTCAACAAATGTCTAATTATCATCTACCACATGCAAGGCATGCCTCCACTAGAAAGGTAGCAAACCACAACTTTTCTCCCTTTATTTTTTAATCACAAGAACAAGCAAACAATAGTGAATACTATTAGTATATTAACGATGCCTTTAAAAACTAGATTTTTGCTGGGCGAGGTGGCTCTTGCCTGTAATTACCCAGCACTTTGGAAGGCCAAGGCAGGCAGATCACTTGAGCACAGGAGTTCGAGACCAGCCTTGGCAACATGGTACAACCCCATCTCTACGAAAAATACAAAAATTAGCTGGGCACAGTGGCACATGCCTGTAATCCCAGCTACTCAGGAGGCTGAGGTGGGAGGATCGCTTTAGCCTGGGAAGCAAAGGTTGCAGTGAAATCACACTAGCGCATTCCAGCCTGGGTGACAGAGCGAGACTGTCTCAAAAAACAAAACAAAACAAAAAACTCAATTTTTGCAAAACATTTTCAACTGTGCTATTTACCATAATTAGCCAATACATACGTAAACAACAAATCACAAAGGGTCTGACAGTTTCATTTCTAAGGTATGAGAAAAAATTGATAATAAAAGAAACCAGAAGGCTGGGCATGGTGGCTCACACCTGTAATCCCAGCACTTTGGGAGGCCGAGGAGGGCAGATCACGGGGTCAGGAGTTGGAGACCTGCCTGGCCAACATGGTGGAACCTCGTCTCTACTAAAGATACAAAAAATTAGCCGGGCGTGGTGGCACGCTCCTGTAATCCCAGCTACTCGGGAGGCTGAGGCAGGAGAATCACTTTAATCTGGGAGGTGGAGGCTGCAGTGACCTGAGATCGCGCCATTGCACTCCAGCCTGGGTGACAGGGAGATACTCCATCTCATAAATAAATAAATAACTACAAGGGGGAACAACACACACTGGATCCTTTTGGAGGGTGGGGGGTGGGAGGAAGGAGAGGATCAAGAGAAACAACCAATGGGTACCAGGCTTAATACCTGGGTGATAAAATAATCTATACTACAAACCCTCATGACACAAGTTTACCACTGTAACAAATCTGCACTTGTATCCTGAATTTAAGTTAAAAAAAAAAAAAAAAAAAAGAAACTACAATGACTGAGAGAAGAATAGGATTTTTACAAATCCGTAGCCCATAGAGTATTTCAATAAGGACAGATACCAAATATGTCATCAAGTTACCAGCTGGGAAATTAGGCTCTACTTACAATTCTGTCACTAGCAAACTACATGACCCTGAGCCTTTGAAGAAGAGGAATTCTCTACTGAACTACTTTAGAGTCGCTGTTTAGCTTCTATAATATCATAAGTCTAAGGCTTCAAACACTCTATTTTAACAAACAGCATACATAGCCTTTGAATTCATTCCACTTGTGAAAACATAAAAAGAAATCAGTTTTTTAAAAGTTATATACCAACAATAAAAGCTACAGGCACAAAGATTTTCACCAAGATACACGAAGCACACACACAGTATAAAAAATAAAAAAAAAAAGTCAAAAACTAAACGTCCAAAAAGTAATTACATCTGACAAAGCCCATAACTCAGCTTTACCGATAAATTTCTCTTTAAGGAAAAAAATTATCATTACCTCTAATCCTCTGAACTTTCTTTTTTGTTGTTGTTTTTTTGAGACGGAGTCTCGCTCTGTCGCCCAGGCTGGAGTGCAGTGGCGCACTCAGCTCACTGCAAGCTCTGCCTCCCGGGTTCACACCATTCTCCTGCCTCAGCCTCCCGAGTAGCTGGGACTACAGGCGCCCGCCACCGCGCCCAGCTAATTTTTTGTATTTTCAGTAGAGACAGGGTTTCACCGTGTTAGCCAGGATGGTCTCGATCTCCTGACCTCGTGATCTGCCCGTCTCGGCCTCCCAAAGTGCTGGGATTACAGGCGTGAGCCGCTGCACCCGGCCAATCCTCTGAACTTCCAAGGCACTCACCTATACAGTGAGGCTATGTCATAAGGCAGAAATGCTATCAGTGTATTTAACTTTAGAAAAGTGCCCACTCAAGGCAGGGCCCGGTGGCTCACGCCTGTAATGAGCACGTGTGATCACTTGAGGTCAGGAGTTCGAGACCAGCCTGGCCAACATGGTGAAACCCTGTCTCCACTAAAAATGCAAAAATCAGCTGGGTATGGTGGTATGCACCTGTAATCCCAGCTACTTGGGAGGCTGAGGCATGAGAATCACTTGAACCTGGGAGGCGGAGGTTGCAGTGAGCAGAGATTGCAGCACTGCGCTCCAGCCTGGGTGACAGAGCAAGACTCTGTCTCAAAAAAATATATTGAAAACAACAACAACAAAAAAACCAGAAAAGTACCCACTCTAGGGGGCGGGGGGAAGGAGAGCATCAGCAAGAATAGCTTAATGGATGCTGGGTTTAATACCTAGATGATGAGATGATCTGTGCAGCAAACTACCATGGCACACGTTTACCTACATAACAAACCTGTACATCCTGCACATGTACCCTGAACTTAAAAGAGAGAAAAAAAAAAAAAAAAAAAAGACAGAAAAGTACCCCCTCTCTACATATATCTATATCCTCCACAGGCCCAAGAGTTCAAGGACTTGCTGTAGTAGGAGCCTACTATGCACTATACATTCAATATCCACGATAATTGGGTAAACCTTTTCTGTAAGATCTTATCCAGTCTTCTAATCTTGTTTTAAGAGAATTCTCTTTTAAAATGTACTATAGCCTTTCTAGTGGGAAATTAACAATTCACAGGAAAAGAATGTAAACAATTTTTACCTGCACAGTAGACTAATCAACTTATGCCTTTGCAAGGCATTAGTAAGAGGCATCCAGAATAAGAGGAGATACAAGTCTTTGGAAGGTGTATGTGATTGGTCCCCGTTTTCCCAGCCTTACCCTGTGATTTCCTCATGTCTTTGGTGGCTAAAGCACAACTGCCATGCTGAACACTGGTGAACTCAGGGCTGGTCACATTGTTAACCCTCAGCTCTTGCCCCAATGACTTCCGACCATAAGTATTTTCCCCAGATCCCCCATTGACACCGTAGCCACCTACAAACAGCCATGTGTACGTCATTTAAATATGATTGTTCGTTTCATTCAGTCAATTTCCTGATAGCTCAGGATCTTATGACTCAATCTGCAGCTCAACCAGCCTTTGCTTCTCCTACCTTTTTCCTGTACTGTCTGCCTTGAAAATCATTTTCATTTCTTTTAATACACCTTTGAAGTTAAATTAATTTTATTTTGATCCCTTCATTGGAAAATAAGCAAAGAAATGAAAACTAAATTAAATCAAATTTTGCACCTTGTTTTAAAACTTTCTTGAAGTTTAGAGACAGTAGCCAAGAGGAACTTCAACCTTAGCTAAATATTTTTGAAAATAAAAACAAAAATAGTATTGTATCTTTTTTGTAAGAAAACTGCATTGATGAATTATGTATGGAAAAATTTTAAATTTTAAAAATAATAAAGTGGATAAACGTCCTATGAAGTTTTCAGAAATAACACTGCATTTGTTATTCATATTTTAAATATATTAGAAGAAAGCGAGAAAGTTGGGGGTGTAAGAAGGCAGGAAGGTGGGATAGGTAGGTTCAAAAAACATGCTTGTAGCAATAAGAAAATATATATACCCTTTTCGTCATTCTGTATGTCAGCGTGGACTCTGGTATCATCGTGCCTTTGCCGAGACACCACAGCTGAATTTGAAGGTTGCAGTCCGTAAGAGGAAGAACCACCTCTATCTCTGGATGAAGAATATTTTAAATTACCTGGGTCGGCTGATGCACTATCAGTTCTATAAAAAGAGAAAAGTTTAAGATTAGAACTTTAAATAACATAAATAAATCTTTCTTTAAACAAGCCTCTCTTCTCCCAAATTTTACATTTAACCATTACTATTGTATTTAGTGTAATATGCACTATATATTATATGTAAGCACTCAGCCGTCTAATAAGAAGTCTTTCACTGGGAAGAGAGTCTCAATGGACGAAATGCCAACTTTTCACTCTCTTCTACTGTTCTAAAGACCCATTCAGAAATATGAATAACTACTGGGATTAGGGTGACTTTGCTGGTTTTAGCATTGAAAGTCTCCTGTCCCAGGCAAAACAGGACAATTGGTTACTCTGGTCCAGTGT
Source organism: Homo sapiens (assembly GCF_000001405.40). Classification (NCBI taxonomy): domain Eukaryota; kingdom Metazoa; phylum Chordata; class Mammalia; order Primates; family Hominidae; genus Homo; species Homo sapiens. Next base: position 650,678 of record NW_017852933.1, read on the forward strand.
TCTCCTCACATGACTTGATAATAAGAATAATTCTTTCTAAATTCTCCCCCATGGAGACGGTTAATCAGTCAAAACATTTCAGCCTTTCCTGTCATAAAAATAAAAAACACTGGCAGCATGTCAGGGACGGGCAATGTCTTACCAAGTTATTTTCTAAGTACTGATTAGGTACTGTAGTATTGAAGACCCCATTGAAGATGCCTTAATTGTAAAGAGTAGCAATCAAAATTTTAAAAAGTAAAAAAGAAGACATTTTAAGAAAATAAAAGGTATCAGAAATGCAATAAAGTTATATCAGAAAGTTGTAGTTCGTAATCTATTTAAAATTCAGGTACTGTTTAGAATAATACCTGATGCTTATTAGTAAACAAGTAGGGTACAGCCAAGGGTAAAAGTGTGTCCTCATCTAAGTATCTGCTCTATGCTTCAACTGCCTCATAAGTAAAACAGAGCTGAGTTACAAGACTTCTCATGAGTGTTAATCTTTCAGCCATCAATCATAAACTATCAAGAAAGAAGACAACAAAATAATCTGTTATAGCATATGAAAAATCCAAGTAAGTTCTTCCCCTACTGATTTTCTCCTGAGAGGAACAATTTTGAGGAAAAAAAAAAAGAAAAAGAAAAAGAAAATCACTTCTATGATATTTACTAAAAATGCTTTCTCAACCTTTTAGAACCTGAATCTTTTAGAAAAGTTTAGGACACTGGCAAGGCCAGAAACTAACCTATTCCTCTACGCTTTGCCCCTCCCTCTATGGTGTAAAAGTGACAGCAGTGTTTGTATACTGTATATATTTCGTTTAGAGTTTATTAGTCTTTCCTTGCTCCCAAAAATACTAAACATAAAACTTTGCATGAGCTCAATCAGTTGGACACCTTGATCTGCACTTACTGCAATCACTGTTAATACAGAATGCAGACAATAGGTCCAATTAAACTTGGATATCTAACTGGTACAAGTCATTACTTATAAAGGATCTCAATCTGAAACTTCATGAAATTCAAAACCTAGCATACTAAAATGACTAAGGCTCCATAAGGAGTATCTTCTAATATTCAGAGTTCACTTATTCATAAAGCTAAGTACTTCGAACATAAGGGAAAATAAAATCTATGGAATTTCAAGAAAAATGTATGAGAATATTTTCTGAGTATACTAAGTCTATAAGCATTAAAATATTAACTCAATGGACCATAACTTTTTTAAACTAATGAAAAGACATTCCTTATGTACCTAAAAATAGCACACTTAACATGCGTCTATATAAATCATAGCATACCATTACTTTCTGAAAGGAGACTGAAACGTTAAGAGAGCTTATAATCTTTTCTGACAGGGTTTGAACTTTATATGTATGCCACAGTAAGCTCTTATTAGATGAGCGAATAAAATAAGCACTTGACTAATTCAGAAACACAAAGATAACTGAAGTCTGCCAATATTTAAACGTATCTTCACTTCCTGTTTTCATCATGTTTACTTATCTCCTACACTACCTTTACTATTAAGAGTTAAATGTTTCTATCATTTTCTGGTGACACAGTAGTACCATAAGGCAGCAGAGAATACAAGTTAAAAAAAGATCTGGGCTCAAATCCCAGCTCCAGCACTGAAAAGTATGTGTGCCTTTGCACAAATTACTTGATCTCCAAGCCTTGGTTGTCTCTTGCATAAAATGAGGATGATACCTATCTAACATGTAAGGTTGTTGTGAGGCTAAAATAAGATAATGAATTATAAAGAAACACTTAGTTTGCAGGGTATGTTAAAAGTTGTTATGACCATAATACAAAATAAACTCAAAGCTTCCAGTCTAAAAGACAATGTACAAACAGTTCATGAGTATATGAATATAATCAAAACAAGTTTTTACAGTCAATATAGAGCAACTTAAATACTTCACTGAAGAAAGCAGGTAATCTGTTGCTACCAACAATGTGTTTCCAACTAGGAAGCCTCTGATTTCAAACTAAACTGTAAAACCAGGAGCAGCTTCCCCGTTGGTTAGAAATAAGGTTTCTAAATCCCCTAAGTTATGAACACTGAGATTTTTTTCCCAAAAAAAATCTGTGTTTTCAGAAATATAACAAAAAAAACTGGAATAGAGCCACCGTCTCAGAAATACCTCAAAACTCCCTAGTTGCCAAATTATTTTAATACAAATTGATCAAAGCATCCCCAACCAGAACTCAGGCTGTAAGCATTCTGAACCTAAAAGCACAAAATGGTTTAGCATTTATAAGAAATTTCTATTTTTATACAATCTTGACTGCTTAGGTTTCAAAAAATGTCAATGTCAGGCTGTTAGCACCAACAAGATCATCCCAGTCCAATAAATAGAGAACTGTTGAAGAACGGAAATGAGCACTTAAAATGAGGCAATCAAAGCCACAAAATAGAAACTGCAGATTTGAACTCCAAGAAGCAGGCATGAATGTTAGGCTAGTTAGTTAGAAGAGCTGAAAGGGATATCATCTGCCAGAATTAGTGTCTCAATTTAGTGAAAAAAGAAAATCTATCTGTTAAGTCTAAGAATCCTAGCAAGGAACCAAAAATACCTCTACAGCCCCTTTAATATTCTAAAAATATCATGGAGAGAAAAAAAAAGAAATGCATAAATTTCCCCAAAACGATCAAACTGAAGTTAAAGCCTGATGTACATGCCACATGAGAGGTAAGTTTCTAAAGCTCATACCTCAAAAATCGCCTTTGTGATGTTGTGCATCAAGTCAATCTGTAAGACAGTAGTTACAATATTAGTGAAGACAGTGGGTTAAAACATTTGTTGTTCAAACATGGAGCAAATATCATTCATGAGTTAGGTGCCTTTAGTTGAACTATGGTCCCATTAGGGTTCATACATTAAAGCAAAAATTGAGGTGGAAAGACACTCTGTGCCTTACAGGATAAAGAGGCTTAATGTGGCAACCAAAAAAATTTTAGTACATAAGAGAATTTAAATGTTAACTATCACATACAAATCACATGCAAATACAGTTACCACTTATTTTAGTTACCTATTCTCCATATACAGAAAAATGCCACAAATCTAGGAGGCCATTCGTTTCAAATGACCGGAATCCTTAGACCTCACACCAACAAGCCACCATGTGCTGGGGATGGTATCGCCTGACTAAATGTAGCCTTGCAGTCCATTCTTGTAAGTATTAGAGAGAAAAAGAGAGAGAGCATCATCTCTGGAAAGTGTGAAGTCAGGGAATTCCCTACTAGGAAGCATTTCCATAAAGCACCCCAAAATGACTTGATGCAAACACCACACCTAGTGGTGTCACTGGAGTAAGCATCATATTACTTCAAATTGCTTTTACCTAGGTTTATTAAGGGATTTTGCTCTCATGGTGAGATCTAATTTGTAATGGATATAAACCAGGAAATGAGATTTGCACTAAAGCCAATGAAGTAGGAATGTACTTATTCTCTAAAGCAGCAAAGATAGTCTCACTGTCACAGAGCAGTTATAGGATATGTTGCTTTCCATACTAATGGTTAATACCACTTGGAAATGATTTACCCTTCAAAAATAAATTCAAGGTTTTCCCCTGTAATGCCTCTTACCTGGATTCAAACATGCTTTAATGAGGAATAAGAGAAACGGTGAAACTATGAATAACCCTGGGCCTTGTATCATTACATTAGAAACACTGCTCTAAATATGAGTCTATGGCTAAAATATTAATTTGAGAGGCTCAGAGAATTTATTATACAAATCTCTTCTTGCAGAGAACTTTTAAGTTCAAATTTAATAAAACAAAACAGAACCATTCCATGTCAAAATTGTAAATGAGTATGCATCAGTTTTGCAATACTGAAATATTAAATTAATATAATTTATTGGTAAAACTACCTTAGCTACCTAAGTATTAAGTGTCTATAATAACCAAATCTTAATTATCCATTTATGGGTGATTTGTTTCCTTTTTTGAGACAGGGTCTCACTCTGTCACCCAGGCTGGAGTGCACTGGCATGACCATAGCTCACTGCAGCCTCGACCTCATGGGTGCAGCCTCGACCTCATGGGTTCAGCCTCTCAAACAGCTGGGACCACAGGTGCATGCCACTCCATTTAGCTAATTTTTTATTTTTATGTTTTTTGGAGACAGGTGTCTGATTATGTTGCTCAGGCTGCTCTCAAATTCCTGGACTCAAGCAATCCTCCCACCTCAGCCTCCCAAAATGCTAGGATTAGAAGCATGAGTGACCACATCTGGACTGTCACCAATTTTTAACTGTCTGTCAACTAAACAGCCAATATAGACTGATAAAATATATTTAACTATTGTAAAATTGTAAAGAATTGTATCTTCACCAAGGAGAGGTCTGGCTTCTACCTGTGAATTCTGGAAGGTAATCTCTAAACTCTTGAAATGTCATACCTAATAAGAGGGTCCTGGCCAGGAGCAGTGGCTCACACCTGTAATCCCAGCACTTTGGGAGGCCAAGGCGGGCAGATCGCTTGAGGTCAGGATTCTGAGACCAGCCTGGCCAGCATGGTGAAAACTGTCTCTACTAAAAATACAAAAATTAGCCAGGCATGGTGACGGGCACCTGTAATAATCCCAGCTACTCAGGAGGCTGAGGTTTCAGTGAGCTGAGATCATGCCACTGCACTCCAGCCTGGGCAACAGAGCAAGACTATCTCCAAAAAAAAAGGGGGGGGGGGCGGCGGTGGGGGAAAGTGTCCTTGTTCATCTGGGGGCTTTAGGCCACAGCACAGTCTAATAATGTGGCTTATGGTGGGGGCTTTGAGTCACATGGATCAGCTTGGCCTCCAGTGGGGCTGGAGACTAAGGTTAGCCACATGGGCATGCAACCATGGAACCCCAGTAAAAACGCTGGACATAAAAAATAGAGTGAGCTTCCCTGGTTGGCAATAATCCATGAGTATGGTCGCACACCAGTGCCACCAGGAAGGTGTCATTTTTCACAACTCTACAGGGACAGGACAATTAGAAACTCCAACATTTGGAACTTCCCCGAACTCTGCCCTATGCACCTCTACCCTTGGCTCGTTCTAATCTGAATCCCTAAACTGCAATAAACTCTAACCATGGGTATGAGAGCTTTCAATGAGTTCTAGTGAGTCCTCCTGGCAAATCATCCAACCTAAGAGTGGTCTTGGCCAGGCACAGTGACTCAAGCCTGTAATCCCAGCACTTCGGGAGGCCCAGGCAGGCGGATCACTTCAGCTCAGGAGTTTGAGACCAGCCTGGCAATATGGTGAAACTGTCTCTAAAAAATATAGAAAAACTAGCCAGGCGAGGTGGTGTGTGCCCACAGATCCAGCAACTCAGGTGGCTGAGGTAGGAGGACTGCCTGAACCTGGGAGGGAGGAGTTCAGGGCGCAGTGAGCCGTGATCATGCCACTGCACTCTCACCTGGGTGACAGAGAGAGGCCCTGTCTCAAAAAAAAAAAAGAGTGGTCTTGGGAACCCCCAAACTTGCAACTAGTATTAGAAGCAAGGGTCATCTTATGGACTGGACTCCCTCTTACTCTGCACTCATATTTAAAACCATTAAATATACTGTAGCTCAAAAAAAGTTGCTTGGTTGTTTTGAAAAAGGGTCTCACACTGTCGCCCAGGCTAGAGTGCAGTGGTGCAATCCGAGCTCAAGCAAACCTCCCACATCAGCCTCCCAAGTAGTTGAGACCACAGGCTTACTCCACCACGCCCAGCAACTTTTGTATTTTTTTGTCCCATTCTCTACAACATTCCCAAAATGTTGCCCAAGCTGGTCTCGCACTCCTGAGCTCAAGTGATCCACTCACCTCAGCCTCCCAAAGGGTTGGGATTACAGGCATAAGCCACTGCACCCGGCCATAAATTTTGTTTTTTAATAACATTTCCAGCAAACATGATAAAGATTTGACTTCAGTGTTGCTTATTTTCCTTCCAAGGAACCTCTAATATTCTCTACTTTCAGAACTCCAATCAAATTAGCCAGAAAGAGCAAACGAAGCCAATAAATCCAGGAGGGCAATAGATCTGATTTTAACCCTTGTTTCACATGCACAATTGTCTTCAGAGAAAAGCTGAAGAAAGTACCCCCTCACCTCCATGCCCCAATGCTCCTTTTCTCTGACTTCAAGTGGGCCTCTGATGCTGCCCACATTTCCCTCACCAGGTTTCTTTCCTTTCCAAGACATCTGTAAAACTTTCTGCACCTTCTTCCTTCTCCCACCACTACCAGTGGATGACCTTATAGATTTCTGCTCCATGAGAAACAGAAGCCATTTGACAGCACCCTCAGCAAGAGCTAACATTTTAGCTCCTAACAAGAGCTAGTGGGCAACTGATCCAAGCAGTTTACATATGTTTATCATGTCATTTCGTGTTCAACACAATCCTATTAGTTATAACTTGATAACTAAGGTTTCATAACTGGCCTATGGTTGCACAGCTTGCAAAAGGCAGAGTCAGAACTCAGACCCAGTACTGTCTAATGTTTGAGCTCTTCAACACTCCATCACTGCCTGTCATCTTCCTTCTAATATATCCACAAATTCACCTGCATCTGCACATACAGCTTTTCTTCCCATCATCTTCGCATAATGGAACAAATAAACCTCCTATCCATAGAAATCATCTGTCTATTCCCCCCATTTTCCAAGGTATGTCTTGTCTTTTTTTTTTTGAGATGTAGTCTCGCTCTGTCGCCCAGGCTGAAGTGCAGTGGCGTGATCTCGACTCGCTGCCTCCCGGATTCACGCCATTCTCCTGCCTCAGCCTCCCGAGTAGCTGGGACTACAGGCGCCCACCACCACGCCCGGCTAATTTTTTGTATTTTTAGTAGAGACGGGGTTTCACCATGTTAGCCAGGATGGTCTCGATCTCCTGACCTCGTGATCCGCCCACCTTGGCCTCCCCAAAGTGCTGGGATTACAGGCTTGAGCCACTGCACCCGGCCTGTTTCTTTTGTACGTTGCAAAATCTCCCATTTTACTACTGCTTATCACATCATCAACATATGAGCACTCTCAAAAGTCTTACTTTAAAAAAAACAAAAACAAAAACAAAAAATGGCCGGGCACGGTGGCTCATGCCTGTAATCCCAGCACTTTGGGAGGCGAAGGCAGGCAGATCATAAGGTCAGGAGATTGAGACCACCCTGGCCAACACGGTGAAACCCCGTCTCTACTAAAATAGAAAAAATAAAATTACCTGTGCGTGGTGGCACGCACCTGTAGTCCCAGCTACTTGGGAGGCTGAGGCAGGGGAATCATTTGAACCCGGGAGGCAGAGCTTGCAGTGAGCCAAGATCGTGCCACTACACTCCAGCCTGGTGACAGAGCGAGACTCCGTCTCAAAAAAAAAAACTAAAGGCCGGGTGCGGTGGCTCACGCTGGTAATCCCAGCACTTTGGGAGGCCAAGGTGGGTGGATCATGAGGTCAGGAGTTCAAGACCAGCCTGCCCAATGTAGTGAAACCCCGTCTCTACTAAATATACAAATATCAGCCAGGCGTGGTGGCGGGCGCCTGCAATCCCAGCTACTCAGGAGGCTGAGGCAGGAGAATCGCTCGAATCCGGGAGGCAGAGGTTGCAGTGAGCCGAGATTGCACCATTGCGCTTCAGCCTGGGCGGCAGAGAGACTCCATCTCAAAAATAATCATAATAATAATAAAATAAATTTAAAAATTAAGAAAATAAGGCCGGGCACGGTGGCTCACGCCTGTAATCCCAGCACTTTGGGAGGGCGAGGCAGGCAGATCATGAGGTCAGGAGTTTGAGACCAGCCTGGGCAACATAGTGAAACCCCGTCTCTACTAAAAATACAAAAAATTAGCCGGGTGTGGTGGTGGGCGCCTGTATTCCCAGCTAGTTGGGAGGCTGAGGCAGGAGAACTACTTGAACCCCGGAGGCGGAGGTTGCAGTGAGCCGAGGTCACGCCATTGCACTCCAGACCGGGCAACAGTGTGAGACTCTGACTCAAAAAAAACAAAAAACAAAAAAACCCTTTAACTGCCTTTCTCCCTCTATCAATCTAATAGCCTGGACTCTTCACAGACAAACCTGTTGAAAAATTTATCTTCCTTGCCTTCATTTACTTTTTAACCCACTTTAATCTGGGTTCCACCTGCAACACACCACTGAAGCTATTCCTACTAAGGTAGGAACTGCCACTCAAGGCCTTCTTGGCTCTAAAATCCCATGAGCCTTTTTCAGTTCACCCTACAATTTCTCAATACCACTCTAAAGTTTATGAGTTTTTTAGTTAACTTTAATCCAGTGACTCTTTCTACTTTATCCCAATCCAAGTATTCTCCTCCTTCTTCACTTCATTTTTTTTTTTTTTTTTTGAGACAGACTCTGACTTTGTTGCCCAGGCTGGAGTATAGTGGTGCAATACTGGCTCACTGCAACCTCCACCTCCAGGTTCAAGCGATTCTCCTGCCTCAGCCTCCCAAGTAGCTGAGATTACAGGCCCCTGCTACCACACCCGGCTAATTTTTGTATTTTTAGTAGAGACGGGGTTTCACCATGTTGGCCAGGCTGGTCTCGAACTCCTGACCTCAAGGGATCCACCCGCCTCGGCCTCCCAAAGTGTTGGAATTACAGGCGTGAGCCAACGTGCCCGGCCCCTTCTTCACTTCTTTAACCAGCTTAGATTTCATTGTGTATCATTTCAACAACACTCTTGCCTATACCCTTAACTCTTAAGATTCTCATCACACCCATCTGGCAAAACCCCAATCCTGGATAAACCCAACGATCCATCAATAAGCACCACACTCCCAGGTCCTCCAGTGTTTACTTCCCATTCTATACATGCACTATCCAGACATTCCCATTCTCTTCAAATTCCAAAATATCCTATCACCTCCCCTCCCCATACACACATTCTACTTCACCAACAAGAAAAAAGGTACCAGCTGGGCACAGTGGCTCACGCCTGTAATCCCCGCACTTTGGGAGGCCAAGGCGGGTGGATCACTTGATGTCAGGAGTTGGACACCAGCCTGGCCAAAATGGTGAAACCTCATCTCTACTAAAAATACAAAAATTAGCTGGGTGTGGTGGTGCGCACCTGTAATCTCAGCTACATGGGAGACTGAGGCAGGAGAATCGCTTGAACCCAGGAGGTGGAGGTTGCAGTGAGCCAAGACTGCACCACTGCACTCCAGAGCCTGGGCAATAATAAGAGCGAAACTCCGTCTCGGGGTGGGGTGAGGAAGATACCATAAAATACCTGTACCCGATTCTAGACCTTACTGAGGATTCCATCTACTTCCACCTTACTGTAACTTTTCAAATACTTTTCCCACTGAACTAAATCCCCCCCATAAACATGCAACACTTTCTAATGTATTCCATTGAAAAATACAAAAACATATAAAAAGGAAAAACTCCATCAATCCCACACGTCCCTCCATCAAACAATCTGCCTTTACTTGCTGCAGCCAAACTAAAGTTGTCTAGATTCCCCTCTCCCATTTCTTCACTTCTTCTAGCTCCTTAACACACACTGGTCCAATTTCTGCCCCATCACTCTTGGCAAAATCCATTATGACCTCCAGGCTGCTAAATCCAAGATACAGTTCAGGCCTCAATCTGCTCATCCTTTCAGCAGCTTTCACAGGGCTTCTGAGTAGGGTTGGGCAGTTTTGCCCTGCACACAGGTGCCCTGCAGAGGAATGAGGTGGGCTGAATGAAACTCCTTTTTTAAAAATTCTTGGCTGGCATAGTGGCTCACGCCTGTAATCCCAGCACTTTGGGAGGCTGAGGCGGACGGATCACTTGAGGTCAGGAGTTCAAGGTCAGCCTGGCCAATATGGCAAAACCCCATCTGTTAAAAATACAAAAATTAGCTGGCCGTGGTGGCGGGCACCTGTAATCCCAGCTACTCGGGAGGCTGAGGCAGGAGAATCACTTGAACCCAGGAGGCAGAGGTTTCAGTGAGCCGAGACTGCCCCACTGCACTCCAGCCTGGGCAACAAGAGAGAAACTCCATCTCAAAAAAAAAAATTGTTTATGCCAACTAATTGTACACCTAAATGCACCAAGTTCCTGACTTTCTCCTTGCATTTATTTGTTTATTTATTTATTTATTTATTTATTAGGTCTCACTCTATGTTGCCCACGTTGTAGTGCAGTGTGTGATTACAGCTCACTGCAGCCTTGAACTCCTGGGCTCAAGAGATTCCTCTGGTCTTAGCCTCCCCAGTAGCTAGAACTACAGGTATGGAGTGGCTCTCTGCCTTTATTTCTAACCCAAGCTACCTTACAACCTTAAAAAGAGACGCTGCTTCGCCGGGCACAGTGGCTCTCACCTGTAATCCCAGCACTTTGGGAGGCCGAGGCGGGCGGATCACGAGGTCAGGAGATCGAGACCATCCTGGCTAACACGGTGAAACCCTATCTCTACTAAAAATACAAAAAATTAGCCAGGCGTGGTGGCGGGCACCTGCAATCCCAGCTACTCGGGAGGCTGAGGCAGGAGAATGGCGTGAACCCAGGAGGTGGAGCTGGCAGTGAGCCGAGATTGCACCACTGCACTCTAGCCTGGGCGACAGAGTGACACTCCATCCTAAAAAAAAAAAAAAAAATTTATTATATACATACACACACACACACACACACACATACACACACACACACACACACATCTCCCCAGAAGCATCAATATTTACTGAATTAGAGTATTTCATTACCTGTTATAAAAAACAAACAAAAAAACCTTCCATTATACTAATTTATAAAGGAATCAAAACAAAATGGGTTGGCGGGTCCAGGCACGGTGTCTCACTTCTGTAATCCCAGCACTTTGAGAAGCCAAGGTGGGAACTCGAGGTCAGGAGTTCGAGACCAGCCTGGCCAACATGGCGAAACCCTGTCTCTAATACAAAAATTAGACGGGCCTGGTGACATGCGCCTGTAGTCCCAGCTACTCGGGAGGCAGAGGCACATGAATCACTTGAACCCAGGAGGTGGAGGTTGTACTGAGCCAAGATTGTGCCACTGCACTCCACCCTGGGAGACAGAGTGAAACTATGTCTTTAAAAAAAAAGGCGGGGTGCAGTGGCACACACCTGTAATCCCAGCACTTTGGGAGGCCGAGGCAGGTGGATCACCTGAGGTCAGGAGTTCACGACCAGCCTAACATGGTGAAACCCCATCTCTACTAAATATAAAAAAATTAGCCGGGTGTGGTGGCACATGCCTGTAATCTGATCTACTTGGGAGGCTGAGACAGGAAAACAGCTTGTACCTGGGAGGCGGAGGATGCAGTGAGCCGAGATTGCACCATTGCGCTCCAGCCTGGACAACAAGAGCAAAACTCTGTCTCAAAAAAAAAAAAAAAAAAAAAAAAAAAAAAAGTTGGGGTGAGGGGAAGGTTCAACTTAAAGATACAATTACTAAGTGTTTCATAAGGAATGACTTATTTCATAATGGAGTAGGAGTTTGACACCAGCATGGGCAACATGGGGAGGCCCCATCTCTACAAAAAAGTAAAAATAAAAAATTAGCGTGCCAAGCATGGTGGGTCACACCTGTAATCCTGGCACTTTGGGAGGCCAAGGAGGAAGGATCACTTGAGCCTAGGTATTCAAGACCAGCCCAGGCAGCATGGCAAAACCCCGTCTCTACAGAAAACAAAAAAAAAATAAAGTAGCTGGGGGTGGTAACATGCACCTGTGGTCCCAGCTATTGGGAGGGTGAGGTAGGAGGACTTATTGAGCCTGGGAGGTGGAGGCTGCAGTGAGCTGAGATGGTTCCACTGCACTCCAACCTGGGCAATGGAGCGAGACTCTGTTTCAGAAAAAGAGAGAGGAAGCCAGGCGTGGTGGCTCACGCCTGTAATCCCAGCACTTTGGGAGGCCGAAGCGGGTGGATCACCTGAGGTCAGCAGTTCAAGACCAGCCTGGCCAACATGGTGAAATCCCATCTCCACTAAAAACACAAAAATTAGCCGGGCATAGTGGCATGCACCTGTATTCCCAGCTACTTGGGAGGCTGAGACAGGAGAATCACTTGAACCAGGAGGCGGAGGTTGCAAGTGAGCTGAGATTGTGCCACTATACTCCAGCCTGGGCGACAAAGTAAAGCTCTGTCTCAAAAAAAAAAGAGAGAGAGAGAGGAAAAATAAATTAGCCAGGTGTGGTGGTATGCACCTGTGGTCCCAGCTACTCAGGAGGCTAAGGCGGGAGGATTCCCAGAGCCCAGGAAGTCAAGGCTGCAGTGAGCAGTGATTGCACCACTGCACTCCAGCCTGGGCAACAGAGCAAGAGCATATCTCAAAAAAGAGGAAAGAAAAGAAAAGAAAAACATAAAAACAAATGTTCCTTTAGTTTTAATTTTTATTTTTTAGTTTATTATGGCTGTTTTACTCTCCCCCAAGTAAAACAGCCATACACAATTTGCTGAAATTTTCCTTAGTGTACTTTGAAATCTGTGGAACAGAACTGGCAATCGCTAAATTCTATTTGACTCTAGTTCCATTTAATATTAGACTGGTGTGGAAGTAACTGCGGTTTTTGCCAAAACCGCAATTACTTTTGCACCTACCTAATAGGTATAAAATATGTAACTTCACTTAATTTTATCCTTTATGTATCTCCCTATATTATGTACCTATGGACATCAAACTTAGTACAGACTGATAAAAGGCTGAATAGACAACTCTGGTTTCAAAAATCCAGCTTCTCACAACATCAGACATACTAGTATACAGCTTTTCTAATTTCACAACACATTTCCATTTTTTGGTCTTTCACAATAGAGAAGATGTGTGTACTTTTGAATACTCTGATCTGTCTACAATCTACCAAAATTGGAAGGTGTTTTTATTATACAGTTTCATCCTTTTAGAAATATAGAAAGATCCTAAGTTTGGGCACAGTAAGACACTCAATATAGATCTACTACTAAACAAGTAAGACCAATTACACAATTAATGTCCTAATACCCCGAGTGGAGAAGTAAAATCTACTTGTTTTCTGTTGACTTGAATGCCTTCTCTTCTTTGTTGAATTAATCAATCTATTTGACTCCAATGTCAAATTAATCAATGTCACTTTAGAATATTAAAATGTACAATTATGAATTACACATTTAATTTTAAAACACATCATTCTGATCTCTGTCTTGATTGATACTAGAAGATTATCTTCCAAACTAAGGTGGAAAAAATGACAGACTTTAGCTATTGGCAATGATAGGTCATTTTTTTAGGGAAGAGGAGTAAAGAGGGCCACCTCCATAGGTCAGATATCCCTTTGTTCTAAGAAGCCACCACCCCTGTTTCTTCATATGAAAAAAACCAGAGGCATCCAGTGGTTCCCAAAACCTTCTCAACTTTACGCTTGAGGAACCCACAGATTTCAAATAATACAACTGACCTAAGACACTCATTTGTTTAACCATTCTTTTTTTAACTTTTTATTTTTTTTGAGAAGGAGTCTTGCTCTGCTGCCCAGGCTGGAGTGCAGTGGTGTGATGTCGCTCACTACAACCTCTGCCTCTCAGGTTCAAGTGATTCTCCTGCCTCAGCCTCCCGAGTAACTGGGATTACAGGCATGCACCACCACATCCCGCTAATTTATTTATTTATTTTTTTTTAGTAGAGACGGGGGTTTCACCATGTCGGTTGGCCAGGCTGGTCTCGAACTCCTGACCTCAGGTGATCCACCCACCTCAGCCTCCCAAAGTGCTGGGATTACAGGCGTGAGCCACTGCCCCCGGCCTGCTTAACCATTCTTAAATGTCGGGTGCAGTGGCTCACACCTGTAATCTCAACACTTTGGGAGGCTGAAGGTGGGCAGATTGCTTGCGTTCAGGGGTTCAAGACCAGCCTGGGCAACGTGGTGAAAACCCCATCTCTACAAAAAATACAAAAATGAGCCGGGCTGTTGGCAAGCGCCTGTAGCCCCAGCTACTTGTGGATGCTGAGGCAGGAGGCTTGAGCCTGGGAGGTCGAGACTGCAGTAAGCCAAGTATCTGTGCCGCTGCACTCCAGCCTGGGTGACACAGCAAGACCGTCTCAAAAAAATTGACAGAAGAGTTGACTGAGAGCACAGTGAATGAAAAGGAAGACTATAAGCCAGTGCCATATAAATGCTTACTGTTGGAGGTATGCTTCTATGGAACACGGGTTTGCTCTCTTGCCATATGACATTCACATATTCAGCCACCTGGAACACTTCCTGTCAGTATGTGTGAAGTATCATGTGTGGTCAAAATTGTCTCAACAGTCATTTTCCACACCAACTGGCAAACTAACACTAAAAGAAATCAACAAGTATTGCTTTTTCAAAAGCCTAAATCGGCTGAGTGCGATGACTTACACCTGTAATCCCAGCACTTTGGGAGGCCAAAGCAGGCGGATCACCTGAGTCAGGAGTCCAAGAACAGGCCGGCCAACATGGTGGAATCTCGTCTCTACTAAAAATACAAAAATTAGCTGGACGCCTGTAATCCCAGCTACTCAGGAGGCTGAGGCAGGAGAATTTTTCCCTGTAACCGGGAGGCAGGGGCTGCAGTGAGTTGAGATTACACCACTGCACTCCAGCCTGGGAGACAGAGCAAGACTCCATCTCAGGAAGACAAAAAAAAAAAAAAAAAAAAAGCCTACATCAAGGAAAACAGAACCAAAACACCAGGGACAAAATGGTACATAAGAGGCAAAAAAATTTTCACCAAAATTATTCAGATGAACAATAATAAATGTGCCTGCATCTGAAGATGTTCTAAACCTTCATTTAAGCAAGAAGCAAGATCAAGATCTGTTCCGTCAGTTACCTGGAGTCTGTCATCTTTCTGAATAGGGGACAGAATCACCTCAAATTTAACTAATAAAAATTTATGACTTGGCAAACACCCCAGGTATTTTTATTGACTAACAAATCAGCTATGACAATCTTAGCAACAAATCAAGTTATGCTATGGGGTATGTCCACACTTCCCTGTTCCCTCTACAACAGGAGAAAATCAAATTTTTCCAACATCCTAACAAACTGTACTGCCTGTAACCAAATGTATCACAGTATCGTCTACCAAGGCGTTACATCCTGAAACTTTCCTACAAAAAGCACAGCTTCAAAGAAACCTTGCAAGCTTTCTTGTAAGCTCCTCCCTTCCCCCATCGCCCCTCCCCAGAGCCAAGAAATAAAGCACTTGAAAGAAACAACATGGATAATATTTATTAATAGCTCATGTACATATTCCATAACTACATAAGCCATTTGGCTTCATACCTGTCAGCAATGAAGTCAGCTGGCCCTAGCACGTGGCTGCGACTCTTCTCTATTTATTTAGAACTACAAACTACAATTTACACTTTTCCAAAAGCTGTAGGACTATTTGGGAAGGGCACTTTATTCTTCTAAAAGGTTACTAAATTCTCTTATATACTTATACTGATCACAATACTGAAAAATAATAGAAAATCCATTGTCATTCATTTACCACCTAATTTGTTAAGATGCCAGAAAACCAAATTTTACACATTTCAATAAAAAGGCAAAACTAAGCATGTCAATCATAGGAAAAAAATACTTAATCAACTAATTTTATTTAAAGCACTCACAAACTCTTAAGTGGTACAAGACAAGTCAACGCTGTTTATCGAACAATATTTTTTTTTACGACTAAACATCTCAATTCTAGACTCAGGCACTAATTATTAAAGTCATGTAGTTATATACACCAATTCTCAACAGACACAGTTTTTTTTGGAAAGGCATATTAAACAGACTAAGATGTGTACTACCCATTAGCCAAAGATAATTTTATTGATTTTTCTAACAAGTCTTCAAATGTTACATTCTAACATCTTAGCAAATTATTTCCAAATACTGCTGGAATTACATGTAACTATCAGGAAACAAAAGGGCTTCTCAACAACTTGTGCGTTCTACATTATCTGGCCAGTTTCCGGACAATTATAATACAATTGTGCTCCAAAGTAGGAGAGTTCCATGAATCAATTACCCCTAAAATATATTTCTGTATATTTAAGGAGTTCTAAGCATTGGGTTAAATTCCAAACAGACTCTGAATACAAGCATTTATTTAGTAAGAGAGGTTAGAATAAATCAATCCTAAATTAGGCACAGCTGCCCTCCCCCCATTGATCAAAAAGACAGGAAATTACATTTATTTAAAAAGTTAATGTTCCTAATATATTCAAATCTAACTAAGCCCCAAAACGGTCTGACATCAAATCCTCCATAAAAGAGGAAATTCTCTAGACTTCTAAGTGGGTGCCCAGAGTTCACTCAAGTGTCCAGGTATGAATTACGATTCACCAGAGTAACCGGCCTTGCACTTAGGGAAAACTTCCATCGCCCAAGACCAGAGTAGGTCGATCCCATCAACAGTCACACAATCTCATCTCACGCTCCACTAATGAATGTTCTGCCTAAAGTCAGAGCAATGCCTTAGCTGGAGTTTTGTTTTGGTTTTTTCAATATTACCACGTGGGGGTCACAGAAAGGAACAGAGGTTAGAAGAGCTCTCACGTGGCGGCTGAAAGACTGGGGAACCGAGAAAGTGAATGAGTAACAGGGAGGGTCCTGGACTCTCAGGATCTCCCAACTCGGGGTCAGGGGGAAGCGGTAAGTGGAATGCCCCCCGCCCCCCCACCCCCGCCTCTTTCTCACCTCCTGGTCCCGACCCTAGGCCAGTGCCACCGCCGGGAGCCCCGGGTCTCGGCTTCAGCCCCGGGCTGAACAAGCAGGGAGGGGAGAGGCACTTAGGCCTCGCCTCCCCGCGGCCTTCCTCCCCCAGCCGGGGCGGAGGAGACCCAGGAAGCTGCGCCCGGCTCCCGGGGGTGGAGGGCCTAGGCCTCGGCCCGCCCGAGGCGGAGCCCGGGAGGTCGGGGCGGGGTCCCGGGCCGGTCACCCACCTGGGTTGCCAGTCATTCCAGCTCCGCGAATAGTTGGTGCCGTTGGTGCCGCCGCCGCCGCTCAGCCGAGACCCCGGGGCTCTGCGGCTCATTACCTTCCCCGACACGACATGGCCAAGCGCCGCCGCCCAGAGAAGCGCGAGTCGCCGCCCGAACCGGCCGCCGCCAACACCCCGCTCCGGCCCGGGGCTGAGGAGGAAGCCGAGAAGGAGGAGAAGGAGGAGGCGGCGGCGGGCGGGGGAAGAGGACGACCGTTCCGGGTTCCGCCTGAGCCCGCAGCACAGGACGAGGAGGCGGGAGCGGCGCGGTGAGAGAGAGGTGGATGAAGGGGAGGCGACGTCTCTTCCAGGGCCGTGCGCGGCCCACGTCGCCGGGGCCGCGGAGGACGAGGACGACGAGGAGCAGGCGGTGGCGGCAGCTCCTCACGCTCACAAGGCCACTGCTAACCCGCCTCCCGGCTCCGCTGGCCGCGCCGCCGCTATCGCACGGTATGCTGGGAGCGAGAAGCGGGGTCGGCCCCGCCGGGCCTGGGGAGAGAGGCGGGTCCTGTCGGCGGGGATCTCCACTAGTGCGGCCACACACTTTTCTCCCGAACGCTTCCCGGAAAGCACCGGGATTTTAAAAACTTTAGGCTTTGTCTTTTCTTCTTCTTCTTCTTCTTCTTTTTTTTTTTTTTTTTTGGTGGGGGAAACAATATAGAAGGCTTTTCCTTCTCTGCAACGATTTTGTGGCTTCCTAGAGGTCAGGAGAGTGTTGGTCATGGGAAAGAAGGTTGAATTCAGTCTGCCCACATGGGCGTGCCTAGCTTTAGAACAGCGCTATTTAGGAGAAGTTGGAAGTTACACCCTTTGGTGAGAAGCTGTGTCTGTTTTTTTCCATGATTGGCATAATTAACTCAAATACCAGCTGTACGTTAGTCCGTATTTCTGTTCATGGTTGAGTTCAGTGTGTCCAGAGACCGGAAGGTGCTTTGCACTCACAGGAGTGCCCATGTGGAGCTCCATGGGATGTGAATTATTGTTGGTCACCAGTTCTGGCTGACATTGGAATCACTTGAAGAGTTTTTATAATATGTGGATTCCAAAGCCCTGTCACAAACCTATTGAATTTGTACCTCCCAGGTTGAATTTTTTGTTGTTTTTTGTTTGTTTGTTTTTTGAGATGGAGTCTCACTCTGTCACCCAGGCTGGAGTGTAGTGGCATGATCTCAGCTCACTGCAACCTCTGCCTCCTGGGTTCAAGCGATTCTCCTGCCTCAACCTCCCAAGTAGCTGGGATTACAGGCACCTGCCACCACGCCTGGCTAATTTTTGTATTTTTAGTAGAGAGAGGGTTTCTCCATGTTGGCCAGTCTGGTCTCGAGCTCCTGACCTTGGGTGATCCACCCGCCTCGGCCTCCCAAAGTGCTGGGATTACATTTACAGGCGTGAGCCACTGTGCCTGGCCCTGGGTTGATTTTGATGCTTAGCTAGGTTTGGGATCCATTGGATTATTTAACACCCGAGGTGCCTTTTGTTTCTAATGATATTCTCTCAACGTGTTTTAAAAATGAAGCGCATGAGATAGTTATGAGATAGTAGAACTTTTCCCTACATTGGTGAAGTAAAAATCTTGGGATTTTGATAGTCAGATTATCTTAGGCATTAAAAAATATCACACCGACGCCCTCTCTTTTTATAGGGATTCGCAGAGGCATTTTTGGAACATCTTTGGAAAAAATTGCAGGATCCAAGTAATCCTGCCATCATCAGGCAGGCTGCTGGAAATTATATTGGAAGCTTTTTGGCAAGAGCTAAATTTATTCCTCTTATGTAAGTAGCCTAATTTTCCGAGTACTTTTTAATATCATGCTTTAAAAAGAGTATAGCATTGTCTCAAGTCAGAAATATCTCCCATATGTTTTTGGCATGTTTTTAAAGTGAATAAAATTCCTACTCTGTGTAAGATGTTTATATTTCTAAGTGGTGATTTTAGAATAAAGTGTCTCCTTTTTTATATATAAAACCCTGTATGTAAGGCTTTTGTCATCTCTTTTGTGTGGTTGCACTTAAAGATCCATTTGTTTTGTGGATAGAGGACAGTGTTGTATACTGTTTTGATTCTTTTTGTAGGTTTGTCATTTTTTCATTTGCATTCCAAATCTATTGTATCTGTTAAAGCTGAAGAAAAACCCTTTTAAAGGTAATAGACCTATCTAGGAGGCCAGTTTCTTTCAGTGGCCCATGAAGATATCTTTGGACAAGGATGCTGTTGAATCCCTTCCCCAAGAACAAAATTATTCACCATAGGACTTGACTGGATGCATCAGGGAATACTGAAGTCCACCAGACTGTCTTTCTCTTGAGACGTGTTGGTGAACATGTCCTATTTGGCCAATCACCCTAAGAGGGGTGCCTTTGAGATGGTTAGGAGAACCTGCTTTCCATCCCTTGGGACGTTCTTAGGGGCTCACCTGTTCCTAGAAGGTCAGAGCTACTCTGCCTTGTAATTGGAAGGTTGTCTTCCTACGCACCCATCCTTATCCTTCCTTTCTTTGCTTTTCCTCTGTACCCATGGGTATTATTTAAAGAAACCTATGAACTTACTTAGCATGGTTTGTAATGAAAGGCAGTTGTGTGTTTTTATGTTATTCTGGTTTTTTTATGAAGTGTAAAGTTGACTTGAATTTTTCTTTTCTCTAGTACTGTAAAACCATGCCTAGATCTTTTGGTTAACTGGCTGCACATATACCTTAATAACCAGGATTCGGGAACAAAGGCATTCTGCAATGTTGCTCTCCATGGACCATTTTACTCAGCCTGCCAAGCTGTGTTCTACACCTTTGTTTTTAGACACAAGCAGCTTTTGAGCGGAAACCTGAAAGAAGGTCAGTGTTGTGGGAGTGCTGGACTGGATTTTCCTTGTGTTCTTGTCACCCTTCAGAATGGTGATTCATTACTTTTTTGAGATTTTTATAAAAACTGGATTCAGAAAACTGCATGTACACTCAAACTTCTAATAATAATTTCAAGCAGCTCATAGGCCCCTACAAACCCCTTAAGATAGATTTGAGCTTGAGAACCCTACAAACCCCTTAAGATGGATTTGAGGTTAAGAAAGAGGTTTCTGCCTTTGAAGGTTTGAAATGTGAAGATGTCTCCAGAGGTGAGGCTGAGCCCTGGGCTGTGCCAGCGCCCTGTACAAAGCTTCAGTTGGATGCACCTTCTCTTTGTTGTCCTTGTAACAGCCCAGTAAATGGCAGGTATTCTCCCTTTACAGACAGCACCAAAGCACGGGGAAGTCATTTTCCCAAGATCACATGGTTACTGGCAGGATTAGAAAACTGAAGCCAGGTTCAGCTGACCCTAAAGTTTGAGTTTATATAGATTACACTCTGCCTGAAGCCTTGAGACTTAATTGACCAGTATTGTTTTGCTAATTTCTAAGAGTTACTTATAATTCAAATCTATCAGTTGAAACTTACTAGATTAGCGTATTTTAGTTGAAGAGAGTCTCCAAGAACAGTGTTTATAAGTCATTGTAAATTGTTCTGTTTATGTTTATGAATAATTCATATGGTTTTGTGGGTCACTTCCTCTAAACCAGGGTCTGTCAACCCTGCATGATTGCCATTTGGGCTGCATCATCCTTCATCGTCGGGGGCTGTCCTCTGCACTGTAGGATGTTTAACAGCCTCCACCTACTAGCTGCCAACAGCAGTCCCTGACCACCCCCAGCTGTGACAACTAAAAGTGTCTCCAGACACTGCCAGGTGTCCTCTGTGGGGGTTGCAGTCTCCTTAGGTTAACAGCCACAGCTCTAAACTGACAGTTGTACGTGTTGCATTATATATGTTTACCTACATCCTACATGCTTCTAAAAGATGTTGTATGAACTAGTAGGATGAGGTTTTATCACAAGGTAAGTAAATACAAGCTCTGCTTTTCTTTGTATAAATTAATGCCAGGAATCTGAATTAAATATCTTGTTTTTGTAAGCAGTGACATCCCATTTAGGTAATTTTTATTGAAATATGCATCAAAGAAACTCCTAAGAAAATATACTTAAGTACAAGTTGGTCAGCTTGCCTCTTAAAATAAATGTGATGTCTTTATTTTACTCATGTAGGAAAGAATTGTATTTATTAAGTCTAAGAAAGTGGCTTCTGTCTAAATTTGCCGTCCGTTGAGGTAGAAGGCAAATTTGGAGTTTTCTTGTTTAGAAAAAAAACTACAGATGACTACTGTGCACCTGAAAACAGCACTCAGCTTCACTAACGAGACATGCAAGCTAGAATCAAATTGCTGTTTTGTTTTGTTGCCTGTCGTGATTGTTAGCTGAAACCAAATCACAAGGTCTTTTTCTCCCTCTGTATTAGCTCAGCATACACTGAGCTTACAAACGTATGAACTTCACGTTGTCGTGGAATCTTACAGCCTGCTACTTCCTAAGTTTCCTTTAGAGAAGCTGCCTTGGTGACCAATGAATGTGGTTAGCCTAGTGATACTCTTCTGGGCCATATACTGTGTGACTATCTGCATGGACCTTTATTGAAAGCATTTCTGCAAATAATTTTTTTAAGTTTTTTTTAAATGTGTGATAATTTGTGCTTTTAAAGATATCTTACACTTTTCACTTATTTGTACCTTTAAAAAATCTTTTTTTTTTTTAAACCAAAGGTTTGCAGTATCTTCAGAGTCTGAATTTTGAGCGGATAGTGATGAGCCAGCTAAATCCCCTGAAGATTTGCCTGCCCTCAGTGGTTAACTTTTTTGCTGCAATCACAAAGTAAGTTATTTACGCTTTCTTGATGGGAGTTATTTAAAATATTTTTATTTATGTTTATCTAGTATTGTAAGAGTCTGTTAAATTTCTATGAAATTAGTAACATTATAAAAGGCCAGGCGTGGTGGCTGACACCTGTAATCTCAACATTTTGGGAGGCTGAGGTGGGAGGATTGCTTGAGGCCAGGAGTTAAAAGACCAGCTTGAGCAACATAGTGAGACCCTATCTCTATAAAAAAATTTTAAAAATTAGCTGGGTGTGGTTGCCTGTGCCTGTAGTCCCAACTACTCAGGAGGCTGAGGTAGGAGGATCACTTGAGCCCAGGAGGTCAAGGATGCAGTGAGCCCTGATTGTACCACTGCATTCCAGTCTGGGCTCCAGAATGAGACCCTGTCTCTTAGACAAACAAAAACAACCCAGTCCTTACAGGAAATACTGTGATACAGCTATTGTTTTTATACTTTGATGGCATTGGAAATTACTACTACTTCTTATCCAAAGGGCAGCACTTTGAAATAAGTATGGCAACCAGTAAGCTGAGAGGGGCAAAGCCATAGATGCTTATTAGAGTGACTCCTGTAATAGTAATAGAAATAAACTGGACATGAGGCAAATGTTGACCTGTAAGAGATTGGTTTAGAGAGTTCTGTTCTCTCAGGTCTGGTAGCTATGGCTAATCCATAGCCTTTCCTCTGTGCCAGGCAGTTCTAAGCACTTTACATAGAACTCATTTGATCCTCAAACAACCCTCTAGGATGAAACCCTGTTTATCAACAGGGAGGTGGAGGTACAGAGAGGTGAAATCACTTGCCTAAAGTCATAGAGCTAGACTGGCAGCACAGATTTAAATGTAGTCTGGCTCCTTTGTAAGCTTTCACTAAGTTATTCTGCTTTATGGAGAAAGCGAATTGGAGAATTGAATATTCAATGAGGATATTTAGGCCAGATCATAGCTTAAAATCTTCAACAGATAAGAGCCAGCAGCTTGCTGAGCTCTGTCAGCCTCTTTAGTTCTCCTTTGCTAGGCGTCTGGTTCAAGGTGTCCTCTCTTCTGAGTCTCAGTGATAGTAAAGGATTAGGAAAAGGCATAAAGAGACCAATAAGCAACGGCGGTGAGTGGGTGGAGGCTTCAGCACGTTGGTTAAGATGGTGAGCAGCTCAAAGAGTGAGGATGGATGAAGCAAAGCAGAGGCCGCTGCCCCTGGTATGTTCTCAGGGTGGGGACAGAGGACTGCATTTGTGAACCATCTGGTCCAGGGGCTCTCGATTTGGGGTTGGCATGCGCATTGGAGGGACAGAGTGTGATGCGATGTGAGGCTAAGAGCAGGGGATTGAAATAAAAGTCTCTGCCTAGGTACAGATATGGTAAATAAAGGCGTGTACCATTCTGTAGCTGTTGCTTTTGCCTGCTTGATGCTTTTGAGATTGAACCATATTGACACAAAGCTTTATATTGATTTTAACTGCTGTGTTATGTTCTGGGAATCTTTTTTATTGAGTCTTTGTTGGGATTTCATCTGTTAGTTTTTGTCTTTTTTTTTTTTTTTTTTTGAGACAAGGTCTTGCTCTGTCACCCAGGCTGGAGGGCAGTGGCGTGATCTTAGCTCACTACAACCACCACCTCCCAGGCTCATGCAGTTCTCCTGCCTCAGCCTCCCGAATAGCTGGGACTACAGGCGCCTGCCACCACACCCAGCTAATTTTTGTATTTTTAGTAGAGACGGGGTTTCATCATGTTGACCAGGCTGGTCTCAAACTCCTGAGCTCAAGTGAACCACCTGCCTCAACCTCCCAAAGTGCTGGGATTACAGGTGTGAGCCACCGTGCCCAGCCGGCTGTGTTAGTGTTTTAGTGCTCAGGAACATTCTTGTGTGTGGGCACACGCTTCCTTGTCACACACCCGGAAGTGCGGTCAGCTGCGGGGTTGTAGGAGATGTAGATCTTCAACTTTACCTGATAGTGCAAACCACCCTCCAGTGTGGTTTTGCTGATGTGTCCTCCACCAGGAGGAGGGGTCAAGTGCCGTGAGCCTTGGCTAACAGGACAGAAATCAAAGTATGTGGCTTGAAGTTGCCATGGTGACCGGAGAACCTGAGATGGAGAGTGACAGAAGTGAGATCTAAGTCCTCATCTTGGAGAAGCTGTCCAATAAATAATTTTTCAAGTTGCTCAATCATTTAGAGACAACTACTGGAAAAATTAAAAACATAATTGTCTTTATTTTATGTTTTCTTCTATGCATTTAACTGTTCTCACTCGGCATGCCTAGTCCTTTCTGTGCCTGTTTTTGAGGTCATGACTTAGTCAACCCCATGTCCCTCCTTCAGTAAAGGCTTATTTCTTCTTCAGTGCTTCTTCAGCAAGTCTCTTCACCAACCACTATTTCCTCCTGAGTAACTCCTGAATCCCTTTTCCACCAACCTTCTAATTCTTTTGCAAACAGTAAAAATAAAGACACCTGTAGTTATGTAATCTAAGAGTTTTGCCTTGCAAACATTTATTTTTAATGAATAATATCTATTACTCATTAAAATATAAGCCCAGTTTCACATTCTGAGTGATAGCCACGTTTTCTTTCTCCTTAGCAAACTTGCAGATAGAAGACCCATAGAACGGTACCCTAAAAGTGTTACTTTCTGCTTTATATTGTTATTTTTACCAGCACTTGTTATATTCAGCAATTTCTCTGTGGTAGGTACAGTTGTCACATGCAGCTCACATCCGCAGAGTCACTCCAGCATGTTAATGCCTCTGTCTGTGTTGTTTTTTTGTTCCACAGTAAGTACCAGCTCGTCTTCTGCTACACCATCATCGAGAGGAACAATCGCCAGATGCTGCCAGTCATTAGGAGTACCACTGGAGGAGACTCAGTGCAGACCTGCACAAACCCACTGGACACCTTCGTCCCCTTTGATCCCTGTGTGCTGAAGAGGTAGGTACTTTTAAACATTGATGCTGGAGGAGGTGGATTTTTTTTTCTTTTTGAGACGGAGTCTCGCTCTGTCGCCCAGGCTGGAGTGCGGTGGTGTGATCTCGGCTCACCTCAAGCCAGCTCGCCCACCCTGGCATGAGCTGGCTCATGCTTATAATCCCAGCACTTTGGGAAGCCAAGGTGGGTGGATCACCTGAGGTCAGAAGTTCAAGACCAGCCTGGCCAACATGGTGAAATCCCGTCTCTACTAAAAATACAAAAATTAGCTGGGTTGGTGGCCCACACCTGTGGTTCCAGTTCCTCGGGGGTCTGAGGCAGGAGAATCGCTTGAACTTGGGAGGTGGAGTTTGCAGTGAGCAGAGATTGAGCCACTGCACTCCAGCTTGGGTGACAGAGCGAGACTCCATCATGGAAAACAAACAAACAAAAAAAAGCACTGCCATCTATGAATAGCAGCATGGCACAAAACAGAAGCCACTAGAGAGAGTATTGCGGGACCCTCGTTTTATGTAGCAAGAAATGGAGGCTCAGAGAAGGGGCGACTTCCAAGGGTGAGTGACCCAGTGCAAGGAGCCGGCTTCCGTTCGACTGCAGATTCTAGCCCTTCACCAACTCACTTCTCCTCACCAAGGGCTTCACTTGCACCACTGCAGTCTTCCTTTCAACAGTCGTGGGAGACACAGACCAGTCCCCATTTTACAGATGGGGAAAAAGGAGGCTTGGGGAACTCCTTGGCCAGAGGCCACAGAGGCCTCCCAGTGGGACTCTGTGCTCTGCAAAGAAGGGAATCTGGGGAGTAGGCACCCTTTAGAGAAATAATCTGCATCGAACATCCACAAAATCCAGCAGGAGGCCACCAGGAGCTGACCCCCATGCAGAGAGGAAGCACCAGCACTCTGGGTGAGTGAGGCCAAGGTCACAGTCAGTCCCCAGGAGAGCCGGCAGCCGGCCCAGGGCCCAGATGGGCCTCTGGCTCAAGCCCAGCAGAGGCTGTGTCCACTGGGCCTTGAGGTCTGCACGGGAGGCCCGTCCCTCACCCCCCAGGGCAAGAACAAGCCCACGCCTCAGCCCTGTTGGCGGTGGAGCAGGAACATCCCTGCAGTGCTTTAAGGGCACACTTGTTATTTTTTGTTCAGCTCGTGGCAGCAGGTGTGCCTTGGAATCTAGATGTTTTTTGTATCCCCAAGGGAACCCAGGCTCAGGTTTTAGGCTAGAAAACAAGACAACTGCAGATGGTAATTATCCCCCAGGATCACTAGTCAAAGGCTGCTTTTGGTCAAGAATCTCAACCTGCGTGCCTGTCTGTGTGGCACACCCTCCTCAGGAACAGCCTCGCAACTTTCCCTGGAACCTCCCCTTCCCCACTACACCTGGTCCTGGCGAGGATATTATTCACATCAGTGAATAAAATGCTAATTTTAGTGGGGGGCTGACAAACAGTTCTCACACACCAGTGTGCACCAACATCCCCTGGAGAGTGTGTTGGAGCACAGACTCCTGTCGGCCCGGCGGCTCACACCTGTAACCCCAGCACTGTGATAGGCCAAGGCGGGAGGGTAACGAGAATGCATCTCTACAAAAATAAAAATAAAAAAGTTAGCTGGACGTGGTGGTGCATGCCTGTGGTCCCAGCTACTCGGGAGGCTGAGGCAGGAGGCTTGCTTAAGCCCAAGAGATTGAGGCTGCAGTAACCTGGGATTGTGCCACTTAACTCCAGCCTGGGCAACACAGTGAGATCCTGTCTCTCAAAAAAAATAATAATAATAACAATAACATACACACAACACAACCTGTGCTCCCTCTAGACATTCTGACTTGGCAGGTGCAAGGCAGATCCAAGAATCTCATGCCAGCAGGCTCCCAGGTGCCGCTGATCCCGCCAGTCCGTGGCTTTGTAAGGGTATCTGCTGTGTTGCTGGCTCGGCTTCCATCCTCCTGCGTCCTGGGTCCAACATTCCTGTTTTCCTTGGGAGCCCATCCCCGACTCCCATTCACGGGGTCCAGAGACAGGAGTGGGTGGGGACCTGGGCATGGCCACTCAGAACAGCCCTGTCACTGGCTGCAGCAATTGGTACAGGCATGGGCACGTGACTCAAGACCAGCCAATGAGAGCCAAGGAGTTTTTTTCTGGGACGTATTTAAAGAGATTATTTCCATAGCTGTGCCCCGCAGCAGGTGAGGGCCCTCCTGAGAAAGTGTCCACACAGGAGGGCAAAGCCAAGGTGGGGGATATCAAGGCCCAAGCCAATTTCGGGGCCTCTGAATGTAGCTGTACCTGAAGCCAAGTCAACCCCTGTACTAATAAGCCTCTTTTTAAAATCAGTTTGATTTAAGTTCCTATCACTTGCTTCCAAGAGTCCTGATACAAGCAAATAAAAGTGGCCAGGTGCAGTGGCTCATGCCTGTAATCCCAACACTTTGGGAGGCCGAGGCAGGTGGATTGCTTGAGGTCAGGAGTTCAAGACCAGACTGGCCAATATGGTGAAAGCCCATCTCTACTAAAAAATACAAAAATTGGCCGGGTGCAGTGGCTCACGCCTGTAGTCCCAGCACTTTGGGAGGCTGAGGCGGGCAGATCACCTGAGGTCAGGATTTCGAGACCAGCCTGACCAACATGGAGAAACCCCATCTCTACAAAAAATACAAAAGTAGCCAGGCGTGGTGGTGCATGCCTGTAATCCTAACTACTTGGAAGGCTGAGGCAGGAAAATCGCTTGAACCTGGTAGGTGGAGGTTGCGGTGAGCCGAGATCGTGCCATTGCACTCCAGCCTGGGTGACAAGAGTGAAACCTGGTCTAAAAAAAAAAGTAAAAATACAAAAATTAGCTGGGCGTGGTGGCAAGCACCTGTAATCCCAGCTACTGGGGAGGCTGAGGCAGAAGAATTGCTTGAACCTGGGAGGCAGAAGTTGTGAGTCGAGATCACGCCACTGCACTCCAGCCTGGGCAACAAAGTGAGACTTAGTTTCAAAAAAAATAAAATAAAATAAAATAAAATAAGTGACTAAATTGGCCAGGTGCAGTAGCTCATGCCTGTAATCCCAGTGCTTTGGGAGGCAGAGGCAGGTGGATCACCTGAGGTCAGGAGTTCCAGACCAGCCTGGCCAACATGGTGAAACCCCGTCTCTACTAAAAATAGAAAAATTAGCCAAGTGTGGTGGTGCGTGCCTGTAGTCCCAGCTACTCAGGAGGCTGAGGCAGGAGAATTGCTTGAACCCAGGAGGCGGAGGTTGCAGTGAGCTGAGATTGCACCACTGCCCTCCAGCCTGGGTGACAGAGCAAGAAGACATTGTCTCAAAAACAAACAAACAATCAAACAAACAAACAAAAAACAGTGACTAAACTGAGAGCAAAGAAATGGAAGGGAGGGAGCAGGAGGATCATCAGTTTCCATCCTTTTACTGTGTGCTCAAATGTAATTTGGCTGCAGGTGAGGTCTGTGCAGACCCTGGGTGAGGGGCGAGTTGGCTATGGCCTGTTTAACTCCACCTGTGCAGACTGCAGCTCAGCCTCGTCCATGCTTCGTGACTCAGCCTTGTCCTCAGGGAAGCTGGGGCTGGTGCAACTTTCAGAAGTGGTCCCAGGTAAGCCTGGCCCTCCTGAGTCCATGGGTGGGGAATGCTGGTACAGGCCTAGCAGCTGGCTTTCCGGGGCTGGGTGGAGGTACAAGAGCGGTGATGTGTGGTGTTCGCCACTTTCCATGGTGCAATTACCCCTGCATGGCCGAGTTCAAGTTTTGAAGGTGCAGTCACCAATAGTGGAGTTGGGAAGAGATTTGCACAGTCAGCTCCAGAGCCAGCATGCACCATCTCCCACCCGTCACTGCCCCCTGCCTTCCTCCCTCTTGTCCCTGCAGCCTGGGATCTCACTGCTGCTCTCCAAGTGAGGAATTCCAGTAAGGCTTCTTAAGACTTCTTTTTGGTTTACCTGGCAGAACCCCACCTCAAACTGGCTTAAGCAAAGAAGAGGGAGATTTGCCAGCTCCGATCCTAAAGAGTCAGGGCTGCAACCGGGTGCAGGGGTTGTCGACTGCCAGGGCTCTGAGTGCTCCCCCAGGCTCTGCTTTCCCCAGGGGACACTCATGGGGGTTCCCTGATGGGGCAATGGTGGCCACCCGAGGCTGTGGCTTGGCCTCCAGTGGAGCGACGTCACCTCTTTCCCGGCAGTTCCAGCCACCATCCCAGGGCTGATTCTCAGGGGCCCGGCTTTGGCTGCTCATCTGGCCAGCCCGAGGGTGACCCCGCCTGGAGCAAGGTGTGCTTGGAGAGTGGGAGGCAGCACTCCCGCAGGACAGCCGAGGACGCTGTTCCCAGAGTGAGGATGGGGCGCCCTCCTCACTGGACGTGCGTCCTGGCCATGGACCCCGAGCTGACCTCGGCCCCTCCCTGACTCGGTTGCTCTCAGGTCCAAGGCCACTGCTGCTGTCTCTGTCTCCCAGTGTCAGCCTCTGACCTTGTCCCAACCCCACTTTTGGCTTCCCCACCGGCTTCACATCTGCTCAAAGGATCTAGGCCCTCCCTGCCACAGACCGAAAGAAGGATCCGGTGTCTCTCCCGGGCCATGGAAATGAGCTGGGTCATCCCTCCCTTGGCTCCCATCCACGTGGGCCAATCTGGTTTCACTTTATTTGTCATTTTCTCCAAAACCCAGTTTCCTTTTTATTTCTCTCCTACTCAGCTTCACTTGCTCCCGGTCCCCTCCCCGTCTCTGCAGCTGATTTTTCCAGGTTCTCGGTCCTCTCCTTCACAGATTTTCTGTCCTCTTTGTTCACCCAGATTGGGAATCTGGAGCTGCTGGGGATGGAGGGAATGAGAACCTCAGATGAAGGACAGGTAGGGCTAGAGAAAGGTTTTCAGAGAGAAACAGAGAATGAGATGAAAACACAGCAAACCCTGGATGGAAGGAGGGGCAGTGCCCATAAGACGAAGGGAAGGGAGCGGACAAGGTGCAGAGAACTGCACACAGACAGGCTCCCGAGGCCTGGGCCACACCGTGGCAGGGCCAGAAACAAAGCGAAACAAACAGAGAGGCCAAGGAAATTTCCGTTGGTGGGGACACTGCCAGCAGTTTTCCTAGGAGCTGGGGGTGCCAGCACTTGGAGCAAGCACGGGCCAAGGACGATGAGTAACAGAGGTGGCAGCAAGGGCTCTTTCCAGGGAGTGTGTATGGCCTTGAAGGCCAAGGAAGAAAGGCTGGGGGAGCAAAGCGGTGGGGAGGAGGGAAGGGGGAGAGGAGAGGTGCCAGTCACAAAGGAAAACAGCAGCCAGATCCACGCGCTGCCACACTGTGCCTGTCCCACCTCGAGTACCCCCGCAGATAGCTCAGCTCATTCCCTAAAGGTGCGGGAGGGCCCAGCTCATTGGGCAGGGCTGTATGAAGCGCTTGGCACCATTCCGGGAGAATTAAGCATTTAGTAAACAATAGCTTCCTTCAAAATAAATCCAAACGAGGCCTGAGAGCCCGGAGTTGGGGGGTGCCTGCCAGGCTGTCCGCATGAGAGGAGGAGGTTCTAGGGACGTCTTGGCTCCTCTAGTGGGGCACAAATCGGCAGCTTCAAGATGAGAGACGGGAAGAGTGAATTCCTTGGAGGGGAATCTTGGCACTGTTGGGACTGGCACTGTGGCTGTGCAGTTCAAGGACGACCCCTGGACTGAGAGGAAAGGATGTGACCATCACGCTTATATCCCGGGAAAGTGATTTATCATTGCAAATTCATAAACTGGCAGTCTAGTTCCTAAAACGACTACATGTGTGTGCACGTGTGTGTGCATGTGTGTGTGTTCATGTGCGTGTGTGTGCATGTGTGTGTTCATGTGCATGTGTGCACATATGCACTGTGTATACATTGTGCATGTGTGTTCATGTGTGTGTGCCCGTGTGTGCATGTGTTCGTGTGTGTTCGTGTGCGGGTATGCGTGTGTGCACTGCATGAGCATGTGTGTATACGTATGTGCATGTGTGCTCATGTGCATTGTGCACATGTGTGTGCACGTGTGTTGTGTGTGCGTGTGTGAACACATGTGTGTTTCCATCTCCATTCTGTATGTAGCTCCTGTTTCTTCCCTCAGGCCTGGGTGTGAATATTTTTGGGGAAGTTAGGTAGAAGTCAGTGTCGCCTCGCTCTCTACAGATGTTTTCTCTGCTTTCTGGTCCTCAAGACTGAAAAATGAAAATGTACCAAACAGCTTTCAAAGTTTACCTGTTAGAGATTCAGCCACTGGGGAGCCACTGTTCCTGTTCTTGCTCACTTCAGATTCTAAATTCCCAGAGCAGTGACTCTGATTGGCCCAGCCCTGCACTAATTAGGAGCGGGACTGAGGAAGGGGCTCTGATTGGTCCAGCATGGTTTGAGTGCCCATCCCTGTCCAATCAATTGTGACCAGGGGTGGGATCATGTTAGACAAAATGTCAGGCGGTGGAGTCACTGTTGTTATCATTTGGATCCAAAAGCCCATTTCTTTTTTCTTTTCTTTTCTTTTCTTTTTTTTTTGAAACAGAGTCTTGCTCTGTCGCCCAGGCTGGAGTGCAGTGGCGCGATCTTGGCTCATTGCAAGCTCCGCCTTCCGGGTTCACACCATTCTCCTGCCTCAGCCTCCGGAGTAGCTGGGACTACAGGCGCCTGCCACCATGCACGGCTAATTTTTTTTTTGTATTTTTAGTAAAGACAGGGTTTCACCATGTTAGCCAGGATGGTCTCAATCTCCTGACCTTGTGATCCTCCCACCTTGGCCTCCCAAAGTGCTGGGATTACAGGCGTGAGCCACCGTGCCCAGCCCAAAAGCCCATTTCTAATCGTCCACCTTCCCAGATGCTTCCCAGGTGCACCGTGACCCCTGTGTGCTGTGTGGTCTTTTGTAGGGAGAAAGGATCAATCAAGAAAGGGAAACCCCTGCTCCCATGGAGCTTGCCTTCTGGTGGAATAAGAAAATTAGTAAACATTAATTAATAAATAGGTACTTCTCTATGCAAGTTTACAGAAAAATAAACAAATATGTACATAAGAAAGAAGATGGTTTTGGATAGCGATAAGTGCTGGATGAAAATGAAACCAGGTGATAAGCCAGCGATGACTCCACTGAGGGAGGTTGTGAGCGTTACACAACATGGTCAGAAAAGACCCCGTTGGACCCAAGTCCCAGCTGGTAAGAAAGTGCCAGCTTCATGACGGTGGGGAGAAGCATTCCAGTATCACCGTTTTAAAATATGAGCATCCTAAATATTACACAAACCATACTTACGCTAAATATTTGGGATCTACACTAAAAATGTAGTGTAGTGTAAAAATGGGGTTTCACCATGTGGGCCAGGCTGGTCTCGAGCTCCCAACCTCAAGCTATCCACCCACCTCAGCCTCCCAAAGTGCTGGGATTATAGGCGTGAGCCACTGCACCCAGCCAATCTGATGGGTTTTTTTTTTTTTTGAGACGGAGTCTTGCTCTGTCACCCAGGCTGGAGTGCAGTGGCGCGATCTCCGCTCACTGCAAGCTCCACCTCCCGGGTTCACGCCATTCTCCTGCCACAGGCTCCTGAGTAACCCCTTTTGCTTGGTTCTCATTCTCTCTCTTGGCTGCCACCATGCAAGACCTGCCTTTCGCCTTCTGCCATGATTGGGAGGCCTCCCCAGCCACATGGAACTGTGAGTCCATTCAACTTCTTTTTCTTTGTAAATTACCCAGTCTCGGGTATGGCTTTATCAGCAGCATGAAAACAGACAAATATACTGTTGTTTCTTATTAAATGTTATTGGCTTATTTTGAAAACAAAAGCTTACCAAATACATGTGATTATGGGAAGGGGCCAGAAAGTTACACTGCAAGTAAAAATATCAGTAACTATGTTTACTGGGTGGCGATGGCAAAAACAATAGTTTTTCCTTTTTTTTTTTTTGGAGACAGGATCTTGCTCTGTCGCCCAGGCTACAGTGCAGTGGTGCAATCACAGCCCACTGCAGCCTCGACCTCCGGAGCTCAATTGATCCTCCCACCTCAGCCTCCTGAGTAGCTGCATCTACAGATGTGAGCCACCAAAAAAAAAAAAAAAATTATTTTTGACACAGGATCTAGCACTGTTGCCCAGGCTGAAGTGCATCTGGGCTCACTGCAAGCTTCTCCTGAGCTCAAACCACCCTCTCACCTTAGCCTCCCAAGTAGCTGGGACTAGAGCCTCACTCCACCACGCCCGGCCTTGTTTTTCCTTTGTGAACATCGTTCTACAATGCTGTGGGTACATCGCTTTTTCAATATGAAGTTTTCTTTGGAAGTTTATAAATCCAGTTTGGGCCTTGGAGGAAAGCAGTCAGTGATAGAAATTTTGTGACTCTGAGTGAGTTTGGTGGAGCTTCGAGTTGTAGATTGTTTCCCAGGGACCGCTGCAGACACAAAGCCCTGACTGCAGGATCCCCAGTGATAAAAGTGATCAAAGGCGAGTGTGATCAGACGTGCGCTGCAACGCGAGTTGAGGTTTCATCGAGCCTCATTCAGTGGCTCC
This sequence comes from Homo sapiens, assembly GCF_000001405.40. Taxonomy (NCBI): domain Eukaryota; kingdom Metazoa; phylum Chordata; class Mammalia; order Primates; family Hominidae; genus Homo; species Homo sapiens. The sequence goes on from NW_017852933.1 coordinate 683,730, forward strand.
TGGGGCAGTTGTGTGGATGAAGAGGGCCATGTCTGTGAAGTGCTCAGGATGGAGCTGGTGGTGGGGCGGCCATGCCGGCCACATGGCTCACACCCCTCACCCGTCAACTCGGTGCCCGGCATTTTCCTTAGCTCCTCTGTGGATTAATTCTCATTCTGAAGACGGGAGGCTGAGGTTTCATCTCAGCTCTGTTCCTGGCTCATTGCTGCGCTTCTCTGTACCCGTCCCCTCCCCTGACTAGGGGAATGAGAACCTTGCCTATGGAAACACTTAGGGGATGGTGGCCCGTGACTCCATGCCAGCCCCTCCCAAGCCCAGCCACCAGCTGAGGTCCTGACCACCTTGTGGACCACCCGGTCCTCCAGCCCTGCGCCCACCCCCGCGTCCTCCCTCCTGCTCTTTCGTAGTTCCCTTGTGTTTCTCTGTGCCAGTAGCTGAGCCCCCGTGCCCACCCACTGCAACTGCACCTTCCCTCCCTCCAGGCTTCCCCACTGCGTTGCTCCCCTGCAGGGGCCAGTGAGTGGCTCTAGCTGTGTTCAGACAGCTCTGTGCCTCCTCCTCCCACCCCAGTTCCTCCGCCTTGGAGACAGACGGGGGTGCAGCGGGGCTGAATGGCACTCCAAGCTCGTGGGGCTGGGGAGTCCACATCTGCACCCGCCGCGTGGCTAGCACCCCCTGAGCGTTTTGGTCAATTTGCCATCATCCCACCCCTCAGTGCCGTTGGTGGTTGCCTGACGAAAAGCTGCACTTAATAGAAATCACTGTGGATGCAGGAGATGGACGGTGATGAGCTCAGGACCAGCCAGCAACCCCATCAGGCGGTAATGCCTACCATGGTCACCCATGACTTCCTCTCGCCACTGCTCGGAGCTCCTGCAAAGCCACAGGCAACAACACATTTCTGCTCCGTACGAGAAGCTCCTATTGTAAGTCGGTGACATGGCTGGGGTTTTCTCTCAGCAAATATTGAGCAAACACTGACTGTGCCAGGTGATGTGCTGGGTCCCAAACCCTTCCCAGACCCAGCCCTGGCACTCACGGAGATCCAGCTAGGAAGTCCGGGAAAAGGTCATCGGGGAAATAAACAAAGTCAAGCACAGTGGATGAACGCGCTGCTGCCGCTCCCCACACCTCTTGTGGTGGACATCACTTACGCTTCCTCATGGTGCATGTCACTTATGCTTCCTGGTGCCCTCCCAGATGACCCCCCCTTGGGCCACTACACACAGCTGCACCCGGCAAGAGCAGACAAGGATGGTCTACTCACTGAGCCTGCAAGGCTGGTGTGCAGGACAGGCCAGCTACACTCCCCAGGTGTGTGCAAGACCGGGGACGAGTCAGTCATTGGGAGGTGAGGTGCTCGGGCAGTGTGGGATGGAGGAGGAGGGAGGGAAACTGAGTGTGGGCTCTTCGTATTGGAGAGGAGGGGACGGCCATGGCACAAAGACTCAGATGGGAAAGTGTGAGAAAGCAGAGATTTCAAAGGAGCTACGGTGGAGACCCACAGAAGAGGAATGCTGAGGCTTTTCTGTCTGAAATGCTGAATAGACTCTAGCACACGCAAAACAGCCCACCACAGCGAGCTGCAGGATTCTTCCGGGCTTTTAACAGTGGTCTTGTAAAAAAAATTAGCCGGGCATGGTTGTCCCAGCTACTCAGGAGGCAGAGAGGGGAGGATGGCTTGCGCCCAGGAGGTTGAGGCTGCAGTGAGCCATGATCGCACCACTGCACTCCAGCCTGGGTGACAGAATGAGACCCCTGACTCAAAAAAAAAAAAAAAAAAAAAAAAAAAAAAGACTGGAACATTCAAAACCTGTTGATGGGCTCAAGAAATTCTCAAGAAATTCTCTTGCCTCAGCCTCCTGAGTAGCTGGAACTACAGGTGTGCACCACCACATGTGGCTAATTTGTGTATTTTTTGTAGAGACAGGGTCTTACCATGTTGCCCAGTCTGGCCTTGAACTCCTGGACTCAAGGGATCCAATGACAGGCGAGAGCCACCATGCCCAGCCACATTTTTGCTAAATTCTTTACACTGGTGAATCTCAAAGAATTCTCTGATCATCACACCATATCCTGCTAAGTGTGCAATTAACCTGTGGACTTCAGTTGGACACTTTCAGATTAGCATTAGCTATGTGGGGCCACCAAATGCCAACTGTTAAATTATCACTCAAAGATAAATGACACTTGAGTGTGCTGTTTGAGTTTATACCTCTAAAAAATGCTTATAGTACCATGAGACTAGTGTGCCAACGTGTCTGGCTGCCAACGTGTCTATAGCTGAGCCAATAAGAATTAGTCTCTAGAGCCTCTGTTTCCAAGGAAGTCAATCTCTAGATTCCCACATTGGCTGCATGATGGAATAAGCCAGGGGCTACGAAAAATACTGATGCCTGTTGAAGCTTGGAGGAGCTGGGGTTGGGGTGTAGGGCAGTGATGATCACATATGAATAGAACTGGGAGTCTTTAGTGTTACTGGTGGCAATGTTGAAATGCATGAGGGTTGTTTATTGTATAATGAAGTATTTTTCACATGAAGTCATATGAAGTATTCCATTCCACTGTATTTGTTCTTATTTTAACGATACAACTAGGTAATAAAGGAAATGAAGTATTGTTTTATATTTTAAAAAAACACATATGCCTGGATCTCACGCCCCAGACATTCTGATTTAACTGGTCTAGGGTATGGTCTGGGCATCAGGACTTTTTCAGGCTCCAAGTGATTCTAATGTGCAACAAGGTTGAGAACTATTGCTTTAGGGCCTTCGTGTTCTTTGAGAATACAAAGAAAATTCAGAGAGATAGGTTAAAAACACACTTGCCATTCCTCCATTGCTCTGACATCTATCAGCAAATAAGCTATAACAGGAAATACAGGGCTTTGGGTCTTTTCTATTCCAGATTCTGTTCCTGTCCTCTTTTAGCCACCAGGGTTTTAATTTTATTTATTTATTTATTTATTTATTTATTTATTTATTTGAGACAGAGTCTCGCTCTATTGCCCAGGCTGGAGTGCAGTGGCGTGATCTTGGCTCACTGTGACTTCTGCCTCCCGGGTTCCAATGATTCTCTTGCCTCAGCCTGCTGAGTAGCTGGGATTATAGGCACGCACCACCTCGCCCGGCTAATTTTTGTATTTTTAGTAGAGACAGGGTTCCACCATGTTGGCCAGGGTGGTCTCAAACTCCTGACCTCAGGTGATCTGCCTGCCTCAGCCTCCCAAAGTTCTGGGATTACAGACATGAGTCACAGAGCCCAGCCTAATGACTGATTGATTGATTGTGACACAGGCTCTCACTCTGTTGCCCAGGCTGGAGTACAGTAGTGAGATCATAGCTCACAACAGCCTCGAATTCCTGGGCTCAAGTGATACTCCTACCTCAGCCTCCCAAGTAGCTGGGACTATGGGCATGTGCCACCACTCCCGGCTAATTTTTTTTTTTTTTTTTGAGACAGAGTCTGGCTCTGTCACCCAGGCTGGAGTGCAGTGGCGCAATCTTGGCTCACTGCAAGCTCTGCCTCCCGGGTTCACGCCATTCTCCTGACTCAGCCTCCCGAGTAGCTGGGACTACAGGCACCTGCCGCCATGCCTGGCTAATTTTTTTTGTATTTTTAGTAGAGATGGGGTTTCACTGTGTTAACCAGGATGGTCTCGATCTCCTGACCTTGTGATCTGCCTGCCTCGGCCTCCCAAAGTGCTGGGATTGCAGGCATGAGCCACTGCACCCGGCCAGTCCCAGGTAATTAAAAAAAATTTTTTTTGTAGGAATGGGGTCTTGCTATGTTACCCAGACTGGTCTCAAACTCCTGGCCTCAAGTGATCCTCCTGCTCTGGCCTTCCAAAGTGCTGGAAGATGAGAGCTACAGATGAGAGCCACCACACTTGACCATCACCAGGGTTTTCTACTACAATATTGCTTGAGGCTTTTACTGCTACTTGGATTTCAAGCAATGTCCCCAGTTCAGGTGGAAAACAGTCACCTCGAAAATGGAGAAGATGAGTCTGAGGAAGAATTACATTCTACAGAAGAAATGCGGTCCAGGACAGTCCACATTCACTTCCTTCATTCAGATACTCATTTCTTAGCCACAATTACCCAATTTTGAGCCATGCTTCTATAATGAGATACCACTGAGTTCTGCGGTTCTAACTCCTTAATCTCTCATGTCAGTCTCCTCTTGCCTTCTGTCTTCCACTGCTTTAGGGCTTGGATTACATGCGTGAGCCACCACACTGGCCCCATGCACAATATTAACCAGTGGAACCAGCATTCCTCATATAAAATCACTTTGTTAGCCTTCTAACTGTTCTTTGCAATCCAGCTAACATCCCTTCAAAACACACTTCAGGGTAATCTTTTATTTTATTTATTTATTTTATTTATTTATTTATTTTTTTTTTTTGAGACGGAGTCTTGCTCTGTCACCCAGGCTGGAGTGCAGTGGCACAATCTCAGCTCACTGCAAGCTCTGCCTCCCGGGTTCACGCCATTCTCCTGCCTCAGCCTCCCGAGCTGCTGGGACTACAGGCGCCCACCACCATGCCCGGCTAACTTTTTGTATTTTTAGTAGAAGCGGGGTTTCACCATGTTAGCCAGGATGGTCTCGATCTCCTGACCTCGTGATCCGCCCACCTCAGCCTCCCAGAGTGCTGGGATTACAGGCGTGAGCCACCGCGCCCGGCCTAATGTTTTATTTTTACTTATTTATTTTTTGAGACAGGGTCTGGCTCTGTCGTCCAGGCTGGAGTGCAGTGGCGCAATCTTGGCTCACTACAACCTCCACCTCCCGAGTTCAAGCAATTATTCTGCCTCAGCCTCCCAAGTGGCTGGGACTTCAGGTGCATGCCACCATGCCCGGCTAGTGTTTGCATTTTTTGTGGAGATGGGTTTTTACCATGTTGCCCAGGCTAGTCTCGAACTCCTGAGATCAAGAGATCTACCCACCTCGGCCTCCCAACGTGCTGAGATTACAGGCGTGAGCCATCACGCCCAGCCCAGGGTTATCTTTTAAAAGGCAAATCTGATATTATTACTTCTTGGTTTAATAATTATAATGCTCCTTTCCTTTTAGGATCAGGTCTACACTTCTCAAGCTCTACTACTAAACCATCAGCCATTCCTCCAATCATGTCCTACAACCTCATGCCTCTCTGTGCTTGCACAGACTCCCTGCTACTATGAATTTTCAAAATTCATTAGAGAGATCATTTATTTTCTCCTCAGTCTGAATTGTATGCTAAGCCAGTGGGCACTCCCTCAACAGCCCACACTTACATCTGTAATAGCACCTAGCATCCAACATTAAGATTCTCACTATAATTGACTGTGAGCTTATTCAGAGTGGGGGCTGCATCTTTTCCTCTTTTTCCTTTGGGTTTAGCACAGGACCTGGTACGTAGTAGGTGTTAATATTTGTTGAATGAATGCTGTATCATTTTACACATCTATGCGTTGCACATATGTCTATACTGTTTCTCTTCACTGGATACATCCAATCTCCATGCACAGTATTATTATTATAATTATTATTGAGACAGGATCCTGCTCTGTCACACAGGCTGGAGTGCAGTGGCACAATCATAGCTCACTACAGCCTCCAACTCCCAGGCCCAAACAATCCTCCCACCTCAGCCTAGCAAGTAGCTAGGATTACAGCTGTGCACCACCATACTCGGCAAATTTTTCAATTTTTTGTAGAGAGGGGATCTTGCTATGTTCCCCAGGCTGGTCTCAAACTCCTGGCCTCAAGGGATCCTCCTGCCTCAGCTTCCCAAAGCACTGGGATTACAGGCATCAGCAATGGCACCTGGCCCCATGCACAGTATTTATGCCTCCACTGAAACCTGGCTGAAGCATTTTTTTTTCTGTGAAGCCTTCCTGGACTTGGTTCCCAAGACAGTGATGATCATGCCCACCTTTTAGCCACCATTATATCTTATATATACTTCTAATCATAGTATCTACTATTTCGTGCTGCAAAAATCTCTCCTCATGTCTGTCTCCTTTACTAGATTGTAAACAGCTAGTTGCAGCAACCTATTTTATTTATCTTCATATTCTGAGCACTTATGATATAGTAGGCAACTAGTAGTTAAGCCTTCATTTTTCCATTTAGTAATTAAGCCTTCAGTGCTTCTTTTACACTATAAACAGATTGTTCTAAAACAAAATTCAGATCATGTTTTTCTTTCTTTCTTTTTTTTTTTTTTTTTTTTGAGACAGAGTCTTGCTTTGTTGCCCAGGCTGGAGTACAGTGGCACCATCTCAGCTCACTGCAACCTCTGCCTCTCTGGTTCAATCGATTCTTGTGCCTCAGCCTCCCGAGTACCTGGGACTACAGGCGCATGCCACCACGCCCAGCTAATTTTTGTATTTTTAGTAGAGATGGAGTTTTGCCATGTTGGCTAGGCTGGTCTTGAACTCCTGGCCTCAAGCAATCCACCTGCCTCGGCCTCTCAAAGTGCTGGGTTACAGGTGTGAGCCACTATGCCTGGCTCAGATGATGTTTGTCTCATGCATTCAAATCTTCAGTGATTTCCCTTTACCTAGAGTGGTCTTTCCCAAAGTACAGCATCTGGACCCCTGCTGGCACACATGATAATTTTTACATGATACATAATAGTTCTTTTTATTTTTATTTTTTATTTTTTGAGATGGAATTTCACTCTTGTAGCCCAGGCTGGAGTGCAGTGGCACAATCTTGGCTCACTGCAACCTCCACCTCCTGGGTTCAAGCGATTCTCATACCTAAGCCTCCCGAGTAGCTGGGACTACAGGCGCCCACCACCACACCTGGCTAACTTTTGTATTTTTAGTAGAGATGGGGGTTCACCATGTTGGTTAGGCTGGTCTCGAACTCCTGACCTCAGGTGATCATGCCTTGGCCTCCCAAAGTGCTAGAATTGCAGGAGTGAGCCACCAGCCATTTCTTTTTATTTTACTGGCGTTAGAAAAATTGAAACCTACCAAATGAATGATTTTATGGTTGCTTTTTCTTATGGCAGTTAAGATTTGTTTTAAGTTAGTGATTTAAAATAAATTTAAAGAAAAATACTGAGTAAATATTAGTACATAGAGTACTCATATAACAAATGTCAAAAATTCATCATATTTGTGAAACCCTAATGTATAGGATTAAAAGCACATACATCTTCTAAATCCAGTGTACAGATCCTTCACATCATCAGCCCTGATTGACTTTTCGACTTCACCCCCTCTAGCTGCCATCAATTGTGCTGTAACTCATGTCACTAATCAACAGGTTCTTCCATGTGACTTCTCCTAACTCCTTTCAGTCTATTCGTTACACAGCACCCCAAGGGAGGCTGGCACCCCAAGGGAGGCTGTTAAAAAGTAAGTCAAGGCTGGGCGTGGTGGCTCACACCTTAATCTCAGCATTTTGGGAGGCCAAGGCAGGCGGATCACCTGAGGTCAGGAGTTCGAGACCATCCTCGCCAACATGGTGAAACCTCGTCTCTACTAAAATACAAAAATTAGCTGGATGTGGTGGCACACACCTGTAATCCTAGCTACTCAGGAAGCTGAAGCAGGAGAATCACTTGAACCCAGGAGGCAGAGGTTGCAGTGAGCCGAGACTGCACCACTGTACTCCAGCCTGGGTGAACAGAATGAGACTCTGTCTCAAAAAAAAAAAAAAAAAAAAAAAAAAGGTAAGTCAAATCAGGTAATTACCCCCGCTCAAAACTAAAAACTGTCCAGTCGCCATTTTTTCTGTTTTTTTGTTTTTTTTTTTAATTTCTAGGAGATGCATGGTTAACTATCAGGGGTGACATGCCACTAGATCTGCAATTTAACTTAAAATGGTTCAGAGAAGGCTGGATGCGGTGGTTCACGCCTGTAATCCCAGCACTTTGGGAGGCTAAGGAGGAAGGATCACTTGCGCCCAGGAGTTTCAAACTAGCCTGGGCAATCTAGTGAGACCCTGTCTCTACAAAAATTTTTAAAAATTAGCCAGGCACAGTGTCGTGCACCTGCAGTCCCAGCTACTAGGGAGGCTGAGTCAGAAGGATCCCTTGAGCACAAGAGTTCAAAGCTGCAATGAGCTGTTATTGAGCCACCGTACTCAGCCTGGGAGACAGAGCAAGACCCTGTCTCCAAAAAAAAAAAAAAAAAAGATATATAGGCTAGGTGTGATGGCTCACACCTGTAATCCCAGCACTTTGGGAGGCCAAGGCAAGTGGATCATTTGAGGTCAGGAGTTTGAGACCAGCCTGGCCAATGTGGTGAAACCCTGTCTTTACTAAAAATATAAAAATTAGCTACTCAGGAGGCTGAGACATGAGAATCGCTTGAACCCAGGAGGTGGAGTTTGCAGTGTGATGAGATCATGCCACTGCACTCCAGCCTGGGCGACAGAGCAAGACTCTGTCTCAAAAAAAAGGAAGAATGAGAAAGCACCTTATGTCATGACATGACACAAACTTCAACATATAAAGTGGCCGGGCACAGTGGCTCACACCTGTAATCCCAGCAACTAGGGAGACTGAGGTGGGAGGATCACTTGAGGCCAGAAGTTGGAGATCAGCCTGAACAACACAGCAAGACCCCATCTCTAAAAAAGTAAATAAATAAGTTTGAGGCTGCAATGAGCTATGATTGTACCACTTCACTCTCAGCCTGGGTGACAAAGCAGAATCCCATCTCTAAAAATAAAAATAGAAAATAAAAATAAATAGTCCAGAGAACAGAATATGCATACACACAGAGATACAGATAAACCAAATATGGTAAAATGTCAGCAATTGATGAATCTAAGAAGTGGGTATATGCATGTATTTTCTCTGTAATTTTCTTTAAACTTTTTTTATATTTGGAAAATTTTATAATAAAAAGTTGTGAGGAAAATAAGATGGTTTAATTGACAGAAGGATGGATACATTAATTAATACATGATAAAATTAATACAGTAGGTTATAAATAGTTGAATGTAGATTACTGTGTAACTTTTAAAACTTTTTTGTATATTTGAAAATGTTTGGCCCAGCATGGTGGCTCACGCCTGTAGTCCCAGCACTTTGGGAGGCCAAGGTGGGTGGATCACCTGAGGTCATGAGTTCGAGACCAGCCGGACCAACATGGAGAAACCCCGTCTCTATTAAAAATACAAAATTAGCCAGATGTGGTGGCGCATGCCTGTAATCCCACCTACTCAGGAGGCTGAGGCAGGAGAATTGCTTGAACCTGGGAGGCAGAGGTTGCGGTGAGCCGAGATCGCGCCATTGCACTCCAGCCTGGGCAACAAAAGCGAAACTCGGTCTCAAAAAAAAAAAAAGAAAAGAAAAGAAAAGAAAAGAAAATGTTCATAAATAAAAGAATGGAGGAAAAGTTGTAAGAAAAACTTAAAAAAAAAATCTGGCTTGGTGCAGTGGCTCACACCTGTAATCCCAGCACTTTGGGAGGCTGAGGTGGGCAGATTACCTCATCTGAGGTCACGAGTTTGAGATCAGCCTGGCCAACATGGTGAAACCCCATCTCTACTAAAAATACAAAAATTAGCTGGGTGTGGTGGCAGGCACCTGTAATTCCAGCTATTTGGGAGGCTGAGGCAAGAGAATCTCTTGAACCCGGGAGGCAGAGGTTGTACAGAGCTGAGATCACACCACTGCACTCCAACCTGGGTGACAGTGCAAGACTCTGTCTCAAAAACAAACAATATCCTTTTCTATGTAGAAAACCCAAAATAATAAACAAAAAAAAACTTTCTCCTGGAACTAATAAGCAATTATAACAAGGTTGCAAAATACAAGATTAACATACAAAGGTCAATCTATTTCTTATATGCAAGCCATAAACAAGTAGATTTTAAAGTAAAAACACAATACCATTTACATTAGCACCCTCCAATGAAATAGTTCAGTATAAGTCTAACAAAATAAGTACAAGATCCATATAAGGAAAGCTACAAATTCTAATTAAAGAAATCAGCCTGGGCATGGCTCAAGCTTGTAATCCCAGTGCTTTGGGAGGCTCAGGTGGGAGGAACACTTGAGGCCAGGAGTCTGAGACCAGCCTCGGCAACATAGCAAGACCCCATCTCTAAAAAAAGTTTAGCTGGGCATGGTGGTGCACACCTGTGGTCCCAGCTACTTGGGAGGCTGAGATGGGAGGATCACTTGAGCCCAGGAGCTTGAGGTTGCAGTAAGCTATGATCATACCAGTGCACTCCAGTGTGGGCAATAGAATGAGGCCCTATCTCTAAAAATCAATCAATCAATCAAAGAAATCAGGCCAGGCGCAATGGCTCACGCCTGTAATCCCAGCACTTTGGGAGGCCAAGGCGGGTGGATCATGAGGTCAGGAGTTCGAAACCAGCCTGGCCAAGATGGTGAAACCCCATCTCTACTAAAAATACAAAAATTAGCCAGGTGTGGTGGCGCATGCCTGTAGTCCCAGCTACTTGGGAGGCTGAGGCAGGAGAATTGCTTGAACCCGGGAGGCAGAGGTTGCGGTGAGCTGAGATCATGCCATTGCACTCCGGCCTGGGTGACAAGAGCGAAACTCCGTCTAAAAAAAAAAAAAAAAAAAAAAAATCAAAGAAATAAAAGAAGATCAAAATAAATGGAAAGATAGTCCATGTTCGTAGATAAGAAGACTCAATATTCTAATGTATCAGCTCTTCTTTGATCTATATATTCAATGCAATCCCTGTCAAAATCCCCATAAGTTATTTTTTGGATACTGACAAATTTGTTCTACAGTTTATATGGAGAGGCAAAAGACCCAGAATAGCCAAGACAATATGGAAAGAAAAGAACAAAGTCAGAAGACTGACACACCCAACTTCAACACTTACTATAAAGCTACAGTAATCAAGAAGTGTGGTGTTGATGAAAGAATAGAACAATAGGACTATTTAGTTCTATTGTTCAAAATAGACCCATAAAAATATAGTCAACTGATCTTCGACAAAGGAGCAGAGGCAATACAATTAGGAAAGATAGTCTCCAACAAAGAGTGCAGGAATAATGAATATCCACATGCCAAAAAAATGAATCTAGACCCAAACCATATACCCTTCACAAAAATTAAGTCAAAATGGATTACAGACCTAAACATAAAATGCAAAACTAGAAAACTCCTAGAAAATAACACAGGAGAAAATCTAGGTGACCTTGGGGATGTTGATGGCTTTTTAGATACAGCAGCACAAAAGGCATGGTCAATGAAAGAAAGAACTGATAAGCGAAACTTAAAAAAACTGCTGCTCTGTGAAAGATACTGTCAAGAGAACGAGAAGACAAGCCACAGATGGGAAAAACTATTAGCAAAAGCAGGATCTGAAAAAGGACTATTATCCAAAATATACTAAAAATTCTTAAAGTTCAACAATAAGAAAACAAACAACTTGGTTTAAAAAAGGGCAAAAGACCTGAATAGACACCTTACCAAAGAAGATATACAGATAGCAAATAAGTATATGAAAAGATGCTCATATGTCATCAGGGAATTACAAATTTAAAACAATGACATACCACTACACACCTATTAGATGGGCCCAAACCCAAAAGATTGACAACATTAAATACTGGCATAAATATGGAGCAACAGGAACTCTCATTCATTGATGGTGGGAATGCAAAATAGTATAGCCACTTTGGAAGACAGTTTGGCAGTTTCCTACCAAAGCAAACATACTTTTACCATGTGATCCAGCCATCATGCTCCTTGGCATTTACGTAAATGAAATGAAATCTTATGTCTACACAAAAACCTGTACATAGATATTTACAGCAGATTTATTCATAACTGCCAAAATTTGGAAGCAACCAAGATGCTCTTCAGTAGGTGAATGGATAAACTGTGGGTCATCCAGACAATGGATATTATTCATCACTAAAAAGAAATGAGCTATCAAGGCATAAAAAGACCTACCAGAAACTTAAATTGCATATTATTAAGTGCAAGAAGCCTATATGAAAAGATAACATACTATATGATTTCAACTAGATAACATTTTAGAAAAGGCAAAACTATGGAGACAGTAAAAAGATCACTGGTTGCCAGGGGTCAGTGTGGAGGGAAGGATGAATAGGTAGAGCACAGGGGATATTTTGGGCAGTGAAACTATTCCTTATGATACTACAATCATAGATGCATGTCATTATACATTTGCCCAAACCCACAGAATGCACAACACAAAGAATGAACCATAATGTGAACTATGGAATTTGGGTTCTAATAATGTGTCAGTGTAGGTTCTTCGATTGTAACAAAGGTAACACTCTGGTGGGGGATGTTGACAATGGGGGAGGCTGTGCATGTGCGGGGACAGGGGTATATGGAAACTGTATACTTTCTGCTCAATTTCATTGTGAATCTAAAACTGCTTTGAAAAACAAAGTCTATTAAGTCAGTCAGTTAATCCTTCACTATTTCACCATCTCCTTCACCTTACGGTGAAATCAAAGTAACAAACAGGGCTGCAAGGCCCTATGCAATCTGGCCTCCTTCCCCATTCCTGCCTCCCTCCCTCCTGCTTACTTTGCTCCAGCCATGCTGGCCTCCTTGCCAGCCAGAATGCCAGGCACACTGCACCTCTGGGCCTTTGCACTTGCTGTGCTCTCTCCCAGGAACATTCTTCCCTGAGAGAGCCTCCCTGGTTCCCTGCCATCTTCCTTCAGGTCTTTATTCAAATGTCACCTTCTTCGTGAGGTCTTCCCCATCACTCTAATTAAAAATGCAGCTTTAGCTGTGCACAGTGGCTCACACCTGTAATCCTAGTGCTTTGGGAGGCCAAGGCAGGAGGATCGCTTGAGTCCAGGAGTTCAAGACAAGCCTGGGCAACACAGCGAGACCACGCCTCTCCTAAAAACTTTTAAAAATTAGCAGGGCATGGAGGCACGTGCCTGTAGTCCCAGCTGCTTAGGAGGCTGAGGCAGGAGATCACTTCAGCCTGGAAGTTCAAGGCTGCAGTGAGCTATGATCACACTACTACACACCAGCCTGGGCGACAGAGTGAGACCCTGTCTCTAAATTAAAAAAAAAAAAAAAAAATGCAGCTTCCCCCAACCCTTCCTATTTTCTTTCTTGCTTTGTTTCTTACCAGAGAGTTCATAACCATCTAACATACTATATATTTTACTTATTTCATTTCTTGGTCTGCCTCCCTCCCATTAGAATGTAAGCTCTGTGAGGGCAGAGATTTTTGCTGTTTTGTTTACTGCTACGCCTCACTGCCATATCACAGAGCTCAGCACTTGGTAGGATCTCAATATTTATTGGATGAATAAATGAATAGCTTATGGCAAGTTCACACATGCTTCCAGATATTTGCTGTGCTGTTTTCTTTACTTGGAATGACATTCCTCCATGTTCAGGAGAAAAATCCCACTCAGCCTCCAAAACTCAGCTGAAGAAACCCTCTTCTGTGAAGTACACTCTGACCGTAGGCAGACCAGGTAGGAATCTCTTCTCTGAATTACTGCAGTCCAATTATACTTCTGGTGGTCCCTTATCACAGTTTTGTGTAATCTGTATGGCCCCTTAGAAGGTTTGTATTCATCCTGTATTCAAAGGACTTTTGTACCTGGACTATAATCGCAGGTACTCAAAAGCATTTGTGAAATGAAATAGTAAATGAATGAATAACTCAGATAAAGTAATTAATATGTAGCTTAGTGTGAAGACATTTAGTATGTACATAATTTAAAGAAGATACTTAAAGATACTCCTATGAAAGTCCATTTGATACTAATACTTTTTATTATACCTTACTCAAGATACAAGTTAGTGACTAATAATATACAAAGGTCAAGATAATTGCTTAGTAATTAACGTAAAAGGCTGTGTTTGCTTTCATGTTTCTTTTACATTATTTCAAGAGCTTTTTTTTTTTTTTTTTTTTTTTACTTTACCTGCTATTTGTGTTTCCATATTCATACTGGTTTAGCCTAGAGAGTATCACCATGGGCGCTAAAGACTGGGCAGATTTGGTAAACAAAGCATTAATGCCAAAAACCACTGAAGGAAGGGGTGACCTGGAACAGACAAAAATAGCATGGGTCTATATCACATACGAACTACGTGTGTGTGTGTATATATATATATATATCCATATATACAATTTGAATCAGGAATCTCTTTGTGTATGAAGTCTTCCTTAATCCTAAGTAGACAACAATAAAAATAGTATAGTATTATAAAATATTAACCTTTTAGTTATAAAGGATTATAAAACTAGAAAAACCTAACTGTTTTTAAATTTTTTTTTATTTTACTTTAAGTTCTGGGATACATGTGCTGAACATGCAGGTTTGTTACGCAGGTATACATGTGCCATGGTGGGAAAAACTTAACTCTTTTTTTTTTTTTTTTTTTTTAGAGACAGGGTCTTGCCATGTTGCCCAGGTTGGTCTTGAACTCTTGGCCTCAAGCCATCCTCCCAACTTGGCCTCCCAAAAGTACTGGGATTATTATAGTCATGAGCCATGGCGCCCAGCCAGAACCTAACTTTTTTTTTTTTTTTTAAGACAGGGTCTCACTCTGTCTCCCAGGCTGGAGTGCAGTAGCACAATCTCAGCTTGCTGCAGCCTTGAACTTCCAGGCCCAAGCGATCCTCCCACCTCAGCCTCAGCTGGGACTGCTGGCATGCACCACCATGCCTGGCTAATTTTTGTATTTTTGGGCGGGATGGGGTCTCTCTACGTTTCCCAGGCTGGTCTCGATCTCCTGGACTCAAACGATCCTCCCACCCTGGCCTCCCAAAGTGTTGGGATTATAGGTGTGAGACACCATACCTAGCAGAACCTAACTCTTAGATGAAGAAACTAAGATCCAAAGGGAAGACACAGCTCACCTCTTACAGGCCTATGCAGTGAACGCTATTTGTGCCCTGTACTCTGTTATGGGCTCTTATTACTTCATCTAAATCCCATGACAATCCCATGAGTGAGATATTACCAGCTCTGTTTTAGAGATGGGAAAGCAGATTAACTCATCCACAGTCACACAGCTAGTAAATGGTAAAACTGGGATTCATGCCTAAGTTTTTTTGACCAAGTTTTATTAAGGACTACTTTAATGTATTCCTGATAAGAATCCTCCATATAACTTTTTTAAATAATCAGGTCACATAAAATAAATCAAGTGCATTGACTGAATAAACTGAAATCTTGTCACATATCAACTAATGATGGAAACCTTGCAACTCAGGAAGAGAAAAAAGAAAACAGGAAGGAGAAAAAAGAAGAAAGGGAGGGAAAAAAATAAAAGAGAGGCAAGGTCTGAGAATTAGAGGAAATTTAATTTGATGGTAAGAGCTTGGGTTTGATTGTCTGTTCTTCAGTCTGCTGGTTACATTAACCAGAACATTGGGAACATTAATTTCTGCAAGGTCTTAGTTTCTTGAAAATGGGGATAACTTTGATTGTCTGACAATACAATTGCTGTCTATCTCCCCAACTAGACTATAAGTACCACAAGGACAGAGGCTATGTCCGGTTTTGCTCACTGGTTTTTGTCTTCTCTGACATGATTAGTGAGACAGTTGGCTCAAGCAAAAAAATCATTTTTAAAAGAAGAGACAGTAACCATTCCATTTTAACTTAACTATACTCATTCATAAATCTTTTCTTTGGGTTTTTCGCTGAGTATATGTCCACTGATGAAAGTGCTGGGCCGGCTGGGCGCGGTGGCTCACGCCTGTAATCCCAGCACTTTGGGAGGCTGAGGCGGGTGGATCACGAGGTCAGGAGATCGAGAACATCCTGGCTAACATGGTGAAACCCCGTCTCTACTAAAAATACAAAAAATTAGCCGGGCATGGTGGCGGGCACCTGTAGTCCCAGCTACTTGGGAGGCTGAGGCAGGAGAATGGTGTGAACCCAGGAGGCGGAGCTTGCGGTGAGCAGAGATCGTGCCACTGCACTCCAGCCTGGGCCACAGAGCAAGACTCCATCTCAAAAAAAAAAAAAAAAAAGAAAAAAAAAAGAAAGTGCTGTGCCATCTTTCTTGTATAAACAGGATCCATATTACATGATAGACAGTTTCTACTGTCAATTATAAAGAGAACCTCAAGTCACTTATGAAGCAAACTCAGTACAAAATATCTTTAGACTTCTTTGACTTTCCCCTCAAAACATTTAGTTTCCACTGTATCAAACGTGATAGTAATTGTTTACAACTCAATTTTTTTCTCTTCTCCTTCTCCTTCTTCTTTTGTATGTTGCCTAGGCTGGTCTCAAACTTCTGGCCTTGAGCAATCCTCCTGTCTCAGCCTCTCAAAGTGCTGGGATTACAGGCGTGAGCCACAATGCTTGACCCTACAACTCAATATCGAGTCTTCCTAAAGCATTCAACTTAATTTTCATAAAAGTAACTTTCATTTCACGTATATATTTCCTGTTTATAAAATATAAGTACAATTAAATTTTGCAATTGCAGTAACAAGTACGTCTGACATTAAGAGATTTGAATTAAAAAACACTGACCCTTGGTAATGATACACTGAATCATGGGAGTAGAAAAGTACAGGTGTCCTCAAGAGTAGCCATTTGGTCACAAACCTACTGCGCACATGTGAATAAGTACATTTTAGAGCCATGGTCTCCAACCATTTTGGCACCAGGGACCAGTTTCATGGAAGACAATTTTTCCACGGACCAGGGGGGTTGGTTTTGAGATGATTCAAGTGCATTACATTTATTATGCACTTTATTTCTAATATTATTACAGACCGGTACTGGCCTGTAGCCTAGGGGTTGGAGACCCCTGTTTTAGAGAGAAGGAAGAGCATCAGATAACTTGGAGAGTTCATTACAAGACCCACTGTATTGAATCCTCAGCATTTACCACATTGCCTGACACAAAAGAATAAATCGATAAATATTTGTCAAGTCCATAATGTCTACCACTCAAGGCTGCTGCAAGACCTGAATGAGCAAACAGTCATACAAGCTCATTTGGACATTGGCATTTGGTAAATGTTAATGCCTTTCCCTTTCTCACTGTTCAAGACATTTTATTTATTTGTAACCTATCTAATTCAAAAGGAATTTGAAAGGTGAAAAATGTTTACTGAAGTTGTTGCTTGTTTATGTATTCATTCAACAGAAGGAGTTTTGAGCCAGTCAGTTTTCCAGGTACAAAGGAGACAAAAGTGAAGATAGCGCCCTGGACTGTAAGGAGCTCACCACCTTGCCTATCACCCCAAATATGAACTTAGCAACAAAACTCTGCAACAGGAAAGGAATTAGAGAAATCCAGGTAGCTGGCAAATCTTTCCTCAATTTAATTTGCATTAAAAATAAAAGAGGGGGCTGGGCGCCCTATTTTATTATTTGCATTAAAAATAAAAGTGGTTCACATCCATAATCCCAGCACTTTTGGGAGGCCAAGCAGAAGGATCGATTGAGACCAGGAGTTCAGGACTAGCTTTGGCAACATAGCGAGATCCTCATCTCTACAACATATATATATTTAAAAATTAGCTGGGCCTGGTAGTGTGCACCTATATAGTCCTAGCTACTCAGGAGACTGAGGCAGCAGGATCTCCTGAGCCCAGGAGTTTGAGGCTGAAATGAGCTATGATCACACCACCACACTTCAGCCTGAGCAACAGAGCAAGACCCTGTCTTGAAAACAAACAAACAAACAAAAGAGGTTTTGCAGCATAAATGTTTTGACAGAACTAATAAAGAATGTGCCTCTGTCTGGCCGGGCGCAGTAGCTCATGCCTGTAATCCCAGCACTTTGGGAGGCCAAGGTGGGTGGATCATCAGGTCAGGAGTTTGAGACCAGCCTGACCAACATGATGAAACCCCGTCTCTACTAAAAATACAAAAAAATTAGCCAGGCGTGGTAGCACGTGCCTGTAATCCCAGCTACTCAATCGCTTGAACCTGGGAGGCAGAGGTGGCAGTGAGCCAAGATTGCACCACTGTACTCCAGCCTGGGCGACAGAGCAAGACTCCATCTAAAAAAAAAAAAAAAAACAATGTGCCTCTGTCTTAAAATAATACATTTCTCTCTAATCTGCAAAATAGGACACGTATGAGAAAATATTTGCCAATCAAATACACTTTATAGCTGATCTAAAGTGCTTACAATCATACCAAAGAACAGAACCTCTCATCATCAGCTTAGGCTTTTTCAGCTAAGAAAGGATAAGATGGACCTTGATTTTTAATTTTAATTCTTGCAATGTCACAGAGTAAAGGTCATTTTACCTAATCGTCCCATGTAATAAAGCATATTGCCATATGTAGAACATACAGCTAACTGAGATTTCACTTTGCTTTCTGATATTTAACCCTGTTGTAATATTGGCTGTGTGAACCTGAGAAATGAAAAACTGTGATGTCGTTTTAGAAATGGGGAAAAGTTGCCCAGGGCAAACAAGCATGAATATATCTGATTATATTCTGTCCCCTGGTTCCTAGCAATGCCTCTTATGATTGTCTTTCAGATATGTGATTTGTAGTGGCAATATAACTGAGATATGGAGACTCTGATAGGTCCTGCCTACATGTGATATTTTTGTAGCTAACATTTGAAAAAGTATACTTACTGCTGATTAAACTTTAGTAAATCTGCATCAACCATGTCAGCTAGTGGCAGGGTAAACAAGGAAACCGAAGCTCACACGATAACCCTAGAAAAAATGTTAAAACACATATGAAAATTTTACAACTAGGAGGCACAGCTTTTGTTAAAAAAGAATAAAATGAAAGTTGACATTTGATTTGCAAGAAGATAAAAGGAAATGATATACTATAAAAGTAAAGCTATATTAGGCATACCCTTCTATCCTCCCAAATATTATATATCTATGAATATATAATTCTCTTTTAAAAGTGAAATAACTACTTTCACTTGGGAATTTTAAAAATGATTTTTATGCTTCTTCCTCATTCCAAATGACTAAACTCATTTAATCTGCTTAAATTATTAATAGATTCTAAAGGACAGGAAGTGCCAGGGAAATTAATCACACAGACATCTTTCTCTTGATATCAGAAATAGGATACATTAAGAACTGAGAAAGGGCATATAGCATTTTAATTATGATAGAAGAATAAAAATGAGGGGGATGGTTTAAGTGAAGAAAAAGCAAAAATATTCATTCTAAAAATTACTATAAACTATCATTTTACATATTATACAGCCAGGGCCACCCTTACAGACTTATAGAATAGTTATCTGCATGGGGTTCTAATGTCTTGAAGTTTCATAGGGATTCAATCATTTGAGTCAATTATTACAGTCTCCACTACCAGTTTGTTCAAAATGCAAATATGTCTTCATGAAAATTTTCTCAAGTTGTTCCAGCAGGGACCTGGAATAGAATGTATTAATTCATTCACTCAAAATGAGTGACTCATGCCTGTAATCCTACACTTTGGGAGGACGAGGTGGGTGGATCACTTGAAGTCAGGAGTTTAAGACCAGCCTGGCCAACATGGTGAAACCCCGTCTCTACTAAAAATACAAAAATTAGCCAGGCATGGTGGCTGGTGCCTGTAGTCCCAGCTACTCGGGAGGCTGAGGCAGGAGAATTGCTTGAACCTGGGAGGTGGAGGTTGCAGTGAGCCGAGATCACGCCACTGCACTCCTGGACAACAGAGTGAGACTCCATCTCAAATAAAACAAAAAACAAAAACAAAAACATTATCTTTTCTTTTCTTTTCTTTTTTGAGACAGGGACTCACTCTGTTGTCCAGGCTGGAGTGCAGTAGCATGATTTCAGCTCACTGCAGCCTCCACCTCTTGGGCTCAGGTGATCCTCCCACTTCAGCCTCCTGAATATCTGAGACTACAGGAGTGCACCACCACACCTGGCTAAATTTTTATTTTGTGTAGAGACAGGGTTTTGCCATGTTTCCCAGGCTGGTCTTGAACTCCTGGGCTCAAGTGATCCTCCCACCTCAGCCTCCCAAAGTGCTGGAAGTATAGGCATGAGCCACTGTGCCTGGCCCAAAACACATTTTCTAAGGACCAACTATTTGCAGGAACTGCAGTAGGTAATGGGCCGCAGTGGTAAGAGACTAGACCCTATTCACAATAAACTCAATCCAGTGGGGACTACAGATAGTCGCAGGTAGAGGAAAAGCACCACAGCAGAAGTAAGCATAGGGCACTGGAGTCATATAGGAGGGCCACCTAATCCAGATGAGGAAATCAGGGAAGGCTTCCCAGAGAAGCACATGCCCGAACTGTGGCCTAAGACACGTGAGGACAGGGCCAAGCAAGAAATGGGGAAGAGCTTTCCAGGCACAGGAAACTGCATCTTCTAGACACAGAGGTGTCTGAACCAGGAACTGCAAAGTATTTCTGTATGGCAGAGAGTACAGTGTAAGTTGAGGAGTAACAAGAAATGAAGATGAAGGCTGGGCACAGTGGCTCACACCTGTAATCCCAGCACTTTGGGATGCCAAGGTGAGCAGATCGCTTGAGCCCAGGAGTTCAACACCAGCCTGGGCAACATGGCAAAAACCCATCTCTACAAAAAATAAAAATTAAGCTGGGCATGGTAGTACACATCTGTAGTCCCAGCTATTTAGGAGGATGAGGTGGGAGGATCACCTGAGCCTGGGAGGTGGAGGTTAGAGTGGGCCATATTTGTGCCACTGTACTCTAGCCTGGGCAACAGAGCAAGACCCTGTCTCAGAAAAAAAAAAAAAAAGAAATGAAGACGAAAAGATAAAGAGGGACTATATAACAAGACATCATAATGTCATCATTTCGAAATACCCTGAAAGCAATAAGAAGCCACTTAAGATTATTAAAGGTACTTGGGAGGCTGAGGTAGGAGAATCGTGTGAACCCGGGAGGCGGAGCTTGCAGTGAGCCAAGATCGTGCCACTGCACTCCAGCCTGGGCGACACAGTGAGATTCCATCTCAAAAAAAAAAAAAAGATTATTAAGCAAAGGAAGAGCATGTTATTCTAGAAGCAATATGAGAGAGGGAGTTGGAGAGACTGGAGACTATAAACTAGGGGATCATATGGGAAGACTGTATCCTATTCCATGTAAGAAATGAGCTATAGGAATGTCAGTGGAACTGAGAAGAGATGGATTCAGGGCACATTAGGGAGATAAAACTGCTAACAATTAACAGTGTGTTGGACCTAGGTGTCAAAGAAGAGAGAAAAGGCAAAGACAACTTCTCGGTCTCTGACTTGGGCAACCAGATAGATGGCAAAGCCATTTCCCGAGATGGCAAATAATGGCAAAAGAGCAGATTTGGCAGCAAGATCTTTGATTTGGACCTGCAGAATTTGACATGCCTGTGATGGAGGCAAAGTGGGTGCTTGGGGGAGGAGGAGAGGTTGCAGAAATAGGAGGAAGAGTTGAAGGAGAAATAGAAGCTCAGTGTCTTTTATACGTGGCAGCAGTATTTACTAAATATATTTTTGAGACAGGGTCTCACTCTTGTCACCTAGGCTGGATGGAGTGCAGTGGTGCAGTCGTAGCTCACTATGACTTGAATTCGTGGGCTCAAGTATGATCCTCCTGCCTCAGCCACTAGAGTAGCTGGGACTACAGGCATGTGCCACCAAAAAATTTTTTAATTTTTTATAGAGATGCGGTCTTACTCTGTTGCCCAGGCTAGTCTCAAACTCTTGGCCTTAAGCAATCCTCCAACCTTAGCCTTCCAAGTAAATTTTTTAATAGGTTAAAAAAAAGTAAGTTTACTACAAAATTTAATGTATGAAATTCCTTCATAAAACAAGCCATTAACATTCAGACAATTTGTCAAAAAGGTACAATGACCTTGCCTAGAAATGAATATTAAACTCAGTCCGGATCAAAAATGTGTCACTGCTTGAAAGGGCAAATAGTAAAATTTAGTGTAATTTTGAGACTGGAACCAGCATTTACTTACATGATAATAGTGAGATAAAGAGCCAAACAGTAATAGTATTGCTTTCCCAGGAGTAACATTACAATGGAGGCTGTTCCTTCTACATAGAAAGAAATTAAGATGATCTTATGGTAATCAAACTTTTTCAGCCAGGACTGACTGATAAGTACAAGGCACTGAAATGGAAACAGAATGGCATTGTGTTAAGATGGAACTCCACGCATTATTAAGCTTACTTACTCTTGCTGATGACAAAATAAACATTCTTATTGCAAAATAAATTGCTGGCCAGGTGTGGTGGCTGATGCCTATAATCCCAACACTTTGGAAGGCCAAGGTAGAAGGATCACTTGAGCCCAGGAGTTCATGACCAGCCTGGGCAACATGGTGAAATTCTATCTCTACAAATAATACAAAAATTAGCTAGGTGTGGTGATGTACAGCTGTAGTCCCAGCTACTAGGGAGGCTCAGGTTGGAGTACTGCTTCAGCCCAGGAGGTTGAGGCTATAATGATCTATGATCACACCCACTGCACCCCAACCTGAGTGACAGAGCAAGACCCTGTCTCAAAAAATATGTAATAAATAAATAAATTTGCTTCTGAATTATAGTGTCAATTGAAACACACAATTAAAACTATCTTGCTTAGATATGCCATTATTATCCATATATACCAAAAATTGATTATGAATGGTAACTTTTTTTTTTTTTTGAGACAGAGTCTCAAATCTGTCATCCAGGTTGAAGTGCAGTGGCATGATCTTAGCTTACTGCAAACTTTGCCTCCCAGGTTCAAGCAATTCTCATGCCTCAGCATCCTGAATAGCTGGGATGACAGGCAAGCACCACTGTGCCTGGCTAACTTTTGTATTTTTAGTAGAGACAGTGTTTCACCATGTTGGCCAGGCTGGTCTCAAACTCGGGCTCAAGTGATCTGTCTGCCTCGGCCTCCCAAAATGTTAGGATTACAGGCGTGAGCCACCACATCTTGCCTGAAATGTACTTTTTACCCTAAAATCAAGCATCAGGGTAAACAAGAGTTAGCATTCCTTGCTAACTGTGCCCTGCCTAACTTTATATGTTTTTATCATTATAACAGATTCATTTTAAGAGCTCAGACTTAGGTTTTTTGCATTTCTTGCTATCAGTGAAAAAGTTCATTGTTCTAGACTGAAAAGTTTATGCTAAATATACATATGTACATTAACAAAGATCAGAAGATACTCTTTGTTTTCAATAAAAAAGCACACATTGTTTATCCCTGATAAGTTTTCACTAACCAAAAGTATGTGCATTATAGTTAGAAGAGAATTTTGAATGATGTAAGTAGAATACAGATGTTCTTTAATAAACATAAGGGTTTTTTTTACCCTGACTGATTTTTTGACTGACTTTTCTACTTTCAAGGAACAAGAGTTCATTTTCTGGATACTAAAAAACAATGGATCAGTGATTGATGTGGTCCAAGGCATTTCTTAGAGTTCTGTAAGAGGAAGTATATAAAATACCCCAACAAGTCCAATTATATTCTTAAATATTATTATAATATTATAAAGGAACACATTTCCACATATTGAAATGCAGCTGCTGTTTCTCCATCTCTAGTACATAAACATACAAAATACAAGAAGTTAATAATGTAAGAAATATGTGGTAGAGTGGAATGTGCAAGATTTTTTTTACAGACAAGGTCTTACTATGCTGCCCAGCCTGGTCTCAAATTTCTGGGCTCAAGCAATCATCCCAAGTAGCTGACCACAGGCATGCACCACCACGTCTGGCTAAAAAGTGAAAGATTTTGAAATCAGATGTCCCTAGGTTTAAATTCCAGCTTTGCCACTTTTACCAGCTATTTCTTCACAGACAAGTTACTTTACCTAAGAGGCATTTCCCCCACCAAGACAAACTTTCTCTCTCTCTCTCTCTCTCTCTCTCTCACTCTTGCTCTCTTCCATTTCTCTTCTCTTACCTAGC
The DNA here is from genome assembly GCF_000001405.40 of Homo sapiens. Taxonomy (NCBI): domain Eukaryota; kingdom Metazoa; phylum Chordata; class Mammalia; order Primates; family Hominidae; genus Homo; species Homo sapiens. The sequence continues at coordinate 707,536 of NW_017852933.1, forward strand.
ACCATACTCAACATATAAGGCACTTAATAATTGGTAGCTATTTTTCTTGTGTCCAATATATAAAAAGATATAAGCCAATGATGAGTAGTATCACAAAAATCATGAAAGAAAAGAGAAAGACCGCCTTTTTTTTTTTTTTTAACTAAAATAAAGCCTTCTACAGATGAAAGATTTTGGCTCCCCATTCAACAGTGTGTTCCAACATAAGTGTTGGCAAACCTGTGGCAAAGGAGCCTACATCAAGACAGAGGGATAAAGGCAGTGCTGTGCTCACAGTGAAAGTCTAATAGATACCTGCTGCACTGAGTTGGCTGTACATAATAAGAGCTAACATTTCTAGAGGGTTTATTTTGTGCCAGGAACCGTTTTAAGTACTTTGGATGTTTTAATTCATTTAACCCTCATAATAATTTCCTTAGGTAGGCACTATTTTTTTGTTGTTTTTTAAGACAGGGTCTTGCTCTGTCACCCAGGCTGGAGTGCAGTGGCACAATCACGGCTCCCTGCAGCTTTGACCTCCTGGGCTCAAGCGATTTTCCCACCTCAGCCTCCCAAGTAGCTGGGACTCCAGGTGTGTGCCACTATGTCTGGCTATTTTTTTAAATTTTTTATAGAGACAGGGTCTCGCTATGTTGCCCAGGGTGGTCTTAAACTCCTGGGCTCAAGTGACCCTCCCACCTTAGCCTCCCAAAGTACTGGGAGCCATTGTGCCCAGACCAGTAGGTACTATTTTGATCCTCATTTTACAGATGAGGAAACTAAGGCACAGAGAGGTTGAGTAACTTACCTAGGATTGCACAGCTAGTAAGTGGAGAGCCAGGCTCCTCCTGGGCAGACTGCAGATCCATGCTCTTAACCCAGTTACTCCTCTGCCTCTCTGGGGAGTGTAATATGGAAGAGTGACAGACCTATACCAACAGTTATTAGGGAGACAGAGTATTTATTCATCCTTTTCTCCTTTATTTATTCAACTCCTCAAAAAGAAAACCAGCCTGAGGGCTGGGTGCGGTGGCTCACGCCTGTAATCCCAGCACTTTGGAAGGCTGAGGCAGGTGGATCACTTGAGGTCAGTAGTTGGGAGACGAGCCTGGCCAACATGGTGAAACCCCATTTCTACTAAAAATACAAAAATTAGCCAGGCATGGTGGCACATGCCCGTAATCCCAGCTACTTGGGAGGTTGAGGCAGGAGAATTGCTTGAATCTGGGAGGCGGAGATTGCAGTGAGCTGAGACCATGCCATCACACTCCAGCCTGGGTGGCAGAGCGAGACTGTCTCAAGAAAAAGAGAGAGAGAGAGAGAGAGAGAGACTGTCTCAAGAAAAAGAGAGAGAGAGAAAGAAAAGAAAGAAAGAAAAGGAAAGAAAAGGTAAGAAAGAAAGAAAAGGAAAGAAAGAAAGAAGAAAGAAAGAAAGAAAGAAGAAAGAAAGAAAGAAAGAGGAAGGGAGAAAGGGAGGGAGGGAGGACGGAGAGAGAAAGAGAAAATGAAAACATAGTGCTCACCCTTCATTATTTTATCCAATAAAGTGTTAAAGAGACTTAGCCAAATGAATAACAAGAACAACAGATTCCAATGAGCTGTCATTATTTTTTTTTTTTGTCTGAGGCAGAGTCTGTCACCCAGGCTGGAGTGCAGTGGCACCGTCTCGGCTAACTGCAACCTCCACCTCCCAGGTTCAAGTAATTCTCTGCCTCAGCCTCCCAACTAGCTGGGATTACTGACACCCACCACCACGCCCGGCTAATTTTTTGTATTTTTAGTAGAGACAGTGTTTCACCATCTTGGCAGGCTGGTCTTGAACTCCTGACCTCATGATCCACCCACCTCAGCCTCCCAAAGTGCTGGGATTACAGGCGTGAGCCACCACGCCTGGCCAAGCTGTCATTTTTTACCACAATAATTTACACGTGTTAATTCTCTAGAAATTAAGAATAAATTTCAAGCAACTTTGGATTTTCTTTTATTTTTTGTAGAGACAGGGTTTCGCTGTGTTGCCCAGGCTGGTCCCAAACTCCTGGCTTCAAGCAATCCTCCTGCCTCAGCCTCCCAAAGTGCTGGAATTACAGGTGTTAGCCATTGGGCCAGACCTGGATTTCCATTTTATAATAATTTTTTATTGAGATCAATAGAAAGTCCTATGTTTTTGTGAGGGCTTAAGAAAAATGACTGTTAAAATCTTTTGGCTATACTTCTCTTAACAACTAGTAACCAAGAGAGACTAAGAGAAAGTATTTACTGATCATATATCTGACAAAAGACATGTGCCTAGAATATACAAATAACTCCTACAACTCAATAATATGAAGACTAATTACTCAATTTAAAAAGACACAAATTATTTTAATAAATAACCAAAAAGATACATGGATGGCAAGTAAGCATATGAAAAGATGCTCAACATCATTAGTAGTCATTAGGAAAATGTAAATCAAAAACACAGTAAGATACTACATACCGGCCAGGCGTGGTGGCTCACGCCTGTAATCCCAGCACTTTGGGAGGCCGAGGCAGGCGGATCACGAGGTCAGGAGATCGAGACCATCCTGGCTAACATGGTGAAACCCCATCTCTAATAAAAATACAAAAAATTAGCCAGGCGTGGTGGCGGGAGCCTGTAGTCTCAGCTACTCGAGAGGCTGAGGCAGGAGAATGGCATGAACCCAGGAGGCGGAGCTTGCAGTGAGCCGAGATTGCGCCATTGCACTCCAGCCTGGGCGACAGAATGAGACTCTGTCTCAAACAAAAAAAGGAAAAAAAAAGTAAAGAGAAAGGTAAACATCTACCTTCCATACAACCCAGCCATTCTACTCCTAGGTATTTACTCAAGAGCAAGGAAAGCATATATCCATACAAAGACACAAAATGCTCATAGCTTTATTTGTAACAGCCAAAAACCAGATCCAACCCAAATGTCCATCAAGAGATGAAAGAAGGAAGTCCTGGCCAGAGCAATCAAGCAAAAGAAAGAAAGAAATTACATCCAAATAGGAAGAGAAGAAGTCAAACTATCTGTCTTTGGTGACAATATGATTCTATACATAGAAAACCCTAAAGACTCCACCAAAGGACTCCTGGAACTGATAAATGACTTCAGTAAAGTTTCAGGATACAAAATCAATGTACAAAAATCTGTGGCATTTCTTTACATGAATAATGTTCAAGCTGAGAACCAAATCAAGAATGCGATCCTATTTACAGTAGCCACAGAAAAAATTAACATACCTAGGAATTCATCTCACCAAGGAGGTGAAAGATCTCTACAAGGAGAACTATAAAACACTGCTGAAAAAAATCATATATGACACAAATGGAAAAACATTCCATGCTCATGGATTGGAAGAATCAATATTGTTACAATGTCCATACTGCCCACAGCAATCTACAGATTCAATGCTATTCCTATCAAACTACCAACATCATTTTTCACAGAGTTAGAATAAACTATTTGCAATTTCATATGGAACCAAAAAGAGCCCAAATAGCAAAGCAAGCCTAAGCAAAGAGAACAAAGCCAGTGACATTACCTGACTTCAAATCGTACTATAAGGCTACAGTAACCAAAACAGCATGGTACTGGTACAAAAACAGCCACATAGACCAATGGAACAGAACAGAGAACTGAGAAATAAAGCTGTACTCTTGCAGCCATCTGATCTTCAATAAAATCAACAAAAATAAGCAATGGGGAAAGGATTCCTTATTCAATAAATGGTGCTGGGATAGCTGGCTAGCCATATGCAGAAGACTGAAACTGCACCTTTCACCACATATAAAAATTAACTCAAGATGGATTAAAGATTTGAATGTAAGACTTCAAACTATAAGAATCCTAAAAGAAAACCTAGGAAACACCATTCTGGACATCAACCTTGGGAAATAATTTATTGCTAAATCCTTAGAAGCAATTGCAACAAAAACAAAAATTGACAAGTGGGACCTAATTAAACCAAAGAGCTTATGCACAGCAAAAGAAATTATCAACAGAGTAGGCAGACAACCTATAGAATGGGAGAAAATACTTGCAAACTATGCACCTGACAAAGGTCTAATATCCAGAATCTATAAGGAACCTAAGCAATTGACCAAGCAATAAACAAACAACTGCATTAAAAAGTGGGCAAAAGACATGAACAGATACATCTCAAAAAAAGACATAAGCAGCCAATCATGAAAAAATGCTCAACATCACTAATCATCAGAGAACTGCAAATCAAAACCACAATGAGATACCATCTCATACTAATCAGAATGGCTATTGCTAAAAGTAAAAAAAAAAAAACCAACAGACAGATAGACTGCAGAGAAAAGGGAACACTTATACGCTGTTGATGGCAATGTAAATTAGTTCAACCACTGTGGAAAGCAGTTTGGAGATTTCTCAAACTACCTAACACAGAACTACCACTTGACCCAGCAATCCCATTACTGGGTTTATATCCAAAAGGAAATAAATTGCTCTACCAAAAAGACACATACACTCTCCTGTTCATTGTAGCACTATTTACAATAGTGAAGACATGGAATCAGCCTAGGTGCCCACCAACGGTGGACTGGGTAAACAAAATGTGGCACATATACACCATGGACTATCACATAGCCATAAAAAGAATGAAATCATGTCCTTTGCAGCAACATGGATGCAGCTGGAGGCCATTATCCAAAGCAAATTAACACAGGAACAGACAAGCTAATACCACATGTTCTCTCTTATAAGTGGGAGATAAGCATTGGGTACTCATGGCAAAAAGATGGCAACAATAGACACTGGGGAATACTAGAAAGGCAGGGGGCAAGGGTTAAAAAACTAACTATTGGGTGCTATGTTCACTACCTGAGTGACAGGATCAATCATACCCCAAACCTCAACATCACACAATGCGCCCACATAACAAACCTGCACATATATTCCCTGAATCTAAAATAAAAGTTGAAATGATAAAAAACGTGGGCGGAGGGGGAGGAATTATTTAAAAAAAAAAAAAAAAGCAAATTGTGGTATACCCACATAATAGAATACTACTTGGCAATAAAAAGGAATTAAATATGGATACTCACAACATGACCAAAAGAATCCAGACCAAAAAATAGTACATTACTGTATGATTCCACTTATATAAAAACCTATAAAATGTAAACAAATCTATACTGATAGAAAGTAGCTCGACAGTTGCCTGAGAATTAGGGAGGTTAGGGAAGGGTGGAAGGAAGGGATTAACAAAGAAGCAGAAAGGCACTTTGGGGAATAATAGATACGTTAACCATCTTAATTGTGGTGATGGTTTCATGGTGTGTACATATGCTGGAATGTATCAAACTATACAGTTTAAATACATGCAGTTTTTTTTGTAGGTCAATCATACTGCAATAAAGCTACAAGAAAAATCCTGCCTTTCTTTCAACTCTTAAATTTTTCCAAATATTAAATAAAGCATGAAAAACAAAAACAGAAGCTTATATTAAAACCTGTTAATGACCAGGCACAGTGGCTCATACCTGTAATCCCAGCACTTTGGGAGGCTGAGGCAGGAAGATTGCTTGAGACCAGGAGTTCAAAACCAGCCTGAGCAATATAGCGAGACTCCATCTTTACCAAGAAATTAAGTCAGCCAGGCATGGTGGTGTATGCCTGTAATCCTAGCTACTCAGTAACCTGAGGTGGGAGGATTCCTTGAGCCCAGGAGTTTGAGGCTGCAGTGAGCTATGATCATGCCACTACACTCTAGCCTGGGGGACAGAGTGAGACCTTGTCTCTAAAAGATTAAAAAAAAAAAAAAAAGGCCAGGCATGGTGGCTCACACCTGTAATCTCAGCACTTAGGGAGGCCGAGGCGGGTGGATCACTTGAGGTCAAGAGTTCAAGACCAGCCTGGCCAACATGGTGAAACCCCATATCTACTAAAAATACAAAAATTAGCTGGGCTTGGTGGTGCATGCCTGTAGTCCCAGCTACTCGGGAGGCTGAGGTAGGAGAATCGCTTGAACCTGGGAGGCGGAGGTTGCTGTGAGCCGAGATCACGCCACTGCACTCCAGCCTGGGAGACAGAGTGAGACTCCATCTCAATAAATCAATAATAAATAAACAAATAAATACTTGTGAATAAATTTAACAAAAGAAGGGGAAAATTATAAAATATTGAAAGAAATTTCTAAACATCTAAATAGATGGAAAAACATCCCATGTTCATGGATCAGAAGATTTAACATCATTAATATGGCAATACTACTCAAGCTGATCTACAAATTCAGTGCAATCCCTATCAGTATTCCAGCTGACTTATTTGTAGAAATTGACAAACTGATTCTAAAATGTATATAGATTTGCAAGAGACTCAGAATAGCCAAGTCAATCTTGAAAAAGAAGAACGAGGCTGGGTGCAGTGGTTCACGACTATAATCCTACCACTTTGGGAGGCCAAGACAGGAGGATCACTTGAGACCAGGAGTTTGAGGTCAACCTGGGCAACATAGTGATGCCCCATCTCTACAAAAAATAATTTTTAAAAATTAGCTGGGAGTGGTGGCGCATGCCTGTAGTCCCAGCTACTCAGGAGGCTGAGGTGGGAGGATTGGTTCAGCTGAGGATGTCGAGGCTACAGTGAGCAGTGTAGGTCAAGGCGACACTGAACTCCATCCTGGGCAACAGACTGAAACTCTTGTTTCAAAAAAAATTAAATTAAATAAAAAAGAAAAAGAAGAATAAAGTAGGAAGACTCATACTTCTCAATCTCATCAAGAAAGAAAGTGAAAAGACAACCCACAGGAGAAAAATTTTGCAAACAATATCTGATAACAGATTGCATCAAACATATATTAATATGAAGAACTATTACAACTCGAGTATTAGTAAACTAAATAAAAAGACAACCTAATTATTAAAAACTGGGCAAATGGGCTGAATAGACATTTCTCTCTTTTACTTTATTTCTTTCTTTCTTTTGAGACAGTCTTACTCTGTCACCCAGGCTGGAGTGCAGTGGCATGATCTCGGCTCACTGCAACTTCCACCTCCAGGGTTCAAGGAATTCTCCCTGCCTCAGCCACCCGAGTAGCTGGGATTACAGGAGCCCACCACCACGCCCAGCTAATTTTTGTATTTTTTAGTAGAGATGGGGTTTCGCCATGTTGGCCAGGCTGGTCTTGAACTCCTGACCTCCAGTGATCCACCCGCCTCAGTCTCCTAAAGTGCTGGGATTACAGGCTTGAGCCACCGCGCCTGGCCTGAATAGACATTTCTCTAAAGAACATATACAAATGACCAACAGCATATAAAAAGATGCACAACATCATTAACTATCAGGCAAATGCAAATCAAAACTACAATGAGATGTCATTCACACACACTAGGATGGCTATAATCAAAAACACAGATAATAACAAGTATTGGTGAGGATTTGGAAAAACTGGACCCGTTGTACATTATTGGTAGGAATGTAAAATAGTGCACCAATTGTGGAAAATGGTCTGTCAGTATCGCAAAATGTGAAACATAGAGTTACTATGTGAGACACAACTATTCCGCTCCTGGATATATGCCCAAAAGAAATGAAAATATATATCTGTGCAAAAATCCTGTACATTAATGTTCATGGCAGCATTACTTGTTAATAGTCAAAAAGCAGAAACAACCCAAATGCTCATCAACTGAGGAGTGGATAAACAAAATGTGTTATAGCCATATGATGACTTATTAAGTTATTAAAAGGAATGAAGTACTCATACTACAATCTTAAAAACATGCTAAGTGTACATCAAATTACATCTAGTGTAAAAAAAATGCTAAGTGAAGGAAGCTGGTCACAAAAGACCACATATTATATGATTCAATTTATATGAAAGTCTAGAACAAGCAAATCCATAGAGACAAAATGTAGACTGATGGTAACCAAGGGATGAGGGGAAAGTGCAATGAGATTGTACTTTCAAGAATTTCAACTCCTCAAAAATTGACTAGTTCTTTTCAAAATGATAAAAATGTTCTAAAAATGATTGTAGTGCTGGTTGCTCAACTCCATGAATATATTAAAATTTGTTGAATTGTATGTTTTAAATGAGGTATGGTATGTGAATCATTTCAACAAAACTGTTTTTAAAAAATCTACCTTTGCTGGTTGTTCTTGAGCTGAGTTAAGAGAAAAAAAATCTACTTTTTTTTTTTTTTTTTTTTGAGACAGAGATCTCACTCTGCCACCCAGGCTGGTCTGCCGCCCAGGCTGGAGTGCAGTGGTACGATCTCGGCTCACTGCAAGCTCCGCCTCCCAGGTTCATGCCATTCTCCTGCCTCAGCCTCCAGAGTAGCTGGGACTACAGGCGCCCGCCACCATGCTCGGCTAATTTTTTGTATTTTTAGTAGAGACGGGGTTTCACCGTGTTAGCCAGGATGGTCTCAATCTCCTGACCTCGTGATCCGCCCGCCTCGGCCTCCCAAAGTGCTGGGATTAAAGGCGTGAGCCACTGCGCCCAGCCTACTCTTTGTCTTTACACGAGAGTTTTTGTTTGTTGGTTTTGAGACAAACAGGGTCTCACTCTGTTGCCCGTGCTGGAGTGTATAAGTGTGATTTCGGCTCACTGCAGCCTTGTCCTCCCCAGGCTCAGGTGATCCTCCTACCTCAGCCTCCTGAATAGCTGGGACTACAGGAGCACACCAGTATGTCTGGCTAATTTTTGTATATTTTGTAGAGACAGGGTTTCGCCATGTTGCCCAGACCAGTCTTGAACTCCTGGGCTTAAGCAATCTGCCTGCCTCGTCCTCCCAAAAAGCCAGGATTACAGGCATGAGCCACCACACCCAGGCTTACATAAGAGTTTAACAATTTTTTTTTTAACCTGGTGAAGAGGATAAACTATAGGCAAGTATTATACATGATTTAAAGTAAGAAAGCATATATAGCCTAGAATATGATAGCAAATAATAAGCAGAGACAGGAACTCAAACAGCTTCCCATTCTGGGTGGTTAAACAGAGGAGCAAACAAACTTCAAATTGCTTTGAAAGGAGAGCATCATTTTATCATGCATACACAGTACATGGACTATACTGATAAGCCAGACATGAAATTCCATTTGATATACTCTGCTAAATAAATGATGCAAGCACAGTACATTTTAGAGACAGAATCTTAAAGTACACAGCTCTAAAGGTACCATCTCCCTTTTCTCGTCTGTAAGAATAAGAATCTCTTCCTCCAAGATTGTTATGAGGATCACGTCAGGTAATGTACACAATGCACTTGGCAATGGTCCATGGCACAGGGTAAACACTCAAAACTGTGGATTACCATTATTATGGCACATACAGTAATTATAAAGACATTGGGATAATAGCAGACAGGCAAATTCTATTCTATATACTTTGCTTAAGAAATTGTGGTGGGCCGGACACTGTGGCTCATGCCTGCAATCCCAACACTTTGGGAAGCCAAGGTGGGAGGACTGCTTGACACCAGGAGTTCAAGACCAACCTGGGCAACATGGCTGGTCTTGAAAAACACTGTCTCTACAAAAAATAAAAAACTTAGCTGGGCATGGTGGTGCACGCCTGTGATCCCAGCTACTCAGGAGGCAGAGGTAGGAGGAAAGCTTGAGCCCAGGAGATCAAGGCTGCAGTGAGCCATGATTGTGCCACTGCACGCCAGCCTGGGTGACAGGGCATGACACTGTCTCTAAAAAAATAAAGAGATAGGCCGGGCGTGGTGGCTCACACCTGTAATCGTAGCACTTTGGGAGGCCAAGCTGGGCAGATCACGAGGTCAGGAGGTTGAGACCATCCTGGCAAACACAGTGAAACCCCATCTCTACTAAAAATACAAAGAAATTAGCTGGGCGTGGTGGCGGGCGCCTGTAGTCCCAGCTACTCGGGAGGCTGAGGCAGGAGAATGGCATGAACCCGGGGGGCGGAACTTGCAGTGAGCCGAGATTGCGCCACTGCACTCCAGCCTGGGCGACAGAGCGAGACTTCATCTCTAAATAAATAAATAAATAAATAAATAGAAATAAAGAAATTGTGGCAACACTTAAAACATTTTAGAACTATTTCTATCCCAAATGGCTTAACGATTTTTGAAAGCTGGTAAACAGTAAAAACTAGTCTATCTAGAATAACCTCTTCCCTGAAGAGTATTGCTAAGATGTTTTGCTTATCATTTGTGAAAACAGGAAAAACCTTTATCATAGGCAAGATAAAGTCATATTTTTAGAGGACATATTTAGGTTAAGGGGAACAACATATCAGCTCTCCAAATGGTATAAGCAGCAGACCAGTATATTTTTTTAAGAGGACATGACCTCTACAATAATGATCATGACCATGGAATTTTAATAGTGCTCTGAAATTCCAGGACTCAGGCTTTTAGCCAAGTGTTTTGAAACTTGATCAACTAACTGTTCTTCCATGTGATGGTCACAGAAGTCTTAAACACCCAAATAAAGCAAAACGACACGCTCACAGGAAGCTGTTTTCTTCCATAGTTCTGCTGAGGCTTAAAGGAGAAAGCTGAGAGGAACAAAATTCCACAGCAAAAATGTTTAAAATATCACATTATTCGGTTCTCATTGGGGACTCTTTCCTTTTTTCCTTTTGTCTCTTTTTTTTTTTTTTTTTTTTGAGATGGAGTCTTACTCTGTCACCCAGGCTGGAGTACGGTGGTGCGATCTCAGCTCACTGCAACCTCCGCCTCCTGGGTTCAAGCGATTATCCTGCCTCAGCCTCCTGAGTAGCTGGGATTACAGGTGCCCGCAACCAAGCCCGGCTAATTTTTGTATTTTTAGTAGAGACAAGGTTTCACCATGTTGGCCAGGCTGGTCTCGAACTCCTGACCTCTAGTGATCCACCCGCCTCGGCCTCCCAAAGTGCTGGGATTATAGGCATGGGCCAGTGGGCTTGACCTTGTCTCTTTTTTCCATTATGTTTCTACTGAATCTTGTATGATATGTGGAGCTCTGAATCTATGGGTCTTTTAATAACTGTGTGTCGGCCAGGTGCGGTGGCTCATGCCTGAAATCCCAGCACTCTGGGAGGCCGAGGCAGGCTGATCACGAGGTCAGGAGTTTGAGACCAGCCTGAACAACATGGTGAAACCCCGTCTCTACCAAAAATACAAAAGTTAGCCAGGTGTGGTGTCATGCACCTATAATCCCAGCTACTCAGGAGGCTGAGGCAGGAGAATTGCTTGAACCTGGGAGGGCGAGGGTTGCAGTGAGCCGAGATCACACCACTGCACTCCATCTTGGGTGACAGAGCAAGACTGTCTCAAACAAACAAACAAAAAAAAACTGTGTGTCACTTTTTCAAACTACTGATGAAATCAGGTTTCTAATATCATCATCCAGCTAAGAGTTAAATCTCTAATCCCTGCAGGAAAAATTATCACAAATTATAAATCATAGAGAACATAAGTATAATAATTATAATAATAGTAAATAACATAAAGAACTATTACATACCTGTGGGCAAATAAAGCCTGCCCCGTACATAATGCTCCTTATAGAAGAAGATAGTACATCTCTGGGAATGAGAATATCTGCAAAGATCATCATGAAGTTGCTGAAAAAGGTTAAATTAAAGACTTGAAAGAAATTCATGATCAGAAAAAGGTAAAAGTATTTCTGGGGCAAGATCTATCTCACGGATAAAATGACAGGAGTCCAGGCGAGATTCTGTTTAGATTCCAAGAGGAGGTTCTCTTTGGGGCTTCTTTTAGGTTTGAAACGCCTCACGTGATACATCCCAGCGTAAAGGCTGGCAGCAGCAAGGAAAGCAATGACGATGGCAACAGCCTGGAAATGGGGCAAAATTTCCATGTTATTAGAGATCAGGCCATAGAAAAGGATACTGGTAGAGCCCACAAGTGATGCCACTTGGTTAATTTTAATAAGCTGAAGCCGACTTTCATGTCTAGTGAAAATCTCTGCAAACAGTTTACATTGGGCTTGTTGGACACAGGTGGGCATGCTATCAAATGCACATAATGATACCACCAGGTGAAGTCCACTAAGCCAGTCACCTTCTTGATAGTATTTCCAAGGGAACCACGGGAGCAGGAAGGCTGCTGCATAGAAAGGGACACAGTACAAGACAGAAATATGATGACTTGAACAGCATTTGGCTTTAGAGTTGTTGGGAAAATATCCAGTCAGGTCATTAAGAACATTCCATATCATTAAAATTATTTAGGAAGAAAAAAACACACAGGATGTTTCAGTGTAGTAGAACAAATTACTGCCCTCAGTACAAGACAAAAATGACCCCTGATTTTTTTTTTTTTACTTACGTGAAGTAACCGAAGGTGATCAGTAGAAAAGCTCATTGTTTTCAGAACTACTTAAAAATTTAATAACAGCAAATACTACTCAAAAGCCAATGTGCATTCACTTTGTTTTTTTTTTTTTTTTTTTTTTAGACGGAGTCTTGCTCTGTCGCCAGCCCAGAGTGCAGCGGCACGATCTCGGCTCACTGCAACCTCCACCTCCCGGGTTCAAGTGATTCTCCTGCCTCAGCCTCCCAAGTAGCTGGGACTACAGGCACGCACCACCACGCCCAAATAATTTTTGTATTTTTAGTAGAGACGGGGTTTCACCATGTTGGCCAGGATGATCTTGATCTCTTGACCTCGTGATCTGCCGGCTTCGGCCTCCCAAAGTGCTGGGATTACAGGCATAAGCCACTGCGCCCGGCTTGCATTCACTTTGTATTCAGGCATTGTATAAGTGTTTATGTGCATTATTTTATCAAATCCTTAAAAACCCTAGCCGAGCACAGTGGCTCATGTCTGTAATCCCAGCACTTTGGGAGGCCAAGGCAGGAGAATTGCTTGAGCCCAGGAGTTCAAGACCAGGCTGGGCAACATAGCGAGACCCTATCTCTAAAATTAAAAAAAAAAAATTCTCTTTTTTTGAGACAGAGTCTTGCTCTGTTGCCCAGGCTGGAGTGCAGTGGAGCAATCTTGGCTCACTGCGGCCTCTGCCTCCAGAGTTCCAGTGATTCTCCTGCCTCAGCCTCCTGGGTAGCTGGGATTACAAGCGCATGCCACCACGCCTGGCTAATTTTTGTATTAGAGTAGAGACGGGGTTTCACCATGTTGGCCAGGCTGGTCTCCAAATCCTGACCTCAGGTGATCCACCCACCTCAGCCTCCCAAAGTTCTGGGATTACAGGCGTGAGCCACCACGCCCGGCCAAAAAATTTTTTTTATTTAATTAGCTGGGCATGGTGGTGTGCACCTGTAGTCCCAGCTACTTGGAGACTGAGGTAAGAGGACTGCTTGAGCCTAGGAGGTCGAGGTGCAGTGAACCGTGATCATACCGCTGCACTGCAGTCTGGGTGACAGAGCAAGACTCCCATCACAAACAAACACACAAACAAAAAACAATCCTTTGAGGCAAGTATTACTCTGACTTTACAAATGAGAAAACTGAGAGCCAGAGAAGTTAAGCAACTTGCCTAGCTAATAAACAACAGAGCCAGGGTCTAACCCAAGGTAGACGACCCCATAGCATGTGCTTTCAATCTTGTGCTAGACTGCCTTCCAACAACAGCACACAGGGCCATGCCTCTGCAAAGGTTGATGGCCTGTTTACACCAAGGCATAGTTTTACATAATTTCATTAGGAAAGGTTAAAATATCAATGTTTGGCATTTCAAATTAAATCTAATTAGTATGTTATTACTGGTAATAAATGAGTAACATTATAAAATATAAGGGTTTTAAAACCATGAACTCTTCCAGCCTGCCACCTAATTGGTAATGAGTTACAACACAATTTGTGAATACTGTGGGCCTTTTCAAAACAGAATATTTTAGGACTGGGCACAGTGGCTCATGCCTGTAATCCCAACAGTTTGGGAGGCTGAGGCAGGAGGATTGCTTGAGCCCAGGAGTTCGAGACCAGCCTGGACAACATAGTGAGACCCCTATTTCTAAAAAAAAAAAAAAAAAAAAATAGCCAGGTGTGGTGGCTCACACCTGTCATCCTACTCAGGAAGCTGAGCCAGGAGGATTGCTTGATCCTAGGGAGGTCAAGCCTGCAGTGAGCTATGATTGCACCACTGCATACCAGCCTGGGCAACAGAGCAGTCTCAGAAAAAAAAAAAAAAAAAAGAGAGGGACAGAGACTGGATATCTTAGTAATAATACTGATTTTTCCATATAAATTAATTTTCCAGACAACCTAAGCTTATTCTTTAAATTCTAATGCCTTTACATTTTAACTAGCAATCTTTTAAAAATCTCTCTTTCCGGCTGGGCGCGATGGCTCACACCTGTAATCCCAGCACTTTGGGAGGCCAAAGTGGGTAGATCACCTGAAGTCATGGGTTTGAGACCAGCCTGGCCAACATGGCAAAACCCTGTCTCTATTAAAAATACAACAATTCGCCGGGCGTAGTGGCATGGGCCTGTAATCGCAGCTATTGGGGAGGCCGAGGCAGGCGAATCACTTGAATTGGGGAGGTGGAGGTTGCAGTGAACCGAGATTGTGCACTGCACTCCAGCCTGGGTGACAGAGCAAAACTCTGTCTCAAAAAATAAAATAAAAGGCCAGGCGCGGTGGCTCACGCCTGTAATCCCAGCACTTTGGGAGGCCGAGGCGGGTGGATCACGAGGTCAGGAGATTGAGACTATCCTGGCTAACACAGTGAAACCCTGTCTGTACTAAAAAATACAAAAAATTAGCCGGGTGTGGTGGCGGGTGCCTGTAGTCCCAGCTACTCGAGAGGCTGAGGCAGAAGGATGGCGTGAACCCAGGAGGCGGAGCTTGCAGTGAGCCGAGATCGTGCCACTGCACTCCAGCCTGGGCAACAGAGTGAGACTCCGTCTCAAAAAAAATAAATAAAAGAAAATAAAGTAAAATAAAAAATAAAAATCTCTCTTTCCCTCAAAGGAAGGAGATCTGTCCTATGTGAAAGGACAGTAAAGATTCCATCTCACCTGGGCTTGATAAAAGGCCACTTCTGAAATCTTGTACAGATGTAGAAAAAGTTTCACATAGTAGAAACCAAAGACAGAATTCAGCATTTCAGTCCCTAATGTCATCATAGAGTATGCCCAAGCAATGGGTTTGATATTTAAAAGTGTCATTTTCCATGCAGAGGAACTCTTCTTCCCTTTGTTTAAAAAAAAAAAAAAAGGTTAAAATTCACTGCACACAGTAGTGGATGGGGGGGCAAAACATGGCTGGCCAGTACTTATTTTAGCCAAATAAGAGTTCAAACCTACGAGCTGTGAGTATGTCACCAGATTTAACACCTTACTTCCTTATCTATTCACTCAATATTTTTTGAGATGCTCGCCAGGAAACCTAGTTTGCATAGAGTATGACTCCACTTATATTTTTGTCTATCTCTTCGAACTTATAAAGTGGGATTTCAGCCTGGCCAACAGGGCAAAACCTCATCTCCACAAAAATACAAAAATTACCTGGGTGTGGTGGCATGCACCTGTAGTCCCAGCTACTTGGGAGGCTGAGGCAGGAGAATTGCTTGAACGCCAGAAGCAGAGGTTGCAGTGAACTGAGATGGCACTACTACAGTCCAGCCTGGGCGACAGAGCAAGACTCCACCTCAAAAAAATATATAAAATAAAGTGGGATTCATCCAAGAGCTTGGACATGATTAACTAGTGTCAAGGAGATATGTTTATGCCATTATTATCCTCCTTACTTGGTAGGGTACAACAGAAACAGAACAACAAGGTGACAGCCTTTTGCTCAAGTCAAAAAGAAAATAAGTCCCTCATCTTAGTTTAAAGTTGTTCATTCAGTAGTACAGACTTGCATTTGAAGACTTATTCTTGATCTTCTGTAGCTTTGACAGCAAGGACATCACTACAATGGGTACAGAAATAACACATTCTGATCCTTGCTGAGATCCTTGTATGGGCCTATCTTAAATCTAGCCTATTGTCTGTCTTACCCTTTGATTTTTATAAGTAGAAAACAGGAAAAGGCTAACCAAGCAAGAGGAAGGCATAGATTCATCTTCCTTTCAATCTTGACTATAGTTTAAAGAGAATACCATGATCTTTCTGTTCTATTCTTGGCTTACTTGAATATTTAGCCAGGTCTCTGCATCTTATTCAGTCAGAAAACAGACACAGATTCAGATAACTCAAAGGATGTTACTTGCTTGAGTAATCCTTGGGCCTCGCTTTAACTTTGTAGATCCAGGAACAGAATTAAGCAGACAGTTCGGTCTACACTGCCAAATTTCTTAGGGAAAAAGAGGGCAAGTCAGAAGGAGGAAGTTGGCATTTGGCTCAAATGACCAAATTATTTAAGGTCTCTACACTTCACTTTGCACCAAGTAGACCCAAGAATGATTATAATTCAGCTACGTGTGGTGGTGCAGATCAGTAGTCCTAGCTATTCAGGAGGCTGAGGCGGGTGGATTGGTTGAGCCCAGGAGTTTGAGGCTGCAATGAGCTATGATCTCGCCACTGCGCTTTAGCCTGGGCAACAGAACAAGACCCTGTCTCAAATTAAAAAAAAAAAAAAAAGAAGACTCTAATTCTATGAGTGGCAGGGTCCTAGAATTATCAAAAATGGGTTATCAAACCCATATGCATACCAAGCATTGTCTATAGAATAAAGAATGTTTTGTCCACATGTGTACTTGTATTCTTAAAATGTTTGTAGCTTCTGCTATAATGATTAAAAATACAAATCTGATTGTTTTCATCATGATGCAGTTCCCAAACACTTCAAAACTACTATTGTGTGGAGGCCAGCCAACATTTTTTACTTTAAAAGCAATTCTCAGATTTCAAAATGCTGGGAACTACCAGTGAAGACTTCACTCTAAGGAGTTCATCCCTGAGAATGAAGACTGAGGCTAGAGGTTGCTTGGTTACTAAAAGAGTCAAAAACAAGGGAGACAGTAGAATCAAAAGCCAAGACACAAATTTAGCCTACCAAAACCTAGGGACTCTTGTTTCTTTTAGTTTTATTTCAGGCGTGCTAAAACAAGAAGCATGCTGCACCTTTCTAATCTGATCTATCACTAAGTTGCATGGCAGGTATTTGTAAACTTATAATTCTGCAAAAGGCCATAAGCTTTCTGAGAGTTGAATTCAATTTTTTTTTCAAAGATTTAAGTTAAGTACCCAGCCTGTCCGAAACATAAGAATATAAGGTTTCAATTGCATTATGAAAAACTCTACGGTCTGAACTTCGTGGCCAGGCACAGTGGCTCACGCCTGTAATCCCAGCACTTTGGGAGGCCGAGGTGGGCAGATCACTTGAGGTCAAGAGTTTGAGACCAGCCTGGCCAACATGGTGGAACCCCATCTCTACTAAAAATACAAAAATTAGCCGGGTGTGGTGGCAGGTGCCGGTAATCCCAGCTACTCAGGAGGCTGAGGCAGGAGAATGCTTGAAACTGAGAGGTGGAGGTTGCAATGAGCCAAGATCATGCCACTGCGCTCTAGCCTGGGCAACAGAGACACTGTTTCAAAAAAAAAAAAAAAAATTTAAAACATTAAAAATTTAAAAAAGTCTACATTCTGAACTTCTCTTTGTTTTTACATATTGCGTGAAGTAGAAATCTTTATTTCCTTCTGCAAAAGGAGCCATTAATATTTTCCTTTAGATTACTGTCATCCCAATTACAATGGCAGATACTATGAGATCCACCGTCACTGGGGCGGCAACGTCCTGGGTCCTAAGTCTGTGGCTCGTATCGCCAAGCTCGAAAGGGCAAAGGCTAAAGAACTTGCCACTAAACTGGGTTAAATGTACACTGTTAAGTTTTCTGTACATAAAAATAATTAAAATAATACAAATTTTCCTTAAAAATAGATTACTGTTATCATAGTAAATACTTATTTCTGTAAGTATCAAACTGAAAATCACCACTTACAATTTTTTTAAAGCCCCCATTGCTACCTAAAAACTCTCCTTACATGACTTTACTATAGCAATAAAACAAAAGAGAACAAGAGCATTTTATCTTTACAACCGAAGACAAAGGATTTCTGAATCTGATCTTATTTATCACAACATATTTTATAAAGAAAACTTATAAAGTTGGCCAGGCATGGTGACTCAGGCCTGCAATCCCAGCATTTTGGGAGGCCAAGACAGGCAGATTGTTTGAGCCCAGGAGTTCAAGACCAACCTGGGCAACATGGTGAAAACCTGTCTCAACAGAGAATACAAAAATTAGCCAGATGTGGTCGCACATGCCTGTAGTCCCAGCTACTAGGGAGGCTGAGGTAGGAGGATCACCTGAGCCCTGGGAGGTTGAAGCTTCAGTGAGCTGTGATAGCGCCACTGTACTCCAGCCTGGGTGACAGAGTGACATCTTGTCTCAAAAATAAACGAAGAAACAAACAAACAAAAAGAATTAAATAGTAGCAAAATGGTGCCATGGTTAGTTAGGCTGGGCAAGTTCATTAAATAATGGTGAATTATTATGAACACCATAAATTCTCCTTTTGGAATCAACTTGGGTGGTTATTTACTAACCTACTAAACCAAATAATATTAACGTCACTGAAGAGGTTACTTATGATTGCTTCTAAACCATGACTGAGTAGACTCTAAAAGAACAATGGAAACTTCACCAAATTTAGCACAGAAAACTGACACCAGTTTTTCAATGCAATTTTTGTTCAAGATTTTCCAGGGGAAAAGAAGTTTCCTTAAATAGTGTCCTTAAAAACAACCCAATAACACACCAAAAGACATAAAGTTTGTGGGTTTTTTTGCTTTTTTAAACTATCAATAACTTTATTTATTCACTTATTTATTTTTTTTGAGAGGAAGTCTCACTCTGTTGCCCAGGCTGGAGTGCGGTGGCATGATCTCGGCTCACTGCAACCTCTGCCTCCCGGGTTCAAGTGATTCTCCTGCCTTGGCCTCCCAAGTAGCTGGGATTCCAGGCATGCGCCACCATGCCCAGCTAATTTTTGTATTTTTAGTAGAGACGTGGTTTCACCATGTTGGCCAGGCTGGTCTCAAACTCCTGACCTCGTGATCTGCCCACCTAGGCCTCCCAAAGTGCTGAGATTACAGGCGTGAGCCACCACGCCTGACCCTCAAAAACTTTAATTCTCCATATCTTTCTTTTCTTTTCTTTTCTTTTTTAAAGGAGAATTGTTGACTGGGCGCGGTGGCTCACACCTGTAATCCTAGCACTTTGGGAGGCTGAGGCAGGCGGATCACTTGAGGCCAGGAGTTTGAGATCAGCCTGGCCAACATGGCTAAACCCTGACTCTACTTGAAACACAAAAACTAGCCGAATATGGTGGCACATGCCTGTAATTCCAGCTACTCAGGAGGCTGAGGCACGAGAATCACTTGAACCAGGGAGGTGGAGGTGACAGTGAGCAGAGATGGTGTCACTGCACTCCAGCCTGGGCCACATGGTGAGACTCTGAAAAAGAAAAAAAAAATGGAGAATTGTTAAAGAACATTTCAATATGCATTTGAAGTCAAAATGAGCTTCTGTTTTCGATGGAGCAAACAGCGGGCACTTTGAACCTTGCGAATCAGTGATAAGAATCGTGAAGGGGGCCGTGCACGGTGGCTCACACCTGTAATCCTAGCACTTTGGGAGGCTGAGGCTGGTGGATTGCCTGAGGTCAGGAGTTCAAGTCCAGCCTGGCCAACATGCTGAAACCCCATCTCTATTAAAAATTCAAAAATTAGCCAGGCGTGGTGGTGGGCGCCTTTAATCCCAGCTACTTGGGAGGCTGAGGCAGGAGAATCACTTGAACCCAGGAGGCGGAGGTTGCAGTGAGCCAAGATCACGCCATCGCACTCCAGCCTGGGTGACAAGCGTGAGACTCTCTCAAAAAAAAAAAAAAAAAAAATGCCCCTGCATGATTCTAGCCCTTTAGCTTCCACAAATCACCATTGCC
The DNA here is from genome assembly GCF_000001405.40 of Homo sapiens. Classification (NCBI taxonomy): domain Eukaryota; kingdom Metazoa; phylum Chordata; class Mammalia; order Primates; family Hominidae; genus Homo; species Homo sapiens. The sequence continues at coordinate 727,386 of NW_017852933.1, forward strand.
AATTATTCCTAAATCCAACTTGCTATCTTTCCAAAGGGTTCTATCTTTAGTGATTAAGATAGTTTGTTTGAAGTGATCTTATTTCAACTCTGAATATCTCGATGGACAACTAGGGCAGTAGAAGAGGCTTTACAGGACCTCACTTTCTTTTCTTTCTTTCTTTTTTTTTTTTTTTTTTTGAGACAGAGTCTCACTCTATTGCCCAGGCTGGAGTACAGTGTCACGGTCTCGGATCACTGCAACCTCTGCCTCCAAGGTTCAAAGGATTCTTGTGTCTTGGCCTCCCATGTAGCTGGGATTACAGGCTTGCACCACCACTCCCGGCTAATTTTTGTATTTTTAGTAGAGATGGGCCACCTTATTGGCCAGGCTGGTCTTGAACTCCCAACCTCAGGTGATCTGCCTGCCTCAGCCTCCCAAAGAGCTGGGATTACGGCATGAGCCACTGTACACAGCCTTTTTTTTTTTTTTTTTTTTTTTTTTTTTTGAGACAGGGTCTTGCTCTGCTGTCACCTATCATAGCTCATCGTAACCTCAAACTCCTGGACTCAAGCAATTCTCTCACCTCAGCCCCCCAAGTAGCTGGGACTACAGGTGTGCCAGTAACATTTTGCCTTTTTGAAGAAAGGGATTTGTGAGTTTACCATTCCTCTTTTATTATTATTATTACTTTCTAACAGTGTTATTCCTTCTACATTTTTTGCTTGGCATCCTACTGTAAGAAAGTTTTCTTTTCTCTCCCATTTATTTATGTCAGTATGGACTCATGGATTCTTTCCTTTTTATTCAATGGGTTATAATCCATTACTATGATTATTTATTGTGATGCTCATAATTGGTCCTCAAGGGTACCTGCACTTCTACAGTATAGGTCACAAGAACACAGCCTTACATTTAAAATGAGCACAAAATACTTGCTTTCAGGGTCTCTCTGATTCAGATAGCTCTGTGAGCAAGGCAAACAATCATCTTTCCTGTAAACTGTTTGCTAAAAGGCTTCTCTGCTGGTACTGAGTATGGCGAGAACTCTAGGTTTTCTCACTCTAGGTCCCTTGTGCTTTCCACTCTATTCAGCAGTCTCCTTTAAGGACTGAAGGGTAAAACTTCAGGTAACAACTCCACAGTGGGAGGTCTTGTCCTTGGCAAGACTTCTCCAGAGTAGCCTACAGCCTATGTGTAAGGTAACCCTGGAGTCAAGTGCTGTTTGATACAGCATCAGCGTGAGGTTAGGTTATGCTGGTTTGAGCAAAGATGGGAGGCAGAGAGACACCCTGAATTTTATTACCCACAAGAATTATTCAGGATGAGTTTTTCCCCCCTTCCAAATTACCCAAGTCTTTTTTTATACAGAAAGACAAAAAAAGTAGCTTGAGTCTATAATTCCTTCCCTACAATTTCCCTTATTTTTAATGTGCAAGTAACTAAAAAAGCAAGATCACAGAAGGGTTTATAACAAAAAGCCAAAGTCCCCAGCCTCAAATCACTCCTCCTCTTAGGAAAACTTTTTTTTTTTGTTTGGTTTTTGAGACGCAGTTTTTGCCCAGGCTGGAGTGCAATGGCGCAATCTCGGCTCACTGCAACTTCCACCTCCCGGGTTTCAAGCAATTCTCCTGCCTCAGCCTTCCAAGTAGTTGGGATTACAGGCATGCGCCACCACGCCCAGCTAATTTTGTATTTTTAGTAGAGATGGGGTTTCTCCATGTTGGTCAGGCTGGCCTCGAACTCTCGACCTCAGGTGATCCGCCCGCCTCGGCCTCCCAAAATGCTGGGATTACAGGCGTGAGCCACCGTGTCCAGCCTCGGAAAACTCTTAATTGCTTCCCATTTTTAGTTCTGGCAGCTCTCTCCATATTTGTGGAAACTATTCATTGGATTATCAATGTAAGGTATTATCTGTCGACTCACTTCTAAAATAGATCAGGATTTAACACTCCTCTCCACCTCTTCCCTCTCTCTGAATTTCTAACAGTTTATTACCTCATGTTCTAGAGATAATCTTTCAATTGTATACTTAAACCTCGATTTTTTTTTGTTTCGTTGCTCAAAGTTAGTTAGATATTGGCCCTGTTGTCTTCCATCAGCTGCACCTTTACCTTTACGTCAAGGTTGAGAACATTGACCTTCAGGTCTGTCATCCTGCTTAAGAGTTTCCGTGCTTTGTCTGCAAGATGGTGCTTAAAGCTTTACCTAGGAGCAGTATTTGCTGGGTTATGTCGGTGGAGGACAGCGTGCTCTGCCTCGCTGGCTACTAAGTGCTGGAGCTGCAGCCTGTCCCCTCCAGGTGCAATGTCACGTCCCCAGATGCTTAACTTGTGGTCTAGGGGTACCTTTTAAAAATCGTTGCAACACTGCTTACAATTTTCGCCCTCCAAGTGGACAGCTTCGGGCATCCCTCACCGCCCCAGATTCTCAAGGGGGTCTGGTGCCCACCGTTTTATGTAGCGTGAGTTTAATTCCCAGGGCTCAGATGTCAAGGAGACAAGAGCTACCGCTCAGTGGGCGTTTTCTCAACCCAAACTCCCGATCGACCTCGAGTCTCCCCGCCGGACCCGGAGCAAATCTCAGAGTCAAGATGCGAGAAGGGGTGGCCGGGCGGCGGACCTCAGGCTTCCGGCACCCTTGCGCTTCCCGCCGGCACGAAGGACTCCCCTGGACAACCGCCCGCCTCTCAGAGGCCGGAGTCCTAGGCCCTCCGGCCTGCGTTGCCTGTCCACAGACGCGCCGGCCTCGGGACACCCACCACAGGGGTAAGACGCGCCTCTGCCAGCTCCCCAGCCCGAAACCCAGAACGCCCTCCTAGGAGCCTCACAGCGCAGATCAGGGGACGGGCTTTCGGCCGCACCCCTTCACTCTTTCCCCGCCTTCTTTGTTTATTCCGGACCCACCATTGGCTGCTTGCCCTCGATACCGGGCGAGCCGCCGGTCTTTGGAGAGAGGCGATTGGACGAAGTCCCTGCCGCTCGGCCAGCAGCCCGCTCGCGATTGGTTGAGGCGCCGCCGGGGGTTTGAATCGCATCCCCGGCCGGGGAGGGTTCTGCCAAAGTGCCACGTTGGGCCCGGCGGCGGCGTGAAGACTGGCGGCTGCGTGAGACTCCGGCTCCAGGCGTTCGCACCGTAATGCCCGGCCGTTGGGGCCGTCGGTAGGCGCGAGGCGAGTCGAGGCAGCCGGCCGGTCGGCGGCCGCCGGCGGGAACGGGGCTGAGGCGGCGCAGCGGAGTCTGGGCGGCGGCGCGTCCCGCCCGAGGGCGGCTCTGGCTGAGGGCGGAGGGGCCGGGGAAGAGCCCGGGGCAGCGGCTGAGGCGGGACGGCGGCGGGGGCCGCTGCCCCTAGAAGACCCAGCCGAGATGCTGGCGGAAAACCTGGTAGAGGAGTTTGAGATGAAGGAGGACGAGCCGTGGTACGACCACCAGGACCTCCAGCAAGGTGAGGGCGGGGGCGCCCCGCGGGCGGGCGGCGGCCTGGCCCGGGAGGCCCCCGCTGCGAAACTGTTAAAAAGTTGCTTTTTGTGGCGGCGGAGGATGCAGGTGCCGGGAAGGGCTCAGGCTCACCTGGCGGCTGGGCCGGCCGTGCCCGCGGATCCCGCCCGCAGGAAGCCTCGGCACGGGGCCCACGGCCTTGCTAATGCGCAGTTGAATATCAGCCCCGAGGCGCGTGGGGGCCAGGGACGAGCCAGGCACCGTTTTAAGCGCTTTCCGTGGATTAGCTAGTTTAATCCTCACTGCATTCCTCCGAGGCAGACCCGGGTGAGCCAGTGTGTCCCGCAGTAAGTGGCATAGCCCGAGAAGCCGCCCCGTCGCAGGCTGTCTAGCCCAGCGCCTTTCATGGCCAGCGTGGAGGGCCGGCTGCTGCAGGTGGTAGTTGTTTTGCGGCGTAGCGGGAGCTGTGCGCTCCGCACCGTAACTCCAGGAGACAGTAACTTTTTAAAAATTAATGTTTGAGGGTACATGGTAGGTGTATATATTTGTGGGGTACATGAGATGTTTGGATACAGGCACGCAGTGTGAAATAAGCACGTGATGGAGAACGGGGCGTCCATCCCAGCATTTATCCATTGAGGTACAAACAATCCAATTACACACTTTTGTTATCCCATTTTCCATATGAGGAAAGCGGAGATTAAAACGGTAAAGTGGCTTGCCTAAAGCTAAGTGTGGGAGGGAGTGTTTTTTGAACCCACACACTCAGAAGAAGAGTTGTAGTCACTGCTCAAACCCCATCTCTTCCTTACCATCCTAGTTTACAGTTTTTTTCAGTTGGGCGTTAAGCTGTTAGGCATAGTTCACCAGATGCCAATTGAAACGACAGAAGAAAGAGCGCATCTATCTCTGCCACTTTTCTTCAGTTTGCACGCCAGCTTTCACTTAGAAACAGGCCTGCCGATGGTGTCTCCAGAGAACAATCGTAGAGTAGCCCACTCTTTGGGGCCAGTGGGGCCCCTGTTTTTCTTATACTAATAGCAGGAGCTAGCAGTTGGGGAACACTTTTTATGTGCCTAACACTGATAGGCCCATAACACAGTTGCTCATTTAATTCTCCCAGTAACACAATAGAGGTAGTAATGTTGGGGAGTGCTAGGGTTCTCCTTAAGACTCCAGAGCAAACGTTCTTAACCGCTATACTGAGTACTGAACAATCCTCAGGAATTTTTCCAGGCATCTTCAGTTTCTGCAATTCTGTGTAAATGCTCTCAGCTCTAATCTTGCAATGAAAATTAACATCTCATTTAGTTGAATATTAAATGATCATGTTGCTTGTTCATGCTAACCACTGAACATGGCAGAAGAAAAGAATGTAGACCTGAATAACTCAGAAAAGGAAAATAAAATGAGCACCTCTTTTGGAGGAAGATAATTTCTTAAATTAACATGCAATCACTTTAACCAAAGTAATTCACCTTTATTACACTTACAGAGTCCAAGCTACTTAGTGGTTGCAGTGCAGTGTTTGGCACCATCTTCTTTATGTCCAAGAGACAAATTTATTATACATATTAACAAACCTGTTTTCAGATTTCCCCGTAAGGATTGATGGCCTAGTTTGATAGTTTCTCCAGGATTTGTGAGGCAACCACTGTACCACTGCAGTACTTCCCTATAATTTAATTTGTATCATCACAACTAAATATTTCTCTTTCCTGTATTTAAGAAGCATTAATCTTTAAGGGCATAGAGGGGGCAGGTTCTTTTTTCTTGTGTTTCCAGCATCTAGCATAATACTTGGCACATACTGGAAGCTCGATTTTAATATTTGTTGAACTGCACTGAAGCACTCGCACAGAATTGTTTTCATGGCTCTCTTCCATCAGGTGCCTTAGTCCACGCTGCATTCTCCCGCTGTGGGAGGTTGTTAGGAACAACAGCTGTAACACTTCAATCTACCGAGCAGCAAGTGCAACGTGTCAGGGTTACACGAGGAATTCTCTTTAACCTCTGATCAAAATAAAGTCATCAGCTCTTCAAGTTTAACCTTAAAAACACAGGTCTGGGCTGGGCGCAGTGACTCATGCCTGTAATCCTAGCACTTTGGGAGGCCGAGGCGGGCATATAACCTGAGGCCAGGAATTCGAGACCAGCCTGGCCAACATGGTGAAACTCCATCTCCACTAAAAATACAAAATTAGGTGGGTGTGGTGGCAGGCCCCTGTAATCCCAGCTACTCGGGAGGCTGAGGCAGGAGAATTGCTTGAAACTGGGAGGCGGAGTTGCAGTGAGCTGAGATCGTGCTATTGCACTCCAGCCTGGATGACAAGAACGAAACTCCCTCTCAAAACACACACACACACACACACACACACACACATATCTGAACCTCTTTACTGCCAGTTGCATTTCTGTGTTTTTCAAAGGGCTGTTACGTTATCACAGTGGACTTTGACTTAACCCTCTGTGTCATAACCAACTATATGGAGTACGAGTAGAAGATGTGAAATTCCAACAATTGTAACTTGTGAATATGGCCTGTCAAAGAATAAAGGCTACAGTGTGAATAAAAGGGTATCCTTTCCCCAGTTTTGCTAAGTTATATGTTAACTCCTAAACTTTTAACAGATTTTAAAACTTGTTCATTTCTCAAAAATGTATTATCTGCTCTTTGCCAGGTATTCGCCTGGGCCCTGGGGCCACAGCACCTCCCCACATGAGTGGATAGGTAGGATTCCTACTCCCATAGAGTGAATGTTCCAGGAATCTGTTCACTAGAGAAGCCTGGAGGTGCCGCCTCATGGGATGTGCCCACTACAGCGCCTCGTACATTGTAGGCCCTCAGTAGACACTTGCTGCTGAATTAAGTTTGGGAGCAGGTCTGTCCTGTTAAACAGATTATTCAGCAAGTCTAGTGGGATTTTATGTGCAGGCATCTGTCCGTTTTTTAACATCCTCATTATTATTACTGAGCAAGGCTTATTTGGAGAGAACTGCTTAAAACTTTTTTTTTTTTTTTGAGGTGGAGTCTCGCTCTGTCCCCAGGCTGGAGTGCAGTGGCACGCTCTTGGCTCACTGCAATCTCCGCCTCCCGCGTTCAAGCCATTTTCCTGCCTCAGCCTCCCAAGTAGCTGGGATTACAGACACGTGCCACCACACCCAGCTAATTTTTGTATTTTTAGTAGAGACGGGGTTTCCCCATGTTAGCCAGGATGGTCTCAATCTCCTGACCTCGTGATTTACCCGCCTCGGCCTCCCAAAGTGCTGGGATTACAGGCGTGAACCACCGCACCTGGCTGGAAAACAACTTTTAATGATCCTGTTCTCAGTATCTTACAACTATAGAATGTTTTCCTTTAGCAGTAGTAAGCCATGCTCTGAATAGATTGAATCTTTGTATCAAAGTTTCCTAGGGTATCCGTTTTTAAATTGAAATTGCTGGAAATTTCTAACCTCAGTAAACTCTGGTCTACTATTCATACCTTGTTAGAAACATGTAAAGCTTTTGTGTAGGCAGGAGGAGAAAACCCTTTGCTGTTACAAAACTCTTTGATGAAGAGACTGTCTTTTGTCAGAGAGCTGAGTTGGCTCAGTAGGAATACTGACAATAATCTCTGTGGGTAAGATCTTTTCTGGGACAGCAGGAGCCTTCAGTGCAGGTAATGATGGTGCTTGCTTTGAAACATGCCCCTGAGAACAAGGTGGAAAGACTTCAGAGACTGGATTTTCTTTTAAACCAGCTGCTATTGTCATTTGGTGAGCTGTGCAAACTTAGAATAAGGATTCAGGTTTCTGTTATGTGGATCAGTAAATGAACTCTTAGTTTAAAGGAATCCTAAAATTGCAGGATGAGTACATCCTCCTTGTGTACAACTATTTTGCTGAATCACTGTTTGGAGGGTTATTAAAACTGACAACATCATTTTTCTTGATATTTATATTCAGGTTTTCTGCTTTCCCAATTATAGTAACATTGGCAACAGGAGTTAAACAGAAGCATCACTAAATGACGCATTTGACTTTGTAATAGGAAAAACTTTCAGCCTTACTGTTAGTGAATTACTCCTACAGACTACAGCTGCCAGTACTAATTTTTTGCCTAAAGCATAGAGCTGAGTATCTGTTTAAAGCTAACAGTTTACACCATTAAAAATATATTATTACCTGCAAAGACTCATTAGTGAAAGAATATTCAACATATGAAGGTATTGATATGTTGAAATTCTCAAGCCTGCAATAAATCTACAGTATTTTTAGTAGTTGCCTAAACCAGGCCAGTTCAATAGGATTTAGAGAAGACCCTCTTAATGAAAATTCATTTTGTAATCCTGTAGAGATGAACAGGTGTATAAGGCTTCGAAACTATATTATTTCCTTTTCTTTTGTGCCTTAATTAAAACTATAAGGGACATTCAATATTCTATTCCCTCCACTAATTATTTAGAAAACTTTCTTGGGCTTACTGCCAGCTTTTGGCCTCTTTTGGTTATGGAAGCCAGCTGCTACTCAACAGGAAATGAACTTTTTTTAAAGACAAAGTCCGGTGTCTTTAAGCTAACAGATGAAGTAATATCCTGTTATACAGTGTGACTTCACAGGAGCTTTCTTGTAGTTGGGACTTGTTAAAATTCTATCCTTAACAGCCTATAAATATTTAGGAGATCGAGACTTCAGGTTTCTGAGCCAGGCTGGTGCTTTGTTTTACTGGAAATAAGGTTTGAGATAAGGACAAGTCTCAAATTCTTTTTTGTTTGCTATCTACTAAAGAGTGCTGTCCTTGGTATCTCTTTCTGCAGGAGCAGGGAAGAGGTTCCTGGCTACTCTTAAGTAGCACAGGTAGTTCCATAACTGAATGAAAGTGGTGATAGTCTCAAGACAGTCTGGATTCTGGGAGAGGTTTCAGCCCAGTTGGGTTTTGTTTTTTTTCTTTTTTTTTTTTTTCCTGCTAAGAGACAAGGTCTTGCTATGTTGCCCATGCTGGTCTCGAACTCTTGGCCTCAAACAGTCCTCCTGCCTTGGCGTCCCAAAGTGCTGAGATTACAGGTGTGAGCCACCACACCCGGTCCTTGGCTCAGGCTTTGATTGCTGGTTAAGAGCATCTTTGGTGAATCTGAGCCTTCCCAGTGAGGAATTACCACTTCACACATTTAAGAAGGAAAGACTTAAGTAATACCTAGGTAATGTTTTTATACTTTGTCTTTAATACAGTGTGGTAGCTTCCATATGGGTCTATGTATACACATTACACACTCTGTGAGTACAAAATCATTTTTTCTGGAACATGTTGAGCCATACATAGTTCCTTTTTCATTTGGTGAAAACAGGGTATTAACTTGCCTGGGGTTGTATGTGCTTTCACTAGCAGAGCAGGCAATAAAAACCCAAATAGTTGAACTCTAATTTCTCATTGCAATCTGTGAAAACAAGTAGAAGAAATTAAGTACCTCAACAAGGGGAACATTTGTATTCTCTACCTTAAAGAAGCCTGCGGACCTCTCTTTCAATTGCCTTAAAACTCTGCAGATGAAGATAACAAAGAATCGTGATGAGAGTGAGAGTGAGAACCTGTTGACCTAAGAGTTTCTGTTTGATCTGTGACTCACCTTGGAGCTTGATTAGGTCAATTAACAGTTTTGTGCTTCAGGCTGTCTCATCTGAGAAACTGGACTAAATACCTTTAAAGATATAAAGACTAATGTCTCTAGAAAACAAAAAGTAGGCTGGGGGCAGTGGCTCATGCCTATAATCCCCAGCACTTGGGGAGGCCGCGGTGGGCGGATCACTTGAGGTCAGGATTTCGAGACCAGCCTGGCCAGCATAGTGAAACCCCATCTCTACTAACAATACAAAAATTAGCCAGGTGTGGTGGTGGGTGCCTGTAATCCCAGCTACTCAGGAGGCTGAGGCAGGAGAATCACTTGAATCCAGGAGGCAGAGGTTGCAGTGAGCCGAGATCGCACCACTGCCCTCCAGCCTGGGTGACAAGAGTGAGAGACTCCATCTCAAAAAAAATAAATAAATAATGACAAGAAAAAGACTAATGTCTCTTAAATGCTTTGAGCTATTTGTAAAAGTTCTGTGTTTTGTAAATACAAGTTATTTCATAGATTTAATGGAAGTCTTTATTTTTTATTTTTTTATTTTTGAGACAGGGCCTCACTGTATTTTTGGTAGAGATGTAATTTCACCATGTTGCCCTGGCTGGTCTCGAACTTCTGAGCTCAAGCAGTCCATCTGGTTCACCCTCCCAAAATGCTGGGATTATAGGCATGACCCACTGCACCTGGCCTCTAAAGTCTTAATGAATGTAATGACTAATAGACATTGTTAGTTTTGAAATCACAAGAGAATGTATTTTAGCACCTATCTACCAACAGTATACTGTTTTATTTTAAATGGGTGTAAAATGTTTTTAAATGATCTGGAGTTGGGTGTGGTAGGTTTTGCTGCTTTTTCCAGAGTGAAAACTAACCAAGTAGAATACTAATTATGCACTTGAGTGGACATTACAACAACTAATGCTGTTGTTACCATTTACTCAATGCTAAGTTTTACTATGAGTAGTGGTGGATAGCCATTAAGCCTTATTTGTCAACCTCTAAAAATTAAGTTTAAAAATCATTATGTAGTGAGTTTCCTTGTTTTTATGATAAATTTTTTTCATAATACTTTTATGACAATAACTGAGGCTACTTTCCATCATACCTAGAATAAAATTTAAACTTTACCTACCATGGGCTATAAAATCCTATATGATCTGATCCCTCATGCTTCTATCATACTGGCTGCTTGTCAGGTTGTAGAATATGCCAAATTCATGGCAAGTTCTTCATCCTTCAAGCTTCAGCTAAAAGGTCTTGTCAGACCTTCCTTATGACCTCCCTTTCTAAATTGGGCCCTAGGCTGGGCACAGTGGCTCATGCCTGTAATCCCAACATTTTGGGAGGCTGATGTGGGAGGATGTGTTGAGGCCAGAAGTTTGAGATCATCCTGGGCAGCATTGTAAGACCCTGTCTCTACAATAAATCAGTAAGTAAGTAAGCTGGGTTTGGTAGTGCATGCCTGTAGTCCCAGCTGTTTGGCAGGCTGAGGCAGGAAGATCACTTGAGCCCAGGAATCCAAGGCTACAGTCAGCCATGAGTGCACCACTGCACTCCAGCATGGCAACAGAGCGAGACCGTGCCTAATAAAGAGACAGAAAAAGAAAGCCCTTTGTTCATTATCACCAAATCCAGGTTTTTCTCCCCCGCTTTATCTTTTAGACTTTATATTGAATTGGTCAACAAATCCTTTAGCTTTACTTTCAAAACATGTCAGAATTCTGCCCCTCCTCTCCCATCTTCATCTCTGCCACCCTGGTCCAAGCCACCATCATCTCTCACCCAGACGATTGCAGTATCTTTCTGTCACTCTGCTCCCACCTTTGTCCCATTCACCCTGTATAACAGCAGCCGGAGTGATCCTGTTAAACCTCCATTGGATTCCTTCATTTGGAGTAAAGGCCAAACTCTTGACCTCTTTAGTTAGGCCCTCCGCAAACTGGCCATCTTGGAGCCCCTCTGATTTGAGTCTTCCCCCTCCCCTCCCTGCCCAATACATTCTGCTCCACCCTCCTCAGCCTCCTTAATGACTCAGTCATGCTTCCTCCCAGGTGCTTTGCACTTGCCTTGCCTCTGCCTGGAGTGCTGTTTCCCTGATGGATACACATGGGTCACTTATTCTGTTCCTTCACACATTGATTCTAATGTGGCCCTGGTCACATGTTCTTAAATTTCAGCCTCCCACATCCACACTCCTCCTGTACTTCTTCCTTGCTTTATTTTTTTCTCTTTAGCATTTATCGCTATCAAGTTTTATTGTGCTGTTTCTCCCAGTAGAATATAAGCTCCATGAGGGCAGGGATATTTTTTTAATGTGAGTTCCTTATGGCTCCTGGGCACCATCCCAGTGCCTAGAATAGTGTCTGATATTATTGAGTATATGCATGCATGCATGAATACTGTTTATCACAGTATGTGAGTTTAGTTACTCATTTGTCTGGCTTCCTCCACTAATCTGGGAATGTCAGCAAAGCAGGACTTCATTTTATTCACTGTTCTATAGCTAATGCTTAGCATAGTGCCTGGCAACAAAAACATTCATTTGTGAATCAATGACTATTAATAGTACTTTGCGTGCGTATTGCAACTTAGTTTGTAAAGTACTCCTTTATGTATTATTTCATTTGATTTTCACAATCTTATATTGATAAGACAGTCATCTCTCTAAACAAGAATACTAACTATAGGGGCCTTAAAGTCACCATATTGAAAGTGTTCTGGTAAATGATAGAACTGGGCCTGAGACTTACCTGCCCAGAGTGCAGTGCATTTCCCACTGTATCAAAGGACTGCTCCATAAGATTTACTATGCAAAGAAGTATTTCAATGACGTATGTTACAACTAGTGTCCTTTCTTATATTGTTAACTAAATTTTCATTTCTGGGAGTTGAGTATAATATAAACAAATCCTGTTTTATGGGCATTATACCTAAGAATAGAGAGAGTTGAAAAATGAGGTTTAAAATAAAATATGGTTCTGTGCTAAATGGAAGTATGAGCTACTGACATGTAATTACCTCAAAAACCACATTTCTGTTTTGCTTTTCTAGTTGCTCATCTTACAGAAGGACACGAAGAGAAGTAGAGTGACCTGGGGCAGTGTTCTTAATGCTGATGTATTTTTCCTTTTCTTGACTTAATAAATTTTAGTCCCCTTAGGAGTCCAGGATATATGACAATAAACTTTAACAGTTGTATTCACAGCAGGCAAATTCATGGGAACTTTAAAGATTTTTGAAAGCTCCACCTATACCTTGGCTCAAGGGTCCATTCAAAAAAGTAGACTGTCAGGATATGAATACATTCATTGTACTAGCAAATAGGATTTTAGAAGTAACACTGCGGAATGATCATTCCTGAACAAATAACTGCATCTCCATAAAGTAGATGACCATTTTTCACTTCTTACAAGTATGGGTACATAAGAGAATACATTACCTGCTGGAGGCGTCAGTTTAACTGAATTTTAAGTAGAACTCGGGTTTCCTTCTGTGCCACTCCACCTTCCATTGGGATGTGACTTAAACTACATGTTCTTTTTTGAAGGACTGGGTTATATAAATTGTTGATGTGAGATCATTTGTATTATTCTAAGATTCATTTGTTGTGCTAGATCTTCAACTTGCTGCTGAGCTTGGGAAGACATTACTGGATCGGAACACAGAGTTGGAGGACTCTGTTCAGCAGATGTATACAACCAATCAGGAGCAGTTACAGGAAATTGAGGTAATTCACTTGGCAGGAGAGTTACACTTTTGACACTTCGATGTGTTGCTGTTATGCCAATCACATACTGGTAAAAAAGCACTTGCAATTAGATGCAGCATTTTATTTTTTAACACAAACTTTTTTGAGAATGAGAACCGCCTCCCGAGTAGCTGGGATTACAGGCGCCTGCCACCACGCCTGGCTAATTTTTGTATTTTTGGTAGAGATGGGGTTTCACTGTGTTAGCCAGGCTGGTCTCGAACTCCTGTCCTCAGATGATCCACCTGCCTTGGCCTCCCAAAGTGCTGGGATTACAGGCATGGGCCACCACACCCGGCCTAAAACATGCAATATTTAAGATATACAGAATGGGGTAAGAGAACAATACAGTGAATACCCATATATCCACCACCTAGCTTAAAAAAGAAGACTGCCCACACTCTTGAACTTCCCACCGGAGAGGGAACTTATACCTCCTCCTTGGTGACATATCCCTCCCACCTACTACCAAACCATATCCTAAATTTGAAAAAAAAAAATCATAGTTCCTGATTTCACAGTGTGTTCAGATGTTTTGCTCCATTCAAATAATCATAAAATACATGTTGCTTTCTCTCTGCTGTGATCTTGATTTGTTTACATTTTTGCTGGATATTTTATTAAAATGCTACATTTTTGGCTGAGTGTGGTGGCTTATGCCTATAATCTCAGCACTTTAGGATGCCGAGGGAGACAGATTGCCCAAGCTCAGGAATTCGAGACCAGCCTGGGCAACGTGGTAAAACCCCATCTCTACAAAAAAAAATACAAAAATTAGGCTGGTGTGGTGGCGTGTGCCTGTAGTCCCAGCTTACTTGGGAGACAGAGGTGGAAGAATCACCTGAACCTGGGAAGTCAAGGCTACAGTGAGCCAAGACCGTGCCACTGTACTCCAGGTTAGGTGATGGGAGCGAGACCTTGTCTCAATAAAAAAATAATAATAATATAATACCTTTTGCCCAGCTTAACAAACTAAAATGAAAGATGCTAGACTAGGGCATTAAAATGGCCCTCTATGCTGCTAATCTTATAAATAGTCCCCTTCAAGTAGTTCAGTTATGTGTAGGCCACTTGACTGTAAAGATAATCACGGATATTAACCAGTGTCCCATCAGAACACCTTTCTCCATGTCCCAACCCATGCTTCCCCCAAAAAGGGTCTGTACTTAAATTATAAGCTCCTCCCCCTTAAATTGGTACAGTAGACCCAGGACTTTTGTGTCTGTGCACAGAAAAATGTAAAAGACTCTAGAACAGTGAAGCAGTTCATCATAATGAGTACTTACTAAAGCTTTGATTATTTCCTGAACCAGGTGCTGGGAATTCAAACAAGCGGAGAATTACACAGTCCTTCCTTAGAAGTGATCACATCATACAGTTTTAAACTTTTGAATACAAATCTATCATCAAAACAAAGGCAAATGTGCAATCTCAGTATCCATTAATTTTACCTAGTAACATAAAAGGTGTATACAGTAGACCCTCCCCTTGAGCAGGATTTCTGAAATACACTTTTATAATTCTAGGAAAGTATGGCTTGCAATGATATTGAAGTCACCAGGTACCATTTTTAGCATATTCTACATCAAAAGAGCGTACAATATGTTTTACACTAAATTGAATTTAATGACCTACTGTAGGCCGGGCGCGATGGCTCAAGCCTGTAATCCCAGCACTTTGGGAGGCAGAGGCAGGCAGATCACTTGAGGTCAGGAGTTCGAGACCAGTCTGGCCAATGTGGTGAAACTTTGTCTGTACTAAAAATACAAAAAATATGGCAAGCACCCATAATCCCAGCTACTTGGGACACTGAGGCAGGAGAATCACTTGAACCCGGGAGGTGAAGGTTGCAGTGAGCTGAGATTGTGCAGTTGCACTCCAGCCTAGGCAACAGAGCAAGACTCCATCTCAAAAAAAAAAAAAAAAGACCTACTGTAGAGTTTGCCAGAAACCTAAAATGCAGAGAAACTAGGCATTTAAAAACTATTAAACTAGGCTAGGCATGGTGGCTAACGCCTATAATCCCAGCACTTTGGGAGGCCGAAGTGGAAGAATTGCTTGAGGCTAGGGTTTGAGACCAGACTGGGCCACAAAGTGAGACCGTGTCTCTAGTCTAAAAACAAAACTATTAAACTAGCCAAATGTTTTACGTGGTCAAGGAACTCTTTCCTACTTTGTTTCGTAGACTTTGTTTTTTAACTCAGTGGGAGATTTCAGAATAGTCCTAAACGATCATCACTGTTTGTATTTGTGTAGAGACATAGTCTTAATTGTATTATCGTAGTCTATGAGGTTTATCCGAGGCCTGATTATTGCTAATAGTTAATAAATTGTATTGATGTTTCCTGTTAGAGCATTTATAAAACACTATAACTGGTACTTATTTTAGCATATCTTTCAAGTGTAGCTGAAAGAAGTGTAAATATTTGTAAGTTGGGAGAATGATGCCTATTGATTAGCATAGGAGATTACAAACAACTGCTTTGTTTTCTGTGGTATCGAGGATGATTAAACATTTAAGCTAGATCATTGGTATTCTGAAAGTATCCAAAGATATCTGAGATTCTCTAAATCTACAAATAACACTTTATTATCTAATATTATCCATAAGATATTGCAAAGCGTCATGGAAATGAAATAATCCAGTTCAGACCTTCATGATTAAATAGGTATAAAATTCAGCCGGGTGCGGTGGCTCACGCCTGTAATCCTAGCACTTTGGTAGGCCAAGGCGGGTGGATCACGAGGTCAGGAAATCGAGACCATCCTGGCTAACGTGGTGAAACCCCGTCTCTAGTAAAAACACAAAAAATTAGCCGGGCGTGGTGGCGGGCGCCTGTAGTCCCAGCTACTTGGGAGGCTGAGGCAGGAGATTGGCGTGAACCCGGGAGGCGGAGCTTGCAGTGAGCCGAGATCGTGCCACTGCACTCCAGCCTGGGTGACAGAGCGAGACTCCATCTCAAAAAAAAAAAAAAAAAAAAAGTATAAAATTCATGTATAAAACTATTCAGGAGATTTAGCTTGGAATATTTCGGGAAACATATTCATGAGTCTCTTGTTCCTGTAATATGTAGTCCACTGGTTCCTAGATCTGAGCATTGCACAATGCAGTATTTTACTCTTTATCCAAAGCTGTTTTTGGCTAAGAATAATTACTCTCTTAGGTTTCTTCACCACCATTACAGTTGACTTTCTTTTTTCTTTCCTTTTATAAGTTGCTTCATGAAAGTAAGTTTCCAGTCTCAGTAGGGGAGATGAGATGGCAGTAATGGCTAAGCCCACTTACCAGCCAGGGGATTCCCACAGACTGTCCTTGCTGCCTGCTCCATCACAACTGTGCCTGGGCAGATGTAGAGATCACGATGTAGATTTCTGAGGTCTCTCTAATAGCCTAAAAGAATGCCATGTGCTCTTGTAAAAGTAACCAGGCAGCTAAAGAGCCTACTTCCTTGCTAAACAATGACCCTTGCATATGTTCCTCTTATTGCAACCTTCAGGAGGCCCCCTAAACTTTATAAGGGCCCTCTCCTTAATTTGAGCCTTTTCAACGTGTTTCTCCTTCCCTTAAACTTTTTATTGAAATCTACATTACAGAAAAGGGCATAAATCCTAAGTGTATAGTTTGATGAATTTTCATAAAGTAAACATGCCCATGCAACCTATTCCTAGATAAGGAGTTGAGAGCATTATCAGCTCATCTGGTCACCACCCGGTGAGCTAGCATCCTAAGTTTAGCTTGTTTTTGACCTTTACGTGAATGGAATCACTTGTACAAGTTTTAAAGTAACTGTTTAGAATGTTTATTGGGAATTAGATTACAAAGTAATACACAGCTTGGCGCAGTGGCTCACGCCTGTAATCCTAGCACTTTGGGAGGCTGAGGCGGATGGATCACTGAGGTCAGGAGTTCGAGACCAGCCTGGCCAACATGGCGAAACCCTGTCTCTACTAAAAATACAAAAAGTAGCTGGGCATGGTGGTGCATCCCTGTAATCCCAGCTACTCGGGAGGCTGAGGCAGGAGAATCCCTTGAACCTGCAGGGCGGAGGTCACAGTGAGCCGAGATCCTGCCACTTCACTCCAGTCTGGGCGAAAGAGTGAAACTCCGTCTCAAAAAAAAAAAAAAAAAAAAAAAAAAAAGATCATTTTTTTAATTCAGAAAAATATATAGTTGAAGAACAAAAAGTCAGCTCCTATCCCACCACCAGTGAAATTTAAAATGAGACAGTCCAGAAGAATGGTCTGGGAACAAACTCATCTGAGCGAATGAAAAATAGTGCAGAGAACTGGTGAAAATACTAGGACAAGATCCCTAAGATTCTGACTTATTATGGAAATAGACAACTTGGACACTGCCAAAGGGTATTTTGTAAGTAGAACCACAAATATTCTTTCAAAGACTCTTGGAGGGTTTCAAACAATCCTCCTAAAAATTGATCAGTATTTTTGGTAGGCATCATTTTTAATGTAAAAACGAAAAAAACAAAAATTTCCTTTTATGTGAAAACGAAAAAAGATTAAACTATTCAAAATAATGGTTAAACTGGCTTCAGAGAAGCCTGTAGCCTGTCTTACTTTTTTTCAGTGCTAATTTGAAAAACTTAGATAATTTTTTAAGAATCCAGAGCAAGTTTTTTCTGTTCTGGGTGGAAGGAGGGGAGGAGAGAACTCTTACTTGGGAGAGTAATGAGATCAGACACCATTGGATTCATTTACACTTTGCTACAACCGTGTAAGCAGCCTACAGCCTTGTGTTTTGGTTACTTCCCTGCTTAGACACCTGCATTATCCCCTACAGGAGTTGTGCCTAGCACTCAAAGTAGTCTGGCCTTCAAGGCATCCCTTCTTTCAAGAGTTCATGCCCTCTTTGGAAATGGAAAAATATTTTGTGCTGCTTTTACTGCATGTATCAATATTCTACTGCATATGATACTTAATTGATTTGCTTTATTTTCCTTTCCCCTTATTTCCCATTGCAACAGTGAGCACTGTTGTGTTTATTCATGGTCTTTCACACATACTAGGTAATCAATACTTTGTTGAAATCAGTATTTTAACAGAGGAGAAACAGCTTACAAAGCTCTTCTAATAACTCCTAAACTTTGGGTTTCCACCTCTGGAGATTTTTAAGGCAGGCAGAAGGGGCTCTGGCCTCTGTTTTAGGAGATTCAGGTTTAAACCCTCAATTTTAATTGCAAATAGCTAGAGAATTTAGACATATGAATTACCCCTCAGATTCTCTTTGCTCCGTTATGGAATGGTGATAATGCTTACACTGCTTTGGTGTAGGAGTTTTCTGAGGGGATGAGATTATGGAGGCATATATATTTTGAACAGTATAAATTGTTACTTTGGTATAGGATTTTTCTGAGGGGATGAGATTATGGAAGCATATATATTTTGAACGGTATAAATCGTTGCATAGTTTACCAATGTTTTAAGAATTTTAGTAGTGAGCCGGTGGCGGTGGCTCACTCCTGTAATCCCAGCACTTTGGGAGGCTGAGGCAGGTAGATCACGAGGTCAGGAGTTCAAGATAAGCCTGGCCAAGATGGCGAAACCCCATCTCTGCTAAAAATAGAAAAATTAGCTGGGCGTGGTGGCGGGCGCCTGTAATCCCAGCTACTCAGGAGGCTGAGGCAGAGAATTGCTTGAACCCGGGAGGTGGAGGTTGCAGTGAGCCAAGATTGCGCCACTGCAGTCCAGCCTGAGCAAAAAAGCGAGACTCCGTCTCAAAAAAAAAAAGAATTTTAGTAGTGAAAAAAGTCTTTAAAAATTTGTATGGATATATAACAGCTTTACATATATCTGGGGCGCCTGTGACGTTTTGATACAAGCATACAATGTGTAATGATGAAATCTAAACTGAGATAACCATGACCTCCAACATTTATCATTTCTTTGTGTTGGGAATATTGCGTATCTTTTCTAGCTATTTTGAAGTATACAATAAGATATTGTTAACTATAGTCATGAAAGAACTTAAATTCTGAAAAAATAAATCTTCCAGAATTACTGGAAATAGACTTTAAAAACAATCTAATCCCACAATTTTAATAATGGGATTATAGGTGGTTTCTATTTTCATGTTCATGCCTCCCGCCACCAAATTTCTACAGGGGAAATATATTTCATCAGGGGAAAGAGATTTTTCAAAAGTAATAGGAAATATTTCTTTATTATTGTGGAAGTTCATTTTGATAGTAAATTCAGAGGATTTAGGCTGTAATCCTTAATTTCAGGATAATCCCAACACTGCTTACAAGCCAGATTTCCACTCCATTTCTATGCATTTTTACTTGGGGTCGTTTGTTTCTATCTTTCCCTGCGTTCCAGGTTAGGATTCCACAATTGCAAATAGGTATTTATGTAATTCTGCTGGCCTTTGTTTTTTAAAGATTTACCTTAATTGTAAAGGTGGCCTGTTTGTAGCTTTTGTGCATAACTGGAACCTTGTACTCATAGTTGAGGTGACAGTCTGTGCAAATTCCTAGACAGTGAGATAAACCCAAGGCATTTTGCTATAAGTTGACATTTTTGCCCACATTTCTGCTACCCCATGACCCCCTTCCCCCACTGTTTTGCTTTAAATGTCTCCCTTTCCTGTTTACTATGGCAGTCAGATTCATTGGAGGCTGTGTATCAAAGAGAAAACCAGCATGTCAGCAGCATGTCTGTACCTTGAGATGAGAGGTAGGAAATAAGCTAACCCATTTCCTTCTAGATTCAGAAAAAAAATGAAGCACTGACTCCATAGACCTAGATGTCTGGCCTTACATCAGTACGTACTTAGAGAGCTCATCATTTTTCTTTAAGTTGCTGACTGGTTTTGTCAGACTCTTCTGTAGGTCCCCTATAACTGAATCTTGGAGAAGTGAAGGGCTTTTCTGATTAATTTTGGTTTTATATAATAAGATTAAGCTCCTACCATGTGAAAACAAGCTCCTTGACATTCTTTAGATTGTTGTTAAAGCCAAGTCATCTAAAACCAAAATATCACAAGTTCTTAAATGGTTTCATTATGTTGTTATCACAGGTATCACAGGTTTTTATATATCAAACAAGGAACTTTCTATAGTTTCTTAAATGGCCTGTTTGTACTTATTTGCATATTGACTTGTTTCCTGTATGTTGGCCACAACTCTAACTTGAACATCCTATCTGTAAGAGAACAACAACTTGAGACCCATCTGGTATCTGGTAGGAACTGTAAAAGTCTCCCCCTCAGATTACCGGGGCAATTGCTGCCATGGGAATAAATACAGAGAAATAATCTATAAATGGAAAAGCGGGGAGAGAATTCATGGTTAATAGGCTGTTTTCCCAAGAGGGCTAAAGCCAAAGCCCTTCTCAAAACCTTTCAGTTAAATCCCCCTTGACATCTCACAGTCTGAGTCATGCCAAGCACAATAAGCTGTTGTGAAGAAAAGTCTAGAAACTGCCAGTTCGCCAGTATTTTTTTGTCCCCTACTGTGTGTCAGGAATGGACTAGATACACAAGAGCCTTCCATTCTTAGAAGACTACAGTACTGGCCTGGCACGGTGGCTCATGCCTGTAATCCCTTCACTTTGGCAGGCCGAGTCAGGTGGATCTCCTGAGGTCAGGAGTTCAAGACCAGCCCGGCCAACATGGTGAAACCCAGTCTCTAATAAAAATACAAAAATTAGCCTGGTGTGGTGGTGCAAGCCTGTAATCCCAGCTACTCAGGAGGCTGAGGCAGCAGAATCACTTGAACCTGGGAGACCAAGATTGCAGTGAGCTGAGATCGTGCCTCCAGCCTGGGCAACAGAGTGAGACTCCATCTCAACAACAACAAAAAATTGAATATTATTGTATTGTTTTGAGAGAAATCAATTTAGGGTACCTTGGGAATGCTGCCGCTTTAGACCTGCTTTAAGGTGGTCTTCTTTTTTTTTTTTTTTTTTCTTTTTTTTTTTTGAGATGGAGTCTTGTTCTGTTGCTGAGGTTGGAGTGCAGTGGCATGATCTTGGCTCACTGCAACTTCTGCCTCGCAGGTTCAAACAATTCTCCTGCTTCAGCCTCCCCAGTAGAGTAGCTGGGATTACAGGCATACACTACCTTGCCTGGATAATTTTTGTATTTTTATTTATTTTATTTTATTTTTTAGACAAAGTCTTGCTCTTGTCCCCCAGGCTGGAGTGCAGTGGCGTGATCTCGGCCCACTGCAACCTCCACCTCCTGGGTTCAAGTGATTCTCCTGCCTCAGCCTCCTGAGTAGCTGGGATTACAGGCACCTGCCATCATGCCCGGCGAATTTTTGTATTTTTAGTAGAGATGGGGTTTCACCATGTTGGCCAGGCTGGTCTCAAACTCCTGACCTCAGGTGATCCACCTGCCTCGGCCTCCCAAAGTGCTGGGATTATAGGCATGAGCCACCACACCCAGCAAATTTTTGTATTTTTAGTAGAGACGGGGTTTTGCCATGTTGGCCAGGCTGGTCTCGAACTCCTGACCTCAAGTGATCTGCCCACCTCGGCCTCCCAGAGTGCTGGGATTACAGCCATGAGCCACAGCACCTGGCCAAAGTGGTCTTAAAAGGCTTCTGAAGAGGTTATGTTTGAAATGAGGCCAGAAGGATAACTGGAATTTATAATCTTTCTTTGGTGCCATGGATCCCTTTGATTATCTAATGAGATCTAGGATAATCCTCTTAAAATTCATTGAATTACAAAGGAAACCTGTTAGAATGAAATACCTGTCAAATATTGAAAAAAGTAAATTTGTGATGTAATATAGATACGTATTAACATATTTAATAACAAGATCTAGAAACTACCATGATTTCAAATAGTGATGAATGTAGGCAGTAAATCAAGATTTCTGCAACTATAGTGCAATATGAAAATACCTGTGATTTCTGTTGATGATGAAGTCACAGATAAACCTAATACTACTAGTGGTTTATTGCCTCTGTCAAAAGAAAAAATTACGACAAACATAGTATAAAGATCTTAATTAGCTTTTATTTGAGATTCTAAAGTTGGGCAACACCTCATTCTTAGAGAATGAGGGTTTCAATGAGCTGAGCAGAGGAAGTTGGTTTTATAGACAGGGGCTGAGGAAAGCAGAAACAGAAAACAAAAAATGGGTGGTTTCAAAGTTAATTTATTTGTAAAGGTTAAAGCAGAGGGAAGTCCCTTATGCTGGCTAAAACTGGCATGTTTGGGGGCTTGGCTATTATCTCTTCTAATTTCTCAGAAGTCAGATGAACAACTTTGCTTTGGCTTGCTGACATGGAACTTTAGCACAAGTGACTCCATTTTGGTTTGGTTTGTTGGGCCTAGGGCAGGGACTCAGTCCAAACCAGTGGTCTCCTATAAATTTTAACAGATCTATTAGTACTTGAAAGAAATGTCAAATTTCATTTAGAAGTTAACAAAAATGAAGATGTAGCTGTTCAGACCCTTTAAATTCATCCATGTTCACAGACCCTCTAAAGTCTATCCATGGACCCCAGGCTAAGAACTGCTGGCTTAGGTGGAGCAGCCAGGAGAACTGCATCCCCCCGGATAGGGGATCGTAAAGGCATTAGAGGAGGGAGGCACTTGCCTTGCAGTGGGGCAACTCCAAAAAAGGCAAAGATATCTCCCCTAAGTGTGAAATTTTAAAAAAATCAATAGCTAACAAATGAAGCTGGAAAAACCACTTGAGACAATTGGGAAAATATTAATGCTGAAACGTAATAGATGTTAAGGAATTATTGAGTTTTTTTCCCTTAGGAATTGTGGTTAAAATAAAACGTCCTAGAAATGTATGAAGATGTATACTTGAGATGCCTTGGATTAGCTTTAAAATGATTGGAGGACGAGGAAAGTAGGAGAGTAGAGATGAAATAAGATTGGCTGTATGTTGATAATTGTTGAAACTGGTTGATGGGTACGTGGGAGTTCATTAAACCATTTCTCTGCATGTATATATGTTTGAGATTATCCACAATAGAAAGTTTTATTTATTTATTTATTTTTAGACATAGTCTCACTCTGTCGCCCAGGCTGGAGTGCAATGGTGTGATCTTATCTCACTGCAACCTTTGCCTCCTGGGTTCAAGTGATTCTCATGCCTCAGCCTCCCAAGTAGCTGGGACTACAGGCGTGTGCCACCATGCCTAACTAATTTTTTTTTTTTTTTTTTAAGTAGAGATGGAGTTTCACCATGTTGGCCAGGCTGGTCTCGAACTCCTGTCCTCAAGTGATCCACCCGCCTTGGCCTCCCAAAGTGCTGGGATTACAGGCATGAGCCACCACACCTGGTCCACAATAGAAAGTTTTAAAATGCAGTGGATAAGATTAGCCATCTGTAGAAATTCAGTATTTGTTTGGACTGAGAAGTTAGGAAGGATCACTCAAGCAAGGTTAAGGTAACTAGTTTGTAATTTCAGGGAATTAATGATTGTTAAGAACATACCAAAGTGAAGCGTTATGATGATGAATGCTGCTGTGGTACAGTTAAAATATAACCTAATCTTAGTGGATAACTGCATCTAAGCTGAGCCCTATGCAGGGAGACGGTGAGCATTAAGCTGAAGAGTCATCATTGATCCAGTGAATGCCTGTGTCTCCTAGACCCAAGAGAAAAGGACATTGGTCAGGGCAGGGGACGTCCAGGATTTTCCATGTCCAAGATCAACATTTCTCTAAGTGTGATCTCTGGACTGCCTGTACTAATATCACCTGGGTTTGTTGCTAAAAATGCAGAATCCTGGCTCTACTCCAGTCTCAGCCGTTTGAGGGGAAGGGACCCAGGTTCTTACACTTTAATAAATCTTCTTCCAGGTGAATCTTAGCACATGTAAAGTTTGAAAACTGTAGCTTTAAATAAAGATGACAGTAGCTTCTCCTTATTGAGCAATTTACCATCTGCCAGATCTCATGCTGAGCTCTCTACATATATTAACGTTTTTGTAAATTATATATTTGTATATGTCAGGGAGGAAAAATATTTTTTTCCTCAACCTTCATGAGTGCTTAGTTGGAAAGGACCCCTGCAACAAAAGACAGATTAACAAGAGAAAAACAAGCTTACTAACATATCTATTTCATTTATATGTGTGGGAGATACCCAGGGGATGAGTCATTCTCAGAGGTGGCTTTGAATTCCAGCTTATGTAGTATCTTCAACAAAGAATGGTAATTTTTTAGAGAAGTGACAAGACAAAGGGGAAGAACTTTGTCTAGGGGCAGAACTTGTGGGAAGGCAAGTAAGTGGTGATAAAGGCCCGTTAGCAAAGCTTGTTAGTGTGGATTCCTCTGGTGCTGTCTTCTGGCCCATAAAGGTCTAAAGTTGTTAGTGGTTAACCTTTGTTCTCCCTGGTAGAGAGGGAGGAGGCAGGAACCTTTTTATGCCAAAGACGCATGCTTTGGGGTGACATAGTCCAGTCTCTCCCACACACATATTTATCTTTACAGCCTTATGAAGTAGTTGATGAGGAGAACTCACATTAGAAAAATGTGCTTGCTGTAGGTTACCCAGTTCTGAACAGCAAAGCAAGACCTCAAACCAGGTTCTGACTCCAA
This sequence comes from Homo sapiens, assembly GCF_000001405.40. NCBI lineage: Eukaryota > Metazoa > Chordata > Mammalia > Primates > Hominidae > Homo > Homo sapiens. Next base: position 751,688 of record NW_017852933.1, read on the forward strand.
AGCCTGTGCTCTTAGCTACTATACCACTGCCTCCCATCAGACTCCTCTGATCCCATGTCTACCAGAGACTCTCATTCATGAATCGGCCTTTCACATGCCCTTTGTGGGGCAGCTGTGTCCTAATAGAGGATGTGAATATTCTTGTCACTGGGCAGGAACAGTTCCTGTTGTATATTAATAAATTAATGTCTGGCTTATGCATTAGCCTTTTTAAAGGTAGTTCTGAGTCCTAAAGAATACTTGATAATTTATACTTGATATAAAGAAGCTTGAAACATTTCTGCAGCTATTATATATATATTCTTGTGATTCTAAGCCTTTTTTCCGCTCCTGTGGAATCTCATCAATTCCTAAGAGATTGAACATGTTCCCATCAATGACAAGAACCTACTATGGAATTACTAGCCCGAGGGCAGGATTAAGGGCCTACTCCTTTAGTTCTGAGAAAGCTTCACGCATGAGAATTAGTGGTTGATTTCCAAAGGACCAGAAGAAGCTGGTGGGAGTTGAGGCAGTGAAGACTACACACAGGCTTTTATAGACCGTGCCATGTGCTCACCTTTCTCATTTAATTCTGCCAGTTCTACATGGTAGGTACTAACAGATCCACTTACTAATTCCGAACTCAAAAAGCTCTATAAAGCAAGATTTTTTTTTTCCCCTTAAATTTGCAACAGATTCATTTGGTAGTAGATCTTTACCTGAACTGATGTGAGGCTGTTTATAGTCTTAGTTCATACTTTTTGATGCAGAAATATTAATGCTTGATTACAGGGTGCTGCCCAGACCTCACAGGTATTATAAGGTGTCAGCTGTGTGTCAGGTATGAGCGCCATGTTGTCTTTCTAAAATTTAAAGAATTTTCCAAAACACTTTTGACTTCAAGAGTTTCAGATGAGAAAGTTGAAGTTAGGTTAAGTGTTTGTTCAACTCTTTGCTGCTGAGTTATGTAAATGGATTTGAAAAAAAAAAAGCCATATATGCTTTTTTCAACACTTTAAGGGCCCGTTGAGTGTCATTTAGCCCATTGTTTGTTAGCCTTGCAAATCCTTCTAGAGTTGTAGAAAAAGCCTCAAGAAGAGTGTGTTGTGTTGTGTTTGAGACAGTCTCTGTCACCCAGGCTGTAGTGCAGTGGCACGATCTCGGTTCACTGCAACGTTCACCTCCCACGTTCAAAAGATTCTCATGCCTCAGCCTCCTGAGTACGTGGGATTACAGGCGCGTGCCACCACGCCGGACTAATTTTTGTATTTTTATTAGAGGTGGGTTTTTGTCATGTTGGCCAGGCTGGTCTTGAACTCCTGGCCTGCCTTAAGCAATCTGCCTGTTTTGGCCTCCCAAAGTGTTGGGATTACAGGTGTGAGCCACCATGCCTGGCCAAGAAGAGTGTTTTTAAAGTCAAGTTCTGAGTCTTTTACAGTTTGATCATCAGTAAGCTTCAAACCATTTCTCCCCTCTTTCTGGTTCTGTCCAGGGAAATACTGTGACTTTTTCCTTTGGAATATATACTGTGTTTTAGTGTCTTCAGGTAGAGCTGAGCAGGGAGGGAATCAAGGTGACTTACACTGCGGCATTAAGGTTGGGATTATTCCCCTTTATCCTTGGCCATTTAGGAAGCAGTCTTAGCAGGACCAGAATAAATCATCTGATAAATTTCTCGTGAATAAGGAGGATAATGGTGATAAAACTCTCATAAAATTAAAAATAACAGGAGTCTTTGAAGCATATTAAGCTAAAATATATTTCTCGTCAAAGCAACATACTTTTCATTTTTTTTGGTCCAGAATGCCTCATTCAGAGAAAGAGATTGATTTTTTTTTCCAAATTAAGATCCTCCACATAGAAATAGGAACGTTTTACACTGTTGGTGGGAGTGTAAATTAGTTCAACCATTGTGGAAGACAGGGTGTCAATTCCTCAAGGATCTAGAACTAGAATTACCATTTGACCCAGCAGTCCCATTACTGGGTATGTACCCAAAGTATCATAAATCATGCTGCTATAAAGACGCATGCACACGTATGTTTATTGCGGCACTATTCACAATAGCAAAGACTTGGAACCAACCCAAATGTCCATCAGTTGATAGACTGGATTAAGAAAATGTGGCACATGTACACCATGGAATACTATGCAGCCATAAAAAAGGATGAGTTCATGTCCTTTGCAGGGACATGGATGAAGCCGGAAACCATCATTCTCAGCAAACTATCACAAGGACAGAAAACCAAACACTGCATGTTCTCACTCATAGGTGGGAATTGAACAACGAGATCATTTGGGCACAGGGTGGGGAACATCACACACTGGGGCCTGTCGGGGTGGGGATAGCATTAGGAGAAATACCTAATGTAAATGATGAGTTGATGGGTGCAGCAAACCAACATGTCACATGTATACCTATGTATCAAACCTGCACATTGTGCACATGTACCCTAGAACTTAGAGTATAATTTTTTTTAAAAATCCTCCACGTTAGGCTTTATTTCTGTTAAACATGATGTTTTTGCTTAAACTTTGATCACATGTTCCATGTTTTTTGTCTTAAGGGATTGTTATGTCTCACTTTAGATTTTTTAGTTGAATATTAATTTTATGCATGGTATATGCTTTGGAAAATTAGCCTCACAATGCACTGGGGTATTGGTGAGCATTAGAGGAGCTAAGCATATAAAGGACAGCCTGTGCTCATTTCTTATGAAGACAGGGAGTTTAATTTCTTCTTTTCTTAAAATAAACATATGGTATTGTGGTATAATAAAAATTATATATTTGGTCTTTGTCCCTGGTTTCTGGCATAGAACTCCTAAAACCCTTGGAATTTCCTGATAGGTTGAGGTCTGGTCACCAGAGAAGGCAACCACATGATTAGAGGGTTAGATCTATCAGTCCCAGCCCCACAACCTCTGGATAGAGGGAAGGGTTGGAGCTTGAGTTCAGTCACCAATGGCCAATAATTGAATCAATCATGCTGATGTGAGAGAAGACCTGGAGAAAACTGAAATGGGTCTAAAGGAGCTTCTGGGCAGTGCTGGGAGGCCAGTGAGCCCAGAGATGGAGACTCTATGTCAGCCCCACCCCAACAAGAGTTGGTGCTGACAATCGGAGAATTGGTGTTGGAACAGCAGAACAGCAGGTATCTTTTTTTTTTTTTTGAGATGGAGTTTCATTCTTGTTGCCCAGGCTGGAGTGCAATGGCGCCATCTCGGCTCATTGCAACCTCTGTCTTCCAGGTTCAAGCAATTTTCCTGCCTCAGCCTCCCAAGTAGCTGGGATTACAGGCGTGTGCCACCACACCTGGCTAATTTTTGTATTTTTAGTGGAGACGGGGTTTCAGCATGTTGGTCAGGCTGGTCTCGAATTCCTAACCTCAGGTGATCCACACGTCTTGGCCTCCCAAAGTGCTGGGATTACAGGCGTGAGCCACCGCAGCCAGCCAAGAAACAGCAGGTATCTTATCTGTTTGTGTCACCTGGTCCTGATCTTCTCTTACAGTATCTGACGAAGCAAGTGGAACTTCTACGGCAGATGAACGAACAACATGCAAAGGTTTATGAACAATTAGACGTCACAGCAAGGGAACTGGAAGAAACAAATCAAAAGCTAGTTGCTGACAGCAAGGCCTCACAGCAAAAGATTCTGAGGTAAATTTTCTAGAATCTGACAAGGAAGGACTAGGGGGAAGTTCTTTAGTATAAACTAGAATAGAACATGGCTGCAGTGGGTTTGGGTCAATATGGGATAAGGTTTAATTTAATTCTTTTTGGAGAATGGAGATTAAATAGACATCCTTTCCAATTAAGAAAGCCCAGTGTGAGTGGTTTGCACCTAATCTCTCCTCACCGCTTTTGCCCTTGATTCAATATGACAAGCAGCAGTGGCTTCTGTCTGTTCCTCACAGCCTGACTGAAACGATTGAATGCCTGCAAACCAACATTGATCACCTCCAGAGCCAAGTGGAGGAGCTGAAGTCATCTGGCCAAGGGAGAAGGAGCCCGGGAAAGTGTGACCAGGAGAAACCGGCACCCAGCTTTGCATGTCTGAAGGAGCTGTATGACCTCCGCCAGTAAGAGCCTGCCTTTCTGTGGAGTTACAGCAGGGACTGTCTCATGTCATTGGCACATTCTGATTTCCAGTAGATTGAAAGTACCATTTTAAGAAAAGTCACTTAGCTATTAAGCTACCATTGGTTTGAACAAAATCACTTAAACATATAAATTACAGAGTTCTTAGATATTAGTAGTTCTCATTTTGAAAGTCTTGGAACACTTATTTCAGTGCTTTTAATGTATTAAATCATAGTTTAAGATGAATTCTGATAGACTAGATTTGGGAGTTGTGTTTTACATTAGAGTGAAGAAAAACAGAAATACTGGTAAAACAAAAATTCAAGCGAACAGGAGATTTTTTGCTTAAAGAAGTACCTTTATAATTTAGAGTTATAAGTCTGAATCTTTAAGAAGTATTTATGGAACACTTGTGTGGCAAGCTGTATGCTAGACCCAAGGGTTGGCGAGCAAAATAGTTTCTACCCCTGTGAGCTTTCAGTCTAACGGAACGGCAGATAAGCAAATAAAAACACAAATAAATAGTCAAGGTGCTTCAGACTGAGCAGGAGAAACCAGGTGGTTCATTTGGTGGGTCTCAACCTTGGCTGTACATCAGATCACCTGTGGGGTTTTTCAAAATGCAAATACCAACACATTTCCTCAGGCCTAAATCAGAATTTCTAGGTGCGGGTAAAAAGCTGCCCAGGCAATTCTGATGAACATTCCTGGTTAAAAATCACCACAGCAACAGTAATTTGCTGTAGTGATTCAATCGTAGTTACATATTATGAATCATTTGGAGAGCCTTTAGAAACCCTCAGGCCAGGTAGCAGACCAACTAGGTTGGAATCTGTGGGTTGGGACCCAGGCACCAGTACTTTTTAAGGTTTCCCTTGTGAGGTCATTGTCATACTGCTAGAATAGATGTTCTCTAGTACTTTTAACATTAAAAAAAGATTTGTCACAAAAATTGAGTTTGCTTTCATGTGTTTATTTACCAGCCTCACACAATTCCATTTTAGCCACTGCTCCAAGTGTGGCTAAAAACCAATCACTGTTGGCCGGGTGTGGTGGCTTACGTCTGTAATCCCAGCACTTTGGGAGGCTAAGGCAGGAGGATCACCTGAGGTTGGGAGTTCGAGACCAGCCTGACCAACATGGAGAAACCCCGTCTCTACTAAAAATACAAAATTAGCTGGGCGTGGTGGCGCATGTCTAAAATCCCAGTTACTCGGGAGGCTGAGGCAGGAGAATCGCTTGAACCTGGGAGGCTGAGGTTGCAATGAGCTGAGATCGCTTCACTGCACTCCAGCCTGGCGACAAAGTGAGACTCCGTCTCAAAAAAAAAGAAAAAAAAATTAGTCACTGTCACAGCTCCTCAAATTTATTTAGTTGAAAAAAAATCACCAGTCTTCCTCTCGTCATTTTCAGTGGACCTGTGTAATATATTCTTTCAATATTTTTTTCCCTAGACACTTCGTGTATGATCATGTGTTCGCTGAGAAGATCACTTCCTTGCAAGGTCAGCCAAGCCCTGATGAAGAGGAAAATGAGCACTTGAAAAAAACAGTGACAATGTTGCAGGCCCAGCTGAGCCTGGAGCGGCAGAAGCGGGTGACTATGGAGGAGGAATATGGGCTCGTGTTAAAGGAGAACAGTGAACTGGAGCAGCAGCTGGGGGCCACAGGTGCCTACCGAGCACGGGCGCTGGAACTAGAGGCCGAGGTGGCAGAGATGCGACAGATGTTGCAGTCAGAGCATCCATTTGTGAATGGAGTTGAGAAGCTGGTGCCAGACTCTCTGTATGTTCCTTTCAAAGAGCCCAGCCAGAGCCTGCTGGAAGAGATGTTCCTGACTGTGCCGGAATCACATAGAAAGCCTCTCAAGCGCAGCAGCAGTGAGACGATCCTCAGCAGCTTGGCAGGGAGTGACATCGTGAAGGGCCACGAGGAGACCTGCATCAGGAGGGCCAAGGCTGTGAAACAGAGGGGCATCTCCCTTCTGCACGAAGTGGACACGCAGTACAGCGCCCTGAAGGTGAAGTATGAAGAGTTGCTGAAGAAGTGCCAAGAGGAACAGGACTCCCTGTCACACAAGGCTGTGCAGACCTCCAGGGCTGCAGCCAAGGACCTGACTGGAGTGAACGCCCAGTCTGAGCCTGTTGCCAGCGGCTGGGAACTGGCCTCTGTCAACCCAGAGCCCGTGAGTTCCCCTACAACACCTCCAGAATACAAAGCGTTGTTTAAGGAGATCTTTAGTTGCATCAAGAAAACTAAGCAGGAAATAGATGAACAGAGAACAAAATACCGATCACTCTCCTCTCATTCTTAATTGAACCTCTAGCTCTACTACTAATTTGCCTATTGCCTATCGCCTCTCTCTCCCATTCAGACAAGTGTTTGTAGACTCTGAAGCCTAATGTTACTCATGACGTTTGCCTCATTGCTTTGCTTATTTAGCAAATGCATACAACGAGGAAAGGAGGTGGCTAGTGGTATCAGTTCTCTGATCCACTTCCATTTAAGCTCCCCAGGAAATCCCATGACAAACTGGCCTCTGGCTGGCGCGCTGATTAGACTTCAGTTCCTGAAAAGGACCAGTGGAGGGAAGAGCTATACTTCTGGAGAAGTAGGCCTGGAGTTACTACAGTATGGGGGAAAAGGGTCGAGTTAGAACAAAGCTAAGGCAATTCCTATTGCTTCCTTGCGCAACTTCTCAAAACGATGAAAGTCAGAAGGCTGTCAAACTCAAATATCTTTGCAAACACTGTTTGAATACTGTGAATTCATTACGAAGAATGTTCGAGAGAAAGCAGGGGTCTAATCCAAAAGAAATGTCATTAACCAATACTCCAAGTCCTTGAGTTTTGTTATATCTGAACTAGTTGAACTGTGACTGACAGGTAATCCTAATATATCCAAATCCAACTGAATACCAAATTGAGATGGCAAATTTTTGTTTGATATAAGTTAGCTTGTTAGCATATGCCCTAGAGGGCCTCCATCCCTGTATTCTAATGTTTTTACTCAAAGCTCTAGCCTTTAGGATAGGTGAATATGTAAATCTTTTATCACTTTCTCAAATTCAAACTAAAGGGGAAAGATCAAACCCCTTCCCTTCCTACCTGTTTTCTGAGCTGGCTGACTTGCCAGCCACAAGCTGCTCTTGCAGAGTTCTTACCATTCCTGTAAATGTTTTGACTTGTTGCAGAAATTCCTATCTACTTTATTAAGCAGTATTGATCTGACTGTGGAAACATCCTCTCACTTGCATTCTTTTAACTTAAAACTATTTAAGAACTGATGTTCCGATTATTGTATATATTTTTCTAAAAACCAAATAAAGCTACCTATGAAAATGAACAGATGGATCTGTGTCTTACTTTCAATATAAGCCATTTCGCTCTTATAACCAACTGTTCACTTTTTTTCTTCCAACAAATATCGCGAGAAAGATTTGCAGTGATTTTTTTTTTCCTATTTTAAACAGGGAATCCTTGGATTTGTGTAACTTAATAGCACAAATTCTGCTCATATTGCTAAATGCTCATTAAAACTACTCTGGACAAACATTTTCAAATTTATATACTCTGTAATTTTCACTATTTCAGAAATGTCAGACTTGGTTCTGAATTAATAGCATTTGACAAATTGATTCTCAAAACATTTGATCAACCATAGCAAAGAAACTATACTATTCAAACTATACTATTCAAACTATACTATTAATGTTTGAATAGTATAGCTTATTTAAAAACAGTTTGCATTTCTATTAATAAGACAATATTTTTTAATCTGTTAGCCATTTGTAGTCTCCTTTGCCTATTTAAAGAGCTCTATTTATATATGCAGTTTTGCAGTTAGAAGTTTGAAAGTGTTTTGTCCCAGATTATCTTAATTTTTATCTGATTTTTTTGTTGTGTGTGGTTTTTTTTTGTTTTTTGTTTTTTTGAGAAGGTCTTGCTCTGTTGCCTAGGCTGGAGCGTGGTGGCATGAACACGGCTCACTGCAGCCCTTGACTTATGGGCCCAAGCAATCCTCCCACCTCAGCCTTCCTACCAGAGGTGCGTGCCACCATGCCCAGCTAATTTTTTAACTTTTGGTAGAGATGGGGTTTTGCCTTGTTGCCCAGGCTGGTCTCGAACTCCTGGGCTCAAGCAATCTGCCCTGCCTTGGCCTCCCAAAGGTAACTCCAAAGGCAACTCCTGGGATTACAGGCACGAGCCACCACACCCAGCAGTTTTTACCTTGTTAATGGCATTTTTTTTTCACCAAGCACAATTTTATGTATATGAAAAAAAATTTTTTTTTTTTTTTTTAGAGCGGGGGCAGACAGCATCTCACTCTGTTGCCCAGGCTGGAGTGCAATGGCACGATCTCAACTCACTGCAACCTCCACTTCCCGGGTTCATGTAATTCGCGTGCCTCAGCCTTCCCAAGTTGAATAGCTGGGACTGCAGGCACGTGCCACCATACCTGGCTAACTTTTTGTATTTTTAATAGAGATGGGGTTTTGCCGTGTTGGCCAGGCTGGTCTCGAACTCCTGGCCTCAAGTGTTCTGCCTGCCTTGGCCTCCCAAAGTGCTAGGACTACAGGTGTGAGCCACCACACCTGGACACTTTTATGTATATGAATCTTTAACACGTCTCTTTTTGTGTTTGAGAGTTCTTTGATCCATCTGAAGTCTATCCACCAACGCTTGAAATGCCACCCATATTAGTACTAAATGTCTACATGAATTTTAACCTATTTCTTCTAGGATCTGATTTTCATGTACCTAATGCAGTTTTAAATTTTTATTTTTTATTGTCTTATTTTGTAGTTTTAAGTTGCTGTACTTGGATATTTATATTTTCATAACTGCTAAGGGGAAGTTAAACTCTCATTACTCTTTCAGGATTTTCCTGGTTTTTTTTTTTTTTTTTTGCATTTTTTTTCCCCATATGAGCTTTAAAATTAGCTTGTCTGGTTCTTGAGGGGAAATTGGTACTTTTATCAAGATCAAGTTAAATAAATAGATTAATAAGAACAGGCTTAATCATACGGAGGCTTCTATCCAAAAACATGGCTATATGTCTTTTTTTTGAGATGGGGTCTCACTCTGTCACCCAGGCTGAAGTGCAGTGGTGCATTCTTGGCTCACTGAAACCTCTGCCTCCCGAGTAGCTGGGATTACAGGCTCCCACCACCATGCCCAGCTAATTTTTGTATTTTTAGTAGAGACGGGGTTTCACCATGTTGGCCAGGCTGGTCATGAACGGTTATGTGTTTTTCCATTTGTTCCAATGGTCTTTGTATGTCTCAGTTTTCAAATTTTTACCATTTATGTCTCGCATATTTTTAAAGGTTTGTCTCTTGGATGTTTTAAGTGGGATTCTTCTCCTGCTATACTTTGTAACTAGTTGTGTATAGAAAAGCTATTGATTTCAGCTATCTTGTTGAATTATCATGGGGGAATATCTTTTATTTGACTCTTTTGATATACCTGGAAAAATATTGTTTGGCTACTTAATTTTTACACTTATTCTTGTTTAAATGCTCTGAAATATCCAGAATATTAAATATGGTGGGAGTAAAATTGCTTGTCTGAATCCTAAACAATATGTCCATTGTTTGATTTAGCATAATGTTGGATTTTTTTTAATTAATCAGGAATCCATCTATTCCTGTTTTAAGAATTTATATCAAAAATGAGACAGGCACAGTGGTGTGCACCTATAGTCCCAGCTATTTGGCAGGCTGAGGCAAGAGGATCACTAGAGCCCAGGAGTTCAAGGCTATGATGCACTATTATCGCACCTGTGAATAGCCACTGTACTCCAGCCTGGGCAATATAGTGGGATCCTGTCTCTAAAAAAAGAAAAAGAACTATACATATTTTTGTTGTTTCATCAAATAAAACTTGTTTATTTTCATTTTTCTCTTTCCTTTGTTATATACATGTCTGTATCCTCTTATGTTCTTTTTATTGTATATATTTAATATGTTCAATGTTTTGATATACTTGATATATACAGTGATTACTAAGATCAAGCAAATTAACATACCCATCATAACATACCCGTGTATGTGATAAGAGTACCTAAAATCAACTCTCTTGGCAAGTTACCAGTATATGATACAATTTTATTAACTAGAAGCCCTCATGTTGTCTATTAGATCTCTTAGGCTTGTCCATCCCACATAACTGCAACGTTGACTTGCCTCTTCCCATTTCCCCCACCCCTGGTAACCACTATTTTACTGTTTTTGTTGTTGTTGATGATGTTTGTTTTTAAGATTCTACATATAAGTGGGATCATGCAGTATTTTTCTTCCTGTGTTTAGCTTATTTCATTTAACATGATGTCTTCCTCCAGCTTCATCCCTGTTGTTGCAAATGGCAGGACCTCCCTTTTTAATGCTGAAGTTCCATGGTATGTATGTATATTATTATAGCATAATTTCTTTATCCATTCATCTGTTGATGGACACCTTGGTTGTTTCCATATGTTGGCTCCTGTGAATAATGCTGCAATGAACATGGGGACAGAGTTGTCTTTACAAGGTGGTGATTTCATTTCCTTTAGGCATGTGCCCAGAAGAGGGATTGCTGTATCATATGGTAGTTCTATCTTTAAGAGCATCCATACTGTTTTCCACAGTGCAGCACCAATCTGCATTCTGATCAACAGTGTACAAATGTTCAGTTTTCTCTACAACTTCACCACTTGCTATTTCTTGTCTTTTTGATAAAAGCTATCCTAACGTGAGATATCTCATTGTGGTTTTTATTTGCATTTTCTTGATTAGTGATGTTGAGCAGCTATATCCCTGCTGGCCATTTTTATGTCTTTGAAGAAATGTCTATTCAGATGCTTTGCCCATTTTAAAATCAGGTTATTCATTTGAATGCTATTGAGTTCCCTATATATTTTGGTTAGTAACCCCTTATTAGATATATAGTTTGCAAGTATTTTCTCCCAGTGCGTAGGCTGCCTTTTCATGTTGTTTCCTTTGCTGTACAGAAGCTTTTGTTTGAGGTAGTCCTGTTGTGTTTTTGCTTTGGTTGTCTGTGCTTTTGGTGTCCCAGTCAAAACATCATTGCCAAGGTTAATGTCAAAGACCTTTTCCTCTATTTTTTTTTCTTAAGGTTTTATGGTTTCAGTTCTTAAAATAGGTTTTTTTGTTAGTTTGTTTTTGTTTTTGAGATGGTGTCTCGCTCTGTCCTCCAGGCTGGAGTTGTGGTGCGATCTTGGCTCACTGTAACCTCCATCTCTTAGGTTCTAGTGATTCTCCTGCCTTAGCCTCCAGAGTAGCTGGGATTATAGGCATGCTCCACCACGCCTTGCTAATTTTTTGTATTTTTGGTAGAGTCGGGGTTCTGCCATGTTGGCCAGGCTGGTCTCAAACTCCTGACCTAAAGTGATCCGCTTGCCTCAGCCTCCCAAAGTGCTGGGATTACAGGTGTGAGCCACTGTGCCCAGCCTAAAAATAGGTTTTTAATCCATTTTGAGTTGATTTTTGTGTAAGGTGTAAGATAAGAGTTCAACTTCATTCTTTTGCATGTAGATACACACATTTTCTATGTATAAAATCATGTCATCTGCAAGCAGGAACAATTTGACTTCTTTCTTTCTGATTTGGATGCCTTTTTTTTTTTTTTTTTCTCCAGAGTCTCACTCTGTCTCCCAGGCTGGAGTGCAGTGGCGCAATCTCAGCGCACTGCAACCTCTGCCTTCTGGGTTCAAGCAATTCTCCTGCGTCAGCCTCCCAAGTAACTGGGATTACAGGCTTATCACCACCACACCTGGCCAATTTTTGTATTTTTAGTAGAGTGGGGGTTTCACCATGTTTGCCAGGCTGGTCTCGAACCCCTGACCTCAGGTGATCCGCCTGCCTCGGCCTCCCAAAGTGCTGGGATGACAGGCGTGAGCCACCAGCCTTTTATTTTTCCTGTGCAATTGCTATAGTTAGGACTTCCAGTGTTTTGTTGAATGGAAGAGGTAAGAGTGGGCATTCCTTCTATACTTAGTTTGTTGATTTTTTAATCATGAATGGTTGTTAATTTTCAGATGCTTTTTCTGCATCTATTGAGAAGATTATATGGTTTTTGTCCTTCATTCTGTTAATGTGGTGTATCACAATTATTGATTTGCATATGTTGAACCATTGAACCATCCTTGCATCCCAGGGATAAATCCAACTTTGTTTTGGAGACAGGGTCTCACTCTGTCACTCAGGCTGGAGTGCAGTGGTGGTCATAGCTCACTGCAGTCTCAAACTCCTGGGCTCAAGCAGTCCTCCTGCCTCAGCTTTCCAAGCAGCTGGGACAATAGGCACACAGCACCACACCTGGCTAATTAAAAAAAAAAAATTTTTTTTTTTTTTTTTTTTTGCAGAGATGGGGTTTTGCTATATTGCCCAGACTGGGATAAATCCCACTTGATCCTGGTGAATGAGCCTTTTAATGTGCTGAATTTGGTTTGCTAGTTCTGGTGAGGTTTTTGCAGCTGTGTTCATCAAGGATATAAGGATATTGGTCTAATTTGCTTTTATTTTCTTTCTTTCTTTCTTTCTTTATATTTTTAGGTGGAGTCTCGCTCTGTCGCCCAGGCTGGAGTGCAGTGGCGCGATCTTGGCTCACTGCAACCTCCGCCACCCAGGTTCTAGCGATTCTCCGGCCTCAGCTTCCTGAGTAGCTGGTATTACAGGCATGCGCCACCACTCTCGGTTAATTTTTAGTAGAGACGGGGTTTCACCATTTTGGCCAGGATGTTCTCAAACTCCTGACCTCAGGTGATCTGCCCATCTTGGCCTCGCAGTGTTGGGATTACAGGCATGAGCCACTGTGCTCGGCCTAATTTTCTTTTCTTATAGTGTCCTTGTCTGGATTTGATATCAGGGTAGTGCTGGCCTTGTAAAATTAGTTTGAAAGTATTCCTCTTCATCAAATTTTTGGAAGTTTCAGAAAGATAGGTAGTAGTTTTCCATAAATGTTTAGTTGAATTCGGCAATGATGCCACCAGGTCCTGGGCTTTTCTTTGATGGCAGACTTTTTAAAATTATTGATTCAACCTTCTTACTCATTGGTCAGATTTTCGGTGTCTTTGTGATTCAGTCTTGGTAGGCTGTATGTGTCTAGGAACTCATCCATTTCTTGTAGGTTATCCAGTTTGCTGGTAATTTTTTATGGTAGTCTCTTAGGATCCTTTGTATTTCTTTTCTTTTCTCTTTTTTTTTTTTTTTTTTTTTTTTTGAGACAGAGAGTCTTGCTCTGTCTCCCAGGTTGGAGTGTGTAGTGGCGTGATCTTGGCTCACTGCAACTTCCATCTCACGGGTTCCAGCAATTCTCCCACCTAAGCCTCCCAAGTAGCTGAGATTACAGGCATGTACCACCACACCCAGCTAATTTTTTTTTTTCGAGATGGAGTTTTGCTCATGTTGCCTAGGCTAGAGTGCAATGGCATGGTCTTGGCTCACTGCAACTTCTGCCTCCCGGGTTCAAGTGATTCTCCTGCCTCAGCCTCCCAAGTAGCTGGGATTACAGGAACCTGCTAGCATGCCTGGCTAATTTTTTGTATTTTTAGTAGAGACAGGGTTTCACCACTTTGACCAGGGTGGTCTCAAACTCCTGACCTCAAGTGATCCGCCCACCTTGGCCTCCCAAAGTGCTGGGATTACAGGCATGAGCCACCGTGCCTGGCCTGATCCTTTGTATTTCTATGGAATCAGTTGTAATGTCTTCCCTTCTCCCTCTCCCTTCTTTCCTTTCTTTCTTTCTTTCTTACAAGGTCTCACTCTTATCGCCCAAGCTGGAGTGCAGTGGTGGGATCTCAGCTCACTACAACATTCCCTTCCCAGGCTCAAGTGATTCTCCTACCTCAGCCTCCCAAGTAGCTGGGATTACAGGTGCCTGCCACCATGCCCAGCAAATTTTTGTATTTTTTAGTAGAGATGGGGTTCACCATATTGACCAGGCTGATCTCAAACTCCTGACCTCAGGTGATCCACCTGCCTTGGCCTCCCAAAGTGCTGGGATTATCTTTTTCCATTTCTAATTCTATGAGAGTCTTCTCTATTTTTTCTTAGCTAGAAGTTTGTCAATTTTATCTTTTCAAGAAACCAACTGAATTTTGTTGATCTTTTCATTTTTTTCAGCTCTGGTCTTTACTATTTCCTTTCTTTTATTTATTTTTGAGACGTAGTCTTGCTCTGGTCTTTATTATTTCCATTTATGTATATATGTATGTATTTTTGAGATGGAGTCTTGCTCTGTTACCCAGGCTGGAGTGCAGTAGCGTAATCTCATCTCACTGCAACCTCCGTCTCCCAGGTTCAAGCGATTCTTCTGCCTCAGCCTCCCGAGTAGCTGGGACTATAGGAGCGTGTCACCATACATGGCTAATTTTTTTGCATTTTTAGTAGAGATGGGGTTTTTCCATGTTGGTCAGGCTAGTCTCAAACCCCTGACCTCAGGTGATCTGCCCACCTTGGCCTCCCAAAGTGCTGGGATTACAGGTGTGAGCCACCTCACCTGGCCTATTTCCTTTTATTAACTGGGCCTAGTTCTTTTTATTTTCCTGGTGCCTTGAGGTGTAACATTGGGTTGTTTATCTGAAGTCTTTTCTTTCTGATGTGGGTGGGGATTGCTATAAACTTCTGTCTCAGAGCTGCTTTTGTTGTATTTCATGTTTTGTGTCCATTTTTGTCTCAAGATATTTTTAAAATTTTTCCTTTTAGTTTTTTTCATTGGCCTATTTGTTGTTCAGGAGCATGTTTAATTTCCACGTATTTGTAAATTTTCTGAAATTCCTCCTGTTACTGATTTCTAGTTTCATACCATTGTGGTCAGAAAAGATACCGCCCTAATATATGATCTGTCCTGGAGAATATTCCATGTATGCTCGAGAAGAATGTGTATTCTGCTGTTGGATGGAATCTCCTGTATATGGTAGGTCCATTTTGTTTAATGTGTAAAATCTGATGCTTTCTTATTGATTTTTTTTTTTTTTTTGGCCTTGATCTGTCCATTACTGAAAGTGGGATATTGAAATCCCCTACTATTATTGTATTACAGTCTGTCTCTCCATTCAGAGCTATTCATATTTGCTTTCTATATTTAGGTGCTCAGATATTGAGTGAATATTTACAGTTGTTAAGTGACCCCTTTATCATTATACTGTGACCTTGTCTCATTTTACAGTTTTGACTTAAAGTTTGTTTTATCTAATGTAAGTATAGCTCTCTTGTTCTCTTTTGGTTTCTATTTGCATGAAATGCCATTTTCCATTCCTTCACTTTCAGTCTCTATGTGTCCCTTACAGGTTAAATGAGACACTTTTTGGCAGCATATAGTTAGATCTTTTTTTTTTTTTTAATCCAGCCACTCCGTTTTTGGATTATGGAAGAGTTAAACCATTTACATTCACAGTAAATGGATTGGAGAATTTAATCCATTTACATTCACAGTAGTAACTCCTTACCTATCCCTGTTGGTAGGTAAGGAGTTACTACTGCAATTTTGTTGTTTTCTGGTTGTTTTGTAGATCCTTTGTTTCTCTCTTACTGTCTTCCTTTGTGATTTATTTTCTTTAGAGGTATGCTTTGATTCCTTTTTATCTTTTGCATATCTGCTATAGGTTTTTGCTTTGTGGTTATCATGAAGCTTATGTAAAACACAGTGATAGCAGACTATTTTAAGCAGATAACTTTGATTGCATTAAAAACTATACTTTATTCTCTCTCCCACATTTTGTTTTTGAGGTCACAATTTACAAGTTTTATATTTTGTATCCCTTAACAAATTAGCTATTAATAGTTTTATCTTTTAACCTTTATACTAAAGATAAGCAATATATATACCACCATTACAGTATTAGAGTATTCTTGAGTTTGACATTATGCTTTTACCAGGTTTATACTTTCATATGTTTTCATGTTACTAATTAACATCCTTTTCTACCAGCTTGAACTCCCTTTCACATTTTTTTGTAAACACAGAGCTGGTGATGATGAAATGCTTCAGCTTTTGTCTGTCTGGGAATGTCTTTTTCTCCATTTCTGAAGTTTTGCTGGATAAAGTATTCATGGTTGGCAATTTGTTCTCCTTTAGCACTCTGAATATATCATCCTACTCTCTCCTGGCCTGTAAGGTTTCTGCTGAGAAGTGCTAGCCTTATTGGAACTCCCTTATATGTGATCTGCTTCTTTTCTCTAGCTGCTTTTAGGATCTTCCCCTTTGTCTTTTGATTTTTGACAATTTCATTATAATGTGTCGTGGTATAGTTTTGTTCATACTGAATCTGATTGGAGACTTTTGATACTCTTATACCTGGATATTTATATCTTTCTCCAGATCTGGAAGGTTTTCTGCTACTATTTTGTGATTTATTTCTTTCTTCTCCTTACTGAACTTCTATAACTCAAATATTTGCTCTTTTGATGCTGTCCTATAAATCCCTTAAGCTTTCTTCATTCCTTTTCATTCTTTTTGTTCTTCTGGCTATATTTTCAAATAATCTGTCTTTGAGTTCATAGATTCTCTGCTTGATCAATTCTGTTGATGCTCACTATTCCATTTTTCATTTCATTCATATTATTTTTCAGCTTCAGAATGGTTTGTAAAAAATATATAACTTCAATCTATTAGGTTTCTTGATTTGGTTTTCTTTATTTTGTTGAGTTATATCTGTGTATTTTCTTGAAGTTTGCTGAACTTCCTTAAAACTATTTTGAGTTGTCAGGCAGTTCATAAATCTCCATTTCTTTAGGGTAGATTTCTGGTGCTTTATTTTGTTACTTTGGTGATAGCATGTCTCCCTGATTGTTCTTGATCCTTGTGGTCATATGTTGATGTCTGTACATTGGATGAAGTGGTAAGGACTGATTCTAATCTTTGCAGTCTGACTTTGCCTGGAACAGCCGTTTACCAGTGAGCCCATTCAGAGATTCTGGGCAAGTTGTCTGGTGTGGTCTTCTGTGGGCAGGCTTGTTGCTGGAGTCCTTGAGCAGGCTGACCTAGTACCTAGGTCAGCAGATGGATGAGCCTGGTGCTTGCATGCATAGGATTAATCCTGGAACGTAGGTCCAGTGGAGTGGGCCAGTTGATTGGGTCTGCAGGGGTACAACCAGAGCCTGAGTCCACAAGGGCAGGCCTGGAGCCTGCATCCAGGGAGCTGACCTGAAGCCTAAAAACCTGCAGGGGTGGGCCTAGGTTCTGGGTCCATAGGGACTGTTCTGGAGCCTCAGTCCGCCAGGGCATGCCTGGCATTGAGGCTTACTGAGGTATGTGCCTGGAACCTGGGTCCACTGGAGCCTGGTGCTGAGGCACACATGGACCTTGGGTCCAGGGGTATTGTACTGGAGCCTGGGATTGTGGGTGCTGGCATGGGGGCATATAGATCAGCCTGGAGCCAGGGGTATATAGATACTGGCCTGGAGATTAGTCTCTGAGGGCTCGCTTGGATCCTGGGGCCATGGGGGCTGGCCTAGAACCTGGGGCTGCAGGGGATATTGGAGCCTAGTCTGTGAGGGCCAGCCCAGTGCTGGGGTTTACTCAGATGGGGCTGGACCAGGGTGGGGAGGGGGTGCCTGCTAGAGTGTGAGCTCATGGGTGCAGGCCTGGCAGTGGGTATGCTTAGAGCCTGTGTTCCTGGCGCAGGCCTGGAGTCTGGGGCTGGCATGATTTTGGGGTCCAATGTTCTCCTTCCTCCAAGTAGAGGGTCTCTCTCTCTCTCTCTCTCTCTCTCTCCACCCTGTGCTGCCTGGGGCTGGGGAGGGGGTAAGCTAGGTAATGTAAAATTGTCCCTCCTATCCTCTTTAGTACATCTTATTTCTGTGGTACACCAAGGTGCTGTAATCTCTAGAGGTTCCTTAACTCTTGTGAAGGTATTTTTGTGTGTGGACAGTTGTTTAAATTCATGTTTCTGCAGGGGGATGAGTGCTGGAAAGTCCTATTCTGACATCCCAAGTTCCCTCAATTTTTTTTAAAACAATAGTTCCCTCCTATATTCCTTGTTTCTTTTTCTTGCTATTTGAGTTTGGTGTTTTAACCAGTTCTTTTTATCAATGTAAAGTATTTAAGGCTCTGACTTCTCCACTGAGCCAATTAAGTTCTGCAAGGTGATGGGACTAACATTCTGTGCCGTCCCACATGAGCATTTCCCCTTTCAAAGTGAGAAGGAAGTAGGATGGAAAAGCTGAGACATATTCCAAATCGCTTTTGGTAACTTTACTTTTCAGGTTCACATATGTTAACAGAATCAATACACGATCAACTTGTTAAGTGATGTTACCAAATACTTATTTGGCAAAGTACATCCTTGATCAATGCCTTAGTGATTCTATAGCTAAAATATTAGATGTTTTATTTTGGGGGGAGTGGGGAAATAGCATAGACCGTCATTTAAACCTTCAGACAATTAGTGACTGTGTTGTACAAAAAAGATGGCGAAAGCCTTATCTAGATACCAAAATTCACATGTCATCCAACCTAGCTTACTCTTATTTTTTCCATCAGTTTCTAGGGCTGTGCTATCCAATACTGTCGCAAATAGCCCCATGTGGCATCGGAGCACTTATGATGTGGCTAGTCCAAACTGAGTGTTGAGGAAAGTGTAAAATGCCAGATTTTGAAGACTTTTACCTTATGTTGATGTTTTAGATATTTTGAGCTAAATAATATGCTAACATGACCTTTTTAAACTAATGTGGTTGCTAGAAACTTTCAAAATTATGTACGTGACTCGCCTCTTTCTAGTGGACAGTGCTGCTCTGTCTTCCTCCATTAGCTCCGTTCCCTCTAGATACACGTAACGCTGAGCCCAACAAGATCGCCTTCCTGTAACCATTTGAAGATAGCACCATGATGCTAGTTTAGTGTTTGCATTTATTTTAAAAATACACAAAATAGAAATTTTTACATCAAAGTGTGATAACCTCACTTACACATTGTTCCATACTTACCTGGTTTTGTTTGCATCTTTCTGCAAACATTAAAAGGAGATGGATTTGATTCTGATTTTTTTGCTATGGTTCATGTAAACAGTTGAGACTGCTACATAAAGTAGGTTGTTGTCAAAGGTGAAGTGGCCACAGAATCCCAAGAATAGAATAATTCAATTTGGTTTAATGAAATTGGTGGAGGTCTTAGCAGATAGATAATCCAAGACTAAATATTGTCTTCTAGGCATTTTAAAAATTAAGAACTTTGAGGTTTTCTTCATGTTGTAAACATAACTTAGACCTTGTTGGCATTAAGTTTACAAAAGAAAATATTAAACCATGATTTTTATCATCCTGCCCATGTCAGTATACACTCTCTTTATTATGAGAATGAAACCAAATAATAAGCAAAATACATCAGGAATTTCAAATTGTACTGCAAAGAAGGTCCCAGCTGGTCTCTTCTGGGAGTGATCTAACTAACTTAAGCTGACCCTGCGACTGGCTGAGGATAATCCCTTCTGTCCACTGCACCGTGCAATGCCACAGGTCATGAGATGGTCAGTTCCTCTTGCTCTGTGTCGTCTGAAGCAAGTCGAGGCCCTACTTCTGGTTCCGCCCTTCTTCCTTGGGCTTAGATTTGCTGGGTTAGTAGTTTGCTACTATTGTCAAGACTGTACTGTCCCTTTAAGGTACCACATGCCACCATAGCTTACACAGCAGTCCTATGAGAGAGAAACAGGGTAAGCACAGATTTTTGCAGGAAAAGGAGCTAATTACATTCTGTCCACAATGTCAACACTCGATTTATGATTAGTGAATAGAATACAAATGGGAAATCAAAAACTGCCTAACCATACCACCATGGCTACTACCAGCCACCCTTTCCTCAGGGGTAGTGTTTTTTTTTTTTTTTGAAACAGAGTTTTGCTCTTGTTACCCAGGCTGGAGTGCAACGGCATGATCTTGGCTCACTGCAGCCTCTGCCTCCCAGGTTCAAGCGATTCTCCTGCCTCAGCCTCCCAAGTAGCTGGGATTACAGGCATGTACCACTACGCCTGGCTAATTTTGTATTTTTAGTAGAGATGGGGTTTCTCCATGTTGGTCAGGCTGGTCTCAAACTCCTGACCTCAAGTGACCCACCCACCTCAGCCTCCCAAAGCGCTGGGATTACAGGTGTGAGCCACCGCGCCTGGCCATTCCTCAGGGGCATTTTAAAAGTGAGGGTGGGCCAGGCATGGTGGCTCACACCTGTAATCCCAGCTACTTAGGAGGCTGAGGCAGGAGAATTGCTTGAAACTGGGAGGTAGAGGTTGCGGTGAGCCGAGATTGTGCTACTGCACTCTAGCCTGGGCAACAAGAGCAAAACTCCATCTCAAAAAAAAAAAAAAAAAAAAAAAGGGGGTCTACGAAATACAGATACTGACATGCCCAGAACAAGGGTGCTTAAAAAACAGTATTACTTATATGGCTCTGGATGTTTAATCAAAACAAGACATTGTCATCAGTTTTCTGTCTCTCAGTGTTGCTGCAAATATGGTTGGTATTTGTACTACAGTCACTTCAGAAAAGCATTATAGGTTGTACATTAGGTGCTTTCATATAGTAAACAGATCATATTCCTTTTTAAACTAAATTTAAGAATGGATTCTACTGAAAGTCATGTGTGTGGCTATGGCAACAATCAGAAGATAGTTCAAAATTCAAGGGAGAGTAGAGTGAGGATTCTCAACTAGGCCCTATCATTTTAGAAGACGCCTACCCACTGCCAAGCTCATCCAACCTACCATATTTTTTTGTTGTTCTATTGTTTTAGGCTCTTAGCAGCCTGAAGCCATGGTTTTTAGTTTCTGTCTCTAGTGACAAGCAGAGAAGAGGGATGAAAGGGGCATTACTGGCCTGGCCCAACCAGAAAGAGAAACAAAGCATCCATGGCTGTATTCTTTCCCTTGGACACCACTGTGACTATATTGTTTGAAGGGGTCAGTCCTCTGGCACATACCCCCTTCCCCAACCAATGCCAATCAATCAATCATTAACAGTTGCTCAAGACAAGACTGACTGGGGAGTGGTCCCAAGGAAGCCTGATTTCATATACACAAAGACACTAGAGTCCCTTCTACACACTGTCAGCCCCTTCCAGAGCCTTTGATATTGTTTGTTATGCACAAAATGGATGTACCTTTAGTACTTTATCCACCTCCTGTTTACTGAGATCTTCTCCACACTCTTGAGTCAACCGAGACTGGATCATGTTTCGGCGTACCCGGTAATTTTTGGAAAAAATTTCAAGCAAAACCTGTCGATGCTTTAGTAGCAAAAACACGTTATGATGGGAAACAGTGATCTAAAAAGAGAAACATCCCCAAACAAGACACCCAAGCCATGCACCTGACTTTGTGTTGCAGTCTCTGATAAAAACCCTCACGCAGCACCTCTGGTTAAAGATGAGCCAAGTCATCTCTAGAGACCCAGCAAGACAGTGTACAGAAATAAAAACACAAAAGTAAAGGCATTAATGCTATGTCTGGAAACTTGAATATAAATAAAAACAAAGGTATATGCCAGCATAACAAAAGAACTGGTGAAGAGACATGAGAGGATGAGTGGCTTGAACATATTTCTGCATGGTAAAATGCAGGCGTGCATCGGACTTAGCAAGCAGGTGAAGCGACAATCTAAGCTGCACGGAGATGAGAAGAGGGTGTCAAAATTGGTGTGAAGTCTTAATGCACAAACATGCCACTGCATCCATGAAACAGGATGCCGTAAAATACGTTACACCCCAAAATAAAAATGGAAAAGATTGGATTCAGTATGTCTAATATCTGTCATAAGAATTCTGAAAAAAACAAAAAAAAGTAACAACTCACAGGATTTTATAAGAACTCAATTGTCTAGTACAATAATGACCCGCACCAGGGCACAGCTGAAATGGCACTGACTGATATACAGAATAATGAAAAATTCTGCAGTTTGGCATAAAGGAAAGAATACAGGCCAAATTTAAAAGACCAAGAAGGAGAATGTTATGGAATTTCAACAACTCTGAAAACTTAAACAATGGAAACTCTCTTAAAGATGCTTCATGCCGGGCGCAGAGGCTCACGCCTGCAATCCCAGCACTTGGGGAGACCGAGGCAGGCGGATTACCTGAGGTCAGGAGTTCGAGACCAGCCTGTCCAACGTGGTGAAACTCCGTCTCTACTAAAAATACAAAAATCAGCCACGCGTGGTGGCACACGCCTATAATCCCAGCTACTCAGGAGGCTGAGGCGGAGGTTGCAGTGAGCCGAGATCGTGCCATTGCACTCCAGCCTGGCTGACAGAGGGAGACTCTGTCTCAAAAAAAAAAAAAAAAAAAAAAAAAAAAAAAAAAGGATGCTTCATGTATCACTATTTGTCTAGGACTAGAATTTTGAGAGGCAAATCATTTGATCACGTAAAAATAGAAACTTTGATAACCTCACACATTGTTCCATACTTAGCTGGTTTTGTTTGCATCTTTCTGCAAACATTAAGAGGAGATGGATTTGATTCTCCTTTTTTTTTGCTATGGTTCATGTAAACAGCTGACTGCTACATGAAGTATCCTTTGCCTCTTAAAATTCTAGTCCCAGACAAACAGTAATACTGTATTGTAATCCATTTTAAGACATGAAAGAATGCAGACAACTCCTCTGTCTCTTCAGAAGCTAAAGCAAGGAAGAAGCAGAGATTCCAGAATTCAGCAACAGACATGGGGAAGAGCGAGTCTCACTGGAGAAGCAGAGGGAGAGGCTTCCCGGGAACCAGGCTTAATTAAGCAAAGTATCACCCTCGGTACACATGTGTTCAGAAAATTACACAAGTGAAAACAGGAAGCAGTGAACAAGGAAATGCAATCATAGTATATTACTGATGTTTGGCTCTACAATGGATAGATTTTCAGTTCATTCTGTGACAATGCTATAAACAATGATAGCCAATTAAAAAGAGGTAAAGGCCTGGTGTGGTGGCTCACGCTTGTAATCCCAGCACTTTGGAAGGCCAAGGCAGGCAGATCATTTGAGGCCAGGAGTTCGAGACCAGCCTGGCCAACATGGTGGGACCACCCCCCGACCCCTACCACCGCGATCTCTACTAAAAATACAAAAATTAGCTGGGTGAGGCAGCACAAGCCCGTAATCCCAGCTACCCGGGTGGCTGAGGCACAAGAATCGCTTGAACGCAAGAGGCGTGAGCTGAGATGGCACCACTGCACTCCAGGCCTAGATGACAGAGCAAGAGCAAGAGCAAGACGCTATCTATCTCAAAAAAAAAAAAAAAACTGGCGTAACATATCTATCTCTACAGTCTCCTAAAATAGTTGAGAGCTAAATCTCATCCACCACAATGGGAAGCCCATTGCTAATGACAGGCTGATTTTTTTTTTTAAATGGGGGCAGCTATTTTAGTGGTATCTTTTGGTGATGTAAATGCCTATGATCCTAGCACTTTGGGAGGCTGAGGCAGGAGAACTGCTTGAGGCCAGGAGTTCAAGACTAGCCTGGCCAACATAGTGAGACCCTGTTTCTATTAAAAAAGTAGTAATAAAAGTGGTCACCTCTGAGGGGTGGCAGTCAGGTCCAGCAGTGCAAGAGCTTTCCTATTAAAACTTCTAGTCTGATTTGATGTTTAAAAATCTGCATTTATGACTTTTGTTTTTTTGCCTTTTTGTTATCAAAGTATTTCAGATACCCTCTATTCTGGACAAAAGCACTCAAGCTTGCTCAGGAAAAGGCCCCAGCCCCTTAGATCCTCAGCCTGCCAGTTGGCTCCCCTAAGAGGCAGCTGGGGACAGAGAGCTCAGTGGGATTTCTGCTGACTCCCTTCTCCCCACACCTTAGGAGCAGGGCCTAGACACGGTCAGACCGACTGGCGTTTCGACCATCAAATTAGGTACGTTCACGGCCTAAGAAAAGCTGGGATGCAGGGTCCATGACTACACCACACACACGCAAGGCGCTGCTGCTTCCACTCACATTTCTGGGCACTGGACACCTGTGACCCTCCCCATCACAGTATGACTAGAGGCAAAATGACCAATTTCTTTAACCTAAAAGTCCAGGACCTGACATCTGACAAGGAATCCTTTTGATTCCTGCTGCCAGAGGCCGCCTGAGAAATGTGCTTCACCAGTGCTCTATAAGCCTGGCTGGATCAGAGTTGCTCAGGAAGCTTTACAGAAATTCAGATACCTAGGACAGTACCGCATACCTACTGAACAGAACTGAATCTATGTTTTTTTTTTTTTTCTTTCTGAGACACAGTCTTGCTCTGTCGCCCAGTCTGGAGTGCAGTGGTGCAATCTCGGTTCACTGCAACCTCTCTCTCCCAGGTTCAAGCAATTCTGTCTCAGCCTCCCACGACTATGGGCATTTTTAGTAGAGATGGGGTTTCACCATATTGGTCAGGCTGGTGTCAAACTCCCAACCTCAGGTGATCCACCCACCTTGGCCTCCCAAAGTGCTGGGATTACAGGCGTGAGCCACTACGCCCAGCCTGTATTTTTTAAAAGATGATTCTGATGGAGCTGGCTCACAGACTGGCATCTGGGAACCACTGGTTTAGGTTCAAACTATTGGCACATACAGCTTATTTTGTTAGCGTACAGAGTTGGAGCAGGATATTTAAAACCGAGTGTGCCAGAAAATCTGAAATGTGTGGCTGCACTTTGGGTGCACATGTCCCCCAAGGCCTCCAACGCTGCAGGAAACCCCCCTGGCTCTTCGGGAAGATGGCAGCAAAGTTCACCTCACCTGATCACTCATGTCTCCAGACTCCCAGAGGGCAAACACCTTCTGCTCATCCGGGGAAGCAGCAGTCTGGGGGGGAAACTGACCAAGGCCCAGGGGTGAGTTGCTTGTCCATCTCTACCCCATGGATCCATTTGCTTGCCTCATCCCTCCCTGTCTGCCCCAGCCCAGATGCAGGAACATGGGTTCCAATCCCAGCTTCTGCTACTCACCATCTCTGAGGGCCTTGGGCAGCCACAAACCTGTGCCTCTCACCTCACCATGGGGAGGAGGCCAGCACACCCCCCAGGGCCTGACAGGGCTTCAGCGAGAGGGGGAGTGTGATGGGCCCAGTGAAATGCCCGGCTTCGAGTCTGCAGATATCCTCCGTACAGTGGGGAAGCTGCGTCTGTTTCCCATCAGCCTGGCACCAACTCAACTGTGCTTTAACACCCAGAGTCCTCCCTCCTGAAGATGCCAACCCTGATGGAGGGGCGCCCCCTTCCCCATAACTCTTGGGGTACCCTGGGGGTTCTTTTCAACTGCTTCCCACATGTACCATGTCAGTGTGGGTTAGAGGCACTGCCTGACTCCCAAGCAATCCAGGCCACTTGGTCCAAAGGTAGACCAGGACAAGTGTGACACAGGCCTGGGTCCTGGAGAGAAGGGGACAGGGGAGGGGGCATCTGGGATGGTAGTTTCCAGTCCTGGTTCCATCACACAAGTAGCAATAATGGTTACTACCAGTAAAAGCCCTGTGAGGCCTCCAATACACATTTGCATTTGAGCATTAGAAACTGGGGAGGTAGTACATGGGGAAAAGTAAGCTCAGAGAGGTTTGCTCACTGTCCATGGTCACACAGCTAATAAGCAGCAGAACCAGGAGTTCAAGTCAAGTTCTCGATCTATTCACTTGCCCTGGACCTCAGCTCCCTCATGTACAACACAGAGGTGGCTGGGATCGGAGGTCTCTTACGTCTTGGATGTGACTACAATACAGTCTCCTTGTCAGGATGGCAAGGAGAGCATTACAGTTAGGGCCATGGTGTCTCCTGGAGACGCTGGCCCCACCCCAAAGCAACATGGACAGAGGGGGTCCGGAAGGAGGGGTGAGGGTGTCTGAGGGTGGCCATGTCCCACCCCTCACCTCTGTCCACTCCAGCGGCCCAAAACAACTAATGTCAGGCAGGTGTCCTGCCTGTCCTGGCCCAGCTCATGAAGAAAGGTGAGCTTGTGGAGACCCAGACCCATGTGCTGGGTGGGCAGGAGCTCCGAACTCTGCCAGTACCTCCCACAGGGGGCTGCCTGCCAGCAGGGCCGATCCCCTGAGACAGCCTAGGCTCCACAAGGCCTCCTGTCCTAGTTTCTATTCCTCATACACAGGGATGGGCCTTGGCCTCAGATCATCACCCAAGGCTGCAGGCCCGCTCCTGACCTTGGCAATGAAAACATCAATGCTTTCTTAGAGACCACCACAGCCCCACCTCACCCCATTTTGCTGCCAGGTCTGGGCAGAGCCTTGTGGAAAAGGAGCACGGGAAAGGCGTGCCTCAGGCAGCACCTGGCGCTCTCTATCCTCAGCGCAGGGAAACGGTCCCCAGCAAGCACTCTGCTCCCCCGTCAGGGCCCCTCCCAGTGACAGAAAAGCAGCCCAGGGGGAAGGGGCAGGAGGCTTGCAATACCACACTCAAGGCCTGGCACTGGAAGTGCTGAGAGCACAGCGCTGAGCTGGTCAGCTTGCTTCTGATGCACAGGGAGGCCGCCAGGACCCAGGCCCAAGCTGGGGCGTGGCGCAGCTGTGGGGAAGCAGCTCATCTTAGCTGAGCAGAAAGGATTCAAAACTCCAGGCCACTATACTGAGGTCCAAATTCCAGCTCTACTACCTCCTAGGTAGTGACCTTTAAACGTACATTTCATTCCTTGGAGCCTCAGTTTCTTCATCTGCAGATTGCAAAGAAGATCAAACGATCTTAGAAGTTAAATCATTCCAAACAATGGCAAAGCTAGTAGGAAACAGGTGTTCTTGGTGGGGGACAGGGTGAGAAACCAGGCAGGGGCCCTGTTTCACTAGGCCCTGCTGCAGGCCAGGCAATAGGCCGGGCCTTCAGACACCGTATTTAGCCCCTACCACAGTCCTGTGACATAAAACCCAACATGATCCCATTTCATGAGAATAGAGCCTCAGAGAGGCTGACTTGCCCATGTCACACCTAGGCCCACGTGAGAGCAGATGCTCACCAAGCATGGCCTCCCGTGTCCCCACGTGGCCTCCCAACAGCTGGTTCTCCCCACCCCCCACCCCCCATGCCCCTGGCAGGCAGGGCTCTACTTACAGGCACCAGTATCTGCTTGCAACCGGCGGCCAGCACCGTGTCCTGTAGCATGCGGTCCGAGATGCCGCTGAAGAGTGTGTGGCCGGGGGGCAGGCTGGCCAAGTGCAGATTGAAGAGGCGCTTGAGTTCGCTCAGCGTGAGCACAAACTGTCTCTGAAAGGTGGCCTCCACGAAGGCCTTCAGTTCCCGAGCCACAGGGGTGCTGGCGCAGCCCTGGGGCGGGTGCCCGTTGAAGCTGTCTGTGCCCGCAGCCCGCCCGAGAGGCAGCCCGTTGGCCAGCTTGCTGTGGAGGCCGCTGGGGGAAGTGTCCATGGGCTCCTCCTCCGCCTCCTGCTCCTCGTCCTCCTCGCCCTCCTCGCTCACGGGCTCCTCCTTGATCCGCACACCGGGCGGGACCGCAGGCACCCGCAGCTGCTCCTTCCGCCGCTGCAGCTCCCGCTCCAGCAACGCGTGGTTCTGCTGGGCCTTGGTTTTGGCTACTTGGATCCGCTGGTCCCCACAGACCAGCCCGGCAGGCCCTGCGGGGAGGGAGGCAGCACTGCTCAGGAGGGCACAGGGATCTGAAGCCAAAAGCCCAGCAGGGGACCGCGGGGCTGCAGCAAGTGGTCCCGTCCTGGTCTCATCCCCAACCTTTCTCGAAAATCAGCCACCCCATCAGTGGAAGAGAGAACCGTCCCAGCGTGCCGAGAGTCATGCGGGGAAGGGTGCTGCTGAGTTCCTCCCCCCAGCAGCTCTTCCGGGCCCGCTTGTTGACCCAAGAGGGTGAGTGAGCCTCAGAGACCTGGAACCCAGACTCAGCCCTGGAATCCGCAAGCCTCCGTCCCTGAGGCTCTGCTGCTGGGCAAGCGACCAGCTGCGGTCTGTGGGTGGCAGGAAAGGAAGGAGGGTGAAGGGTGAACGGTGAGAGCCCTCCACCCTCTCCAGGTCCGGGCCTGACAAGCTCTAGCACAGCAGCCCTTCCGGAGCCACAGTGTAGGAGCCGGGGCCTCCCAGCCCAAAGCCCCTCACACACCTGATTGTGCATCCGGCTTCTTTGGCATGGTTTCCTTTACAAGATTATAGACTTTTTCCAGTCTGAAAAGAAGAGTAACCCCATTAACTTTAAACCACGTCCCCTACCATCTGCTTCACAAGAGAAACAACCACCCCTTAGGCCCCAGGACACGCTGGTTACTGACAGCGCAGGCTTGGAGCTCAGCCAGCCCTACTGAGTCCCTCTTCTGGCAGAGTGCACAGCCCCAGGACCACCCAGACCCCATCAGTCTTCTGCCAACACCCCTCTGGTCCCCAGGCCCCAGCTCTTGCTCCTGAGTGCTCCCTCTCTCCATCACATCCCTCTTCCCTGAGCCCTCAGAGCACGGCCACCCTGATGAGCAGGTACTGGCTGTGTGTCCTGTGCTGAAAGGATGGTGGGATCAGCCAGCAATGCCTATCAGTGTGGGTGAGGAGCGTGGGGCCTGCGGACCCCCACCTGCCCTTCACACCCAGATCCAGCCCAACTGCGCTCTCCCCAGATGTGGGGTTTCTAGAGATTGCTCGGATCCACCCTGACAGTGCTCCCCAGGATGCAGGGTTGCTGGGATCACCGGGCTGCCCCTCCCTGGCCCAGGGTGCTTACTTGGCCTGGATACCCGTCCACAGCATGTGCTGCCGCTGGACCACATCCGGGTGCTTCTTGATGAACTCCCCATCATAAGGCAGAATGAACTCCCAGCCTTTGTTGATCCTCACCACGGCCATGTGCTCCAGGAAGTCCTTCACATCCTCGGCGCAGAGCTGGAGGGGAGGGGGCCCAGCGTGAGGCACAGCCAGCCCCCTCCCCTCCAGCAGCAGCCTGGGCCTCAGACCACAAAAACGCCACTTACTTTGGTCACGGTTGCCACCTCTTTCCTAACCACCCAGCGGCTCTGCGTGAACTTCCACATCTGAGGGAGAAGAAGCAGCACATTCCAGGGGCGGCCACGGACTGCTCCCAGGACTGTCCCGGGAACTCACCTGGCAGGCCTGGGAGCTGGAGCCTGGGACAGTCCTAGGCTCCTGGCCTTGATTCTTCCCAACAGTGTGGCCTCAGGCAGTCCCTTCAGCTCTGCACCTCCCTCCTTTTCTCCTCCATAAAGGAGCTCCAGGCCCATCTCTTCCAAGGGGACCATGGGACCATCCCACCCCACCTAGACCACAGCGCTCCCTGGGGATGCCCTGCCCAGCTCCGAGGATACGATGAGGACTCGGGCTGGGAGGGGCTCCCACAGACACACGCTGTCTGCATAGGCGGCACTTCACAGTGGTGGCTGCTAATGGCTGGTTGGAGGCCGCCCATCCTTCCAGAAGCTCTCAGCCCCCTGCAGCCCCCACTCTGCCTCAACAGCTCCCCTGCACTCTGATTAGATTTGTGGGGTGACTGGGAGAGAGAAGGGTGGCTGGCTGAGAGACACAGGGAATGGATGACTATCACCTACGCTAACATAGACTGGACCACACCCCCACCAAGCCGCCAGTTCTGACAGTGTCTACACACTGGAGCGGGGCGGGCAGGGGCAGCTGGGGGCAAACGGCACTGTATCTGGGGAGGCAAGCCTGGGAGTGGTGATTGTTACATGCTGACCCCTAGGAGCAAAGATGCTGCTCGGGCACCTGGACACCGACTGCCCAGAGGAGTTGGGGAGGCTCCTTCAGGAAGAGAAGAGGCAGATGCTTCCTTCAGCTTAAGGGCTGCCTTGTGACTGGGACGGCACACCAGCGTGCCAAGGGGTGTGGGACAGCTCCTGGGCAGCACGTTTCAGCCAGCACCAAGCCTAGGAAGACTGTGGCTCCCAGCTGCATGGAGTTCCAGGCCTTGGGAGGGAGGCCATGGGTGGGGTGATGGGAAGAAGGGAGACACCAGCTCAGGAGTCCCAAACTCCAGGGACAGGCACAAGGGAGGCAAAGGCACCTGGGACTGTGGTGAACTGGAGACCGCCAGCGCCTTGTGGGGAAGTGGCCCCAGGGGTGTCAGGGAGTCCAATTACCCTTGACAGCTAGACATCTGTCTAGCATCAAGATTTTTTTTACATCAAAATTTCAATTTATAAAATCTGACAACCAAGGCAATATTTCTAAACCACCACTCAGGCCGAATGAAACGTGCTTCTTGACCCACCCCCCGACTGCGCTAGAGGAACTGGAAGGTTCTTTCCAGCCCGAGACTCCAGGCTTCTGAGAGGAAGGAGGAGAAAGGCAGAGGCCAGGGCCTCCTCACACACCCGCCTCCACCTGGAGCCTCTGCCGGGCCCCGGTCTTCAGAAGCCCTGCACCGCTGCCCCCCTCTTCCCACGCCCCCACCGTGAGTCCAGAGAACCCAAGGTACTTACAACGAAGTCTCGGCCCCTGCAGAGCACCTCAGCAGGCACGCCGCTGTGAGGGCTGGACGAGTCCTTGGGGTATAGGATGTCACTGCCAATGCAGGTGAGGATGGCAGGTCAGTCCCTGCCCTGAGCCCCCTCTACCGCTACCCCTCCCGGCCAAGCCCCAGTCCATGCTTCTTTCCACCGTGGGCTGGGTACAGGCCTGAGCCCCAAGACCTCCCCTTAGGAGCCACATCTGTGAACACAGACATGGGAAAGAAGCACCCCTCTACCCCACACATCCCCCCAGTTCTTCCTCTTATTACCCCTCAACCCGCCATGCACACCAGCCTCATCCTAAGACCCCTGCACATTCAGGGAGAGGTCACGGGCTCAGAGACAGACAAGGTGAGGAACAGCCCGGGACCTCAAGGAGCCCAGGACTCTGGAAGACAACTGGTCCCTGCACGTGACACCAAGAGAACCAGGGATGAAGCCATCTGCAAGCCCTTGGCCACCTGCTGAAAGGGGCAGGTGGGCATGAACCGAGGTCAGAGGCAGGGGAGGCATGTTAGCCCTCGGAGAGAACAGGCTCAGCACTCAAGGTTCAGGGAACTTCAGAGGAAAGGCCGGGGCCTTGGACAGCAGGGCACGAGAATCTCCAGAGTGTAGCCCTGACCCAGCTCCAGCCACAGGCCCTGCAACCCCGGCTCAGCCCCTGCTGCGGCACCTGTGCTCTGACTGTCCCTCCCTCTGCTGCCAAGCCCTCCTCCTCCCCCTGCTCAGGTCCACCTGGCAACCAACTGTCACTCATCCTGCAAGGCCACGCTCTGTGGGGACACGGACTCTGCCGATGTGGCTCATCGCTGCCACCACAGCGAAGGTACCTATTAAGTGTGTGCTGACCAAACAAACCTGGTCCATGCCATGATCTCTGCATTCAGGGAGCTCAAATGTAACAGCCGCCATCCCCAGGGGCAGTGTCTGAATGAGAGCCCGGTCCATGGCACAGAACGAGCAGTCTAGCCATAGTGACTGAATGGAGGCATGGATTTTGCATTGTCTCCTCACAGGCACACACAGGACCCTCACCCAGGGGCCCCTGACATGGCAGCATGGGCAGCAGCAGAGTAGGGCTTACAGAAGTGCCGGGGCAGGTGAAATGCCCACAGTCCCCAAGTCCCTACCTTCCAGTCCCCAGGACAGGGCGAAACTAAAAGGGGCAGCACCTCCAGGGGACACATGCAGTGCTGGGTGCAGAGCCCAGGGCTGAGCCATGAGGCTTAGGTTTTAACAGGGCTCTGCGGCTGCCTTGCTGCAAGACTTTTGGCAAGTCCCATGCCTCTCTGGGCCAGTGTCCTCAGGTGTGTGACGGGAGGACCCCTCTTGGCTTTCATTCACTTATGGTGTAAATATACACACGTGGTCCTATGTAATACGCGATGCGCCATTGCAAAAGCCTTCCATGATGAAAACGTGTAACAAAGGACAACAGCCGCAAGGTGCTGACAAACTGCGCTGGGCACCTGTGGAGCAGTGCAAGGGCGCCACCAGGTGGCAGTAACACGAATATACTCTACAACTATGAGGAGCTTTCAAGGCATTGTATTTTCTTAAAATGTTCAACATTTCACATTTTGTCACATTGCTCACCTTAAACTACATTACTTAAAAAGTGAGTTATTAATGCAATTAATGCTACATCATTCAGAATCAATATAATTCAAGTAAAACGTAGCCACATTATTTACCAAGGGTCTGCACTGGTAATATCCAGGCATTATTCCGGGTACTGGGAACATAAAGCAGGAGTCAAAACAGACATCCCTAATCCCTTGAAACTGATGGTCTCGTGGAGGCAGCACATGGTCTAGGGGAGGATTCGCCGAAGAGAAACCACTGAAAGGCATCAAGCCCCACGCTCAAGACCTGTGATCCCCAGCAGAGTATGTAAAAAATTCACACTTAAAGACACATCTAAACGAACCCGTAGAAAACCAAAAACAGAGAAACTCCTAAAAGCAGCCAGAGGAAAACAAAGGCAGGCTGCCTTCAAAGGAATAAGAACAAAACTGCCAACAGAAACAATGAAGTCGGAACACAACAAAATCATATCAACGCGTGGAAAGGAAAATAACCACCAATCTAGAATTCTAGAACAAAGGTGAAATAGACATTTCCAGACACACAAAAACCAAGGAAATGCATCACCAACAGACCCACATTAAAGGAAATACTATAGCATTCTTTAGGCAGAACGAAATGATCCCAGATAGAAACTTAGAGATGCAGAAAGAAATGATGACTAAATTATAAACATGCGAGTAAAGAATATTGATTGACTGGATACAGTAATGTCTTATGGGGCTGAAAACATACAGAGAATTAAAATACACCAGGCCGGGCACGGTAGCTCACGCCTGTAATCCCAGCACTTTGGGAGGCCGAGATGGGTGCATCACCTGAGGTCAGGAGTTCAAGACCAGCTGGCCAACACAGCAAAACCCTGCCTCTTCTAAAAATACAAAAATTAGCCGGGCGTGGTGGCAAGCGCCTATAATCCCAGTTACTTGGGAGGCTGAGGCAGGAGAATCGCTTAAACCCGGGAGACAGAGGTTGCAGTGAGCTGAGACTGTGCCACTGCACCCCAGCCTGGGCAAGAGAGAGAGACTATCTCAAAAAAAAAATAAAAATACACCAATCCTGTGCTCTCTTCGGCAGTACATATACTAAAATTGGAACACTAGAGAAGATTGGCAAATTAAAAAGGTAAAAAAATATATATATACCAATCTAGCAGTGTGTAAGTATGAGGATAGATATAAAATATTCTAAGATCTCTGAATAGATTGGAATGGGGTAAAAAGCAGCAATTAACATTAAAATGTGTTAAGTCATGAATGTAAGCTGAAAACTGTAGGGTAATCAATATATGAGCCCAAACAGTGTAACTTCCAAGTTAGCAGGAAAAAATAGAAACAGAAATGAATCCAGCAGATGGTAAGAATGATATAAAAATCCAATGTAGGCAGGACAAAGGGTACTACAGGGTGACTATAATTAAGAACAATTTATTGTATAATTTTAAATAGCTAGAAAAGTGAAGTTTGAATGTGCCCAACACAAAAATGAGAAATGTTTGAGGGGATAGATATGTTAATTGCCCTGATTTGATCATTACATTGTATACATGTATTTAGATTTCACACTGCCCCCATAAATATGTACATTATGTGTCAATTTAAAAAATGTTTAAATGCGGCCAGGCACAGTGGCTCACACCTGTAATCCCAGCACTTTGGGAAGCCGAGGCGGGCAGATCACGAGGTCAGGAGATGGAGACCATCTTGGCTAACACAGTGAAACCCCATCTCTACTAAAAATACAAAAAATTAGCTGGGCGTGGTGGCGGGTGCCTTGTAGTCCCAGCTACTCGGGAGGCTGAGGCAGGAGAATGGCGTGAACCCGGCAGGCAGAGCTTGCAGTGAGCCGAGATCGCACCACTGCACTCCAGCCTGTGGGACAGAGCGAGACTCTGTCTCAAAAAAAAAAACAAAAAAACAAAAAACAGTTTAAATGCA
This sequence comes from Homo sapiens, assembly GCF_000001405.40. Lineage (NCBI taxonomy): Eukaryota > Metazoa > Chordata > Mammalia > Primates > Hominidae > Homo > Homo sapiens. Next base: position 785,652 of record NW_017852933.1, read on the forward strand.
ATGTAGGCAGGACAAATAGAAAGCACTGTAGATTTAAACCCAAAGCACTAGTAACTGCATTAAATTTAAAAGGACCAAATGCTCCCATTAAGAGAATACAGCGTAGGCCGGGCCCGGTGGCTCACGCCTATAATCCTAACACATTGGGAGGTCGAGGTGGGTGGATCACTTGAGGTCAGGATTCGAGACCAGCCTGGCCAACATGGTGAAACCCGTGTCTACTAAAAACACAAAGATTAGCTGGGCATGGTGGCGGGCACCTATAATTCCAGCTACTCAGGAGGCTGAGGCAGGAGAGTTGCTTGGACCTGGGAGGGAGAAGTTACAGTGAGCCGAGATTGCGCCACTACACACCAGCCTGGGCAACAAGAGTGAAGCTCTGCCTCAAGGAAAAAAATAAATAAAAATAAAAAATAAAAAAAGCAACTTACCTCTTCACCACCCAGTTCCCTTGGACCAACATCGCCACCTTCTGGATGCCCCGCAGAACAGCCACGGAATCGATGGAGGGGCCCAGGAGGCTCATCAAGTTGGCAAAAGGCATGACCTTCACTGAGGAGGACGCAGGAGACATCAGACAAGGAAGAGGGGCCGGGCCCTTCCCTCCCCTCCACCGAGAGTCCGCATAGCTTCAAGTTCATGTAATAACCCCAGAATGTGATAACTAACAGTAATGACACCCATCATAGCCAACAGCTGACACTCTCAGGCTGCTCACTACATGCCAGGCACTGGGCACCTCATGAAATCTGAGGATTATATGAAGTGCCCCTTAAGGAAGACTTGAGGGGTGCCTCAGGAGGAAGGGTCTATTACTACTCAGACCTGGAAAGGCTTCAAAGCTCACCCATGATCTCTTGGCTAGGAAGTAGCAGAGCCAGGAAGTGAACCCAAGCCACTTGGCTCCACTTGGTACCCTCAATCACTGTGCTCTGCTCCCGCCCAAGTGAGCCCTGGGCAGGGCCCAGGGAAAGTCCAAAATTTGGCTGGGCGCTTTGGCTCACACCTGTAATCACAGCACTTTGGGAGGCCGAGGGAGGCAGATCACTTGAGGCCAGGAATTTGAGACTAGCCTGGCCAACAAGGCGAAACCCCATCTCTACTAAAAATACAAAAATTAGCTGGGCGTGATGGCGGGCACCTGTAGTCCCAGCTACTCCAGAGGCTGAGGCATGAGAATTGCTTGAACCCGGGAGGCGGAGGTTGCAGTGAGCCGAGATTGTGCCACTGCACTCCAGCCTGGGTGACAGAGCAAGACTGTCTCAAAAAAAAAAAAAGTTCGAAGTCCTCTGCAGGAAGGAAGCCTAAAATCCCGAGCATATCATGGAGCTCCCCTCTCTCCTTAGACTCCTAAGAGCTCATGGTGGCATCTCAAAGGACGAGCCCAGGTTCTGCGGCTCCATTCTGAACTCAAGGATCAGGTCTGTTGTTCACCAGCCACGGGTACCCTAAAGGTTCTGGCACTCAGAGTCCTCTGAGAAAAGGAGACCAGTCCTTATGGTGCCAGGTCTGGCAAGAGTACCCAGAAGCAATGCCAGTGAAGACACTGTCATGAAAATGACCCTAGTTGAGCCGGTGCAGTGAATGGCGTCTGCTTGTAGGCCCAGCCACTCGGAAGGCTGAGGCAGGAGGATCACTTGGGCCCAGGAGTTACACAGCAAAACCTTTAAAAAAAACCTTTAAAACCTTTAAAAAAACCTTAAAAAAAAAAACAACAACAACAACAACAACAACAACAAAAAGCCCCTAGTCCGTGTTCGCCTGCAAGGCCCTGTACTTTAGAAGCCTCCTCTCTCTGATTCCTCACATTGGCCCCCAGGAACTATCATTAGTCTCTTTTCACAGAAAAACAAACAAAGCCTCAGAAAGGTTCATGACCTGCCCAAGAGCATGGCAGACAAGTGGTGAGCATGGCACAGGAACCCGAGCCCGCCTGTGGGGGCCAGACACACTACTGTCCTACATTCACGGGAACCCGGGCTGCCTGCGGGAGCTGGCCGCACTGCCGTCCTGCGTTATCTTTCCAGACAAGGATGCAGCTGCAAAGCTGGGCAGGCTGTGGGCAGCAGGGGCCTCTGGCCTTGTCCCCTGGTCCTCACTGTCCCACAGAGTCCATTCCTCAGGAGCCACTGGGACTGGGGCCCCCGGGTGGGCAGGGGGTAGGCACCCACCATTCTTCATCAGGATCTTGATCTGATCGGCCAGGGGCAGCGTGCGCAGCTGGGCCATCGACAGGACGTTGCTGGGGGCCACAGGCTTGTCTCTGGGAAAAGCAGAGGGGACGGGTTAGAGGCAGCCAGCCCGGAAAGGGAGAGGGTGTCCTGCCGCCTCTACTCACTTCTCCTCCTCCTGGCTGGGTGGCATCAGCATCATCAGGTACTCACTGCAGGGACATGGCAGGGGCAGAGGCTCAGGGCTGATCCAGGCTGGACCCTCCTCACCAGCCACCCAAGTGAGGGTCTGGGGAGAGGGTGCAGACAGCCCACCCCCGCCCTCCCCCAGCAGCCCTGAGCCCCTGCAGAAAAGTGGACCATCTCTTTCCAGGCCCACCCTCCTGGCCTTCTCCAGGGGACAATGGGCTCCACCCTCATGCTACAGGAGGGGCCACAGTCCTCTGGGAGGATCCACACCAAGGACCCCTGGGGACCCTGGGCAGGCATCCAGTTTGCATGCTGGCCCAGCCCATCCCACCTGGGTGACTTGACGAGCTCCGTGTTCTCCACCCCGCTTGAGCCGGGGCACAGCAGGTACTGACGCTCATGCTCAGAGCGACTGTCCTGTTGGAGGAGGGCAGGGTGTGAGAGGAGCCTCAGCTGATGGCCCTGGCCTGGGCCCCCTCCCCCAAGGCCTCCCGTCTTCCACTCCATGGCCAGCCACAGGACCACATCCAACCTCCTGAGCACGGCACCCAAGGCCTCTGACGTGGCCTCAGCCACTCATCTTCCTGGCCTTATGACCTGCCCAGCCCCAGCCCCCAAGCCTCGATGCCTTGTCTGTAACACAGGTACACCACCAGCAATGACAAAATGATGGCTAACATTCACTGGGCATCTAGGATGTGGTGGACTCTGTTCCACTGACTGTAAATATACTAACCCATCTCACCCTCAAAATAACTTGGCAAGGTAGGTACTATTATTACTACTCTCATTTTATAATTAAGAAAACTGAGGCTCAGAGAGGTTAGCTAACATGCCCAAGGTCACACAGCAGGAAACAGCAGTGTCTAGAAGTTTGACCCCGAGTCTAAGGGTCTGTTAACACAAATCTCTTCCAAGAAGGTTCCAGAGAAATCAGGAGTTGTTCCCCACCCCAGAAAATATTGGGAGCCCTGGCCCATGGTGTCTTTGGAAGCATCCCTCACTCAGTACACAGTTTCAAGGGTTAGGTTCTAAAATCAATGCACCAGGGCCAGGTGGTCGTGGCTCACGCCTGTAATCCCAGCACTTAGGGAGCCTGAGGTGGGCAGATCACTTGGAAATCAGGAGTTCGAGACCAGCCTGGCCAACATGGCAAAACCCCATCTCTACTAAAAAAACAAAAACAAAAAAATTAGCAGGTGCCTGTAGTCCCAGCTACCTGGGAGGTTGAGGCAGAAGAATCACTTGAACCCGGGAGGCGGAGGTTGCAGTGAGCTGAGATCGAGCCACTGCACTCCAGCCTGGGTGACAGAATGAGACTGTCTCAATAAATAAATAAATAATAAATAAATAAAAATAAAAGTAAATAAAGTCAGCGTACCAGATGAAAACCAAGCACAGTAAGAAAATCCCCTGGGCAGGTGGTGCTGGGAACTCTGGGGTGGCAACACATGACCGACCCTCTAGGACAGAACCGGAGAATGCATCTGGCCTGCGTTTAGGGCCTGGGCTGCAGCGAAAATATGTTACCAGGCACTAGCCCCACTGCAAGCCCAGCAAGATGCCCATGCCCAGGGGCCAAACCCCACCCAGGGAACCAAGGACTCGCATCTTTTCCTCTTGCTCTCCTGGGGCCCACGCTAAGTGGCTCGGCTGGAGTGAAGTGTAAACTGCCCACAGGACTCGATCCTCTATCTGTGGCTATGACTCATGAATTTGACTTAAGTTCAAGGTGAGACACGGAGGCCACACCATGACCCTTCCGGGCACCGAGGTGTTTCCCCCAGGACCCCACGAAGCCCCGCTCACCCTCAGGCCATAGTAATGCAGGTGGACCCAGGGCTCCTCTGCGTGCTTCTTCTGCAGGAACTCATAGGACTGCACACGGCGCTGGCGGGCCTGCTCTGACTCCGGCCGGGAGAACCGCACCTGCGGTGGGAAGGGGAAGAGGTCATACCGTCAGGCCTGTGACCCTTGCTGGACTGCCGTCTCAGCCCCTGCCAGAAGACCAGAGAACTCCGTATAGGGGTTTTCCACTCTCCCTTCCTTTCCTAGCACAGGTCGTTTAAATTCCGTTCCAACCGTGTCCCTCCCAGAGCTGCCTGCACACGCCAGGGAACGGCTTATACTTGCTCGTGCCTGCCCAGCCCAGAGGCTTGAGGGGGATTAGAGTCCCAGGCGCCAGAGCCAGCAGAGTCCTTAAAGCAGACAGGCCCAGGATGCCTTTTCTAAGTTCCCCAGAGCGGAAGGGAGTTTCTAAGGTCCTAATAAGCTACGGAGAGAACAGGATGAGCTCCCTGCGCCACCTCCATGTCCATTACGCCCGTGTTCCCCGGTCCTCAAGGGCTTCCAAACACTCACCACTCTCTAGCCATACTTGTGTATCATCATTCTACGTGTAGCATTTTTCTTTTGGTACTACTCATTTTAATCTAAATATGCTTAAATAGGGAAAACTTTACAAACCATAAATGGAAGGTTAAGATTCTTTGAAAAATCTTTAAAATTCAGGAATAACTATTAAAACGAAAACTATTCATCCGTGCCCCATAAAGAGAATAGAATCACAGTTAATTGACTTTGGCTCTGTTAAGATACAGGTTCATGGCAGAGCTGGTCTGCGGGTCCTCAGGGCTCCTGGCCCCAGCTTCCTGCTCCCAGGTGACTCTAGCCAAGCCCCAGGCACACATCTCCTGGATCCAGCCAGGGCTTCCATCTTGTGTATAGCTGGAACAACTCAGGTTGTTCCCTCCAGGTAGCCCAGCAAGAAGGCTCAAAAGCATGGGCCCTGTCTGCTCCACCTGCATTCTGTGAAGACCCGCTACCCCTTGGTCTCTGGTCCTGCTGCCGCCCAGGCAGCACCCTCCTCCTCCAGGGGCCAGGGCTCACCGTGATCTGCTTAACATCGTCTTCCGCCTCATCCTGTGAAGAGTCCCCTGCTGCAAGAGAGACAAGCCACTGACTGCAGTCCTGGGGAGCCTCCACCTCCCTTCTCTCAACCCCACCCGCCAGGGAAGCCTCAGGCCGGGGTGCTGGGAGTTCTCCTCGCAGAGGGAGCTGCCTAAGCCAGTGGTTCTCAATCGGGGACAGTTTTGCCCCTTTACCCTGGGGATACTGGGCAATGTGACCTTTTTGATTGTCACGACTGTGGGGTGGGTGCTTCTGGCATCTAGTAGGTAGAGGCCAGGGATCCTGCTAAACATCCTATCATCCCATCCCTCTTCCCAGGACCAAGCCATCCCACCAGGATGAAGGCAGGCAGGCAGCAGGGCTGGGGATCCCGGGCTCACCCTCGTTGGCCGCCTCCCTCTCCCGGTGCTTGGCGTCAGCCTTATCCAGGTAGGAGAAGCTGGGCCGCAGCTGCAGGATGCCATGTAAAGGTGTCAGGTGGAGCTCACCTGGCGGAGGAAGAAGGGCTTGGACTCAACTCTAGAAACCCACCCAGTTTGGCTCAAGAGAGTCACCAAGTCCCGTGAAGGCCTAGGCCCACCATCAAACCGCCTCCCATTCCCGCTGCAGCCCCCAATCCTAGAGTCTTGGGACCACCAGGCCAGGGACCATCCCCACCTCCACCTGGCCTGCTGGACACAGCAAGCACACAGCCCAGACTAGGACAGGAACCTGGACTCTTCTGTTCGAAGCCACTTCCTTCAGTCCCACCTCCCAGTCTGGTTCCACGCCCCTCTCCCCAGCTGCTCGCTTTGCAACACTAGGCAGCTAATCCTCATCAAATTCGCCCTGCTGTTTACCCTCCAGGCCTCGGCCAGCTCAGCCTTACTGTCCCGCCCCACACACCTGGATTTCCTCTCCTTCTTATCCTCCATCTTTTCCCGCCAAAATCCCACCCGTTCCACTAGGAAGTCCACTAGTGCCACTGTGGCTGGAGAAGAGGCCCTGCTAGAACTGGGTGGAGTGTCCACATGGCCTCTGATAAAGATCATGACTTTCCCTCCCGCTGCAAGGGATGTGGCTTTCAAGAATTACATGCTTGAGACATGGGTTCTAAACAGAACGCGCGAGTTATATGACACTACTTTTGATCCTATCCCATTTTGTTTCCTAAGTGTTCAGATTAGTTTCGTTCATTGCTTTTGAGACTAAATACTTAAGCACTTTACTGTTTTTTTTTTTTTTTTTTTTTTTTGAGATGGAGTGTCGCTCTGTCACCCAGGCCAGAGTGCAGAGTGCAGTGCCATGATCTCGGCTCAGTGCAACCTCCACCTCCCCGGTTCAAGTGATTCCCCTGCCTCAGCCTCCCAAGTAGCTGGGACTACAGGTGTGTGCCACCAAGCCCAGCTAAATTTTTTTGTATTTCAGTAGAGATGGTGTTTCACCATGTTGGCCAGGATAGTCTTGATCTCCTGACCTTGTGATCTGCCCGTCTTGGCCTCCCAAAGTCCTGGGATTACAGGTATGAGCCACTGCGCCCGGCCGCGCCTTGTACTTTTTACCAGCTTTGGGACAAGACTCACGTACCATATAGTCCACTCATTTAAGGCATACTAATCAATGTATTTTTGTTTTGAGATGGAGTCTCACTCTGTTGCCCAGGATATTCAGTGGTGCGATCTCGGCTTACTGCAACCTCCGCCTCCTGAGTTCAAGCGATTCTCCTGCCTCAGCCTCCTGCATAACTGGGATTACAGGCACTCACCACCACGCCTGGCTAATTTTTTCTACTTTTTGGAAGAGATGAGATTTTATCATGTTGGCCAGGCTGGTCTCGAACTCCTGACCTCAGGTGATCTGCCCACTTCGGCCTCCAAAAGTGCTGGGATTACAGGCATGAGCCACCACTCCCGGCCATAATTCAATGTATTTTAACGTATTCACAAAGCTGTGCAGCCAGCACAACCAATTTTAGAACATTCTCATCACCACAAAAAGAACCAGGCAGTCCCCACTCCACTCTCCCACTAGTCCCTGGTAGCCACTAATCTACTTTCTGCCTCTGTACATTTGCCTATTCTGGACATTTCACATACAGCCACACATCACTTAACAATAGGGATACGTTCTGAGAAATTCATCCTTAGGTGATTTCATCGTTGTGCAAACATCGCAGAGTGCACTCACAGAAACCCAGATAGCAGAGCCTACTACACGCCTCGGCTCTATGGTATGGCCTATTGCTCCCAGGCTACACACTGTACAGCATGTTACTCCCCTGAATACTGTAGGCAGTTGTAACAGAATGGTATTTGTGTATCTAAATATACCTAGGCTGGGTGCAGTGGCTCATATCTGTAATCCCAGAACTCTGGGAGGCAGAGACAAGAGGATCGCTTGAGCCCAGGAGTTCGAGACCAGCCTGGGCAACATAGCAAGACCCCACCTCAACAAAAAATTTTTTAAAAAATTAGCCAGATGTGGTGGCATGGCCTGTAGTCCTAGCTACTCAGGAGACTGAGGGAAGGCAATTGCTTGAGCTCAGGAGATAGAGGCTGCAGTGAGCTATGATCACCACTGTACTCCAGCCTGGGTGACAGAGTGAGACCCGGTCTCCAAAAAAAAAACCCCAAAACAAACAACAACAAAAAAACACACCCAAAAAACCCTAAACATAAAAAAGGTACAGTAAAAGTATAGTATAAAAGACTAAAACCAGCTTATAGGACAAGCTGCTCTGGATGAGTGAGTGGTGAGTGAATGTGAAGGCCTATGACATTACTACACGCTACTGTAGACTTCATACAGACTGCACACTTAGGCTACACTAAATTTATTAAAAAAAAAAAAAAAAAAAAAAAGGCTGGGCACAGTGGCTCATGCCTATAATCCCAGCACTCTGGGAGGCCAAGGCTGGTGGATCACCTGAGGTCAGGAGTTCGAGACCAGCCTGGCCAACATGGCAAAAACCCTGTCTCTACTAAAAATACAAAAATTAGCTGGGCATGGTGGTGTGTGCACCTGTAGTCCCAGCTACTCGGGAGTCTGAGACAGGAGAACTGCTTGAAACCGGAAGGCAGAGGTTTCAGTGAGCCAAGATTGAGCCACTGCACTCCAACTTGGGCAACAGAGTGAGACTCCCTCTCCAAAAAATAAATCAATAAATAAATTTATGAAAAATATATCTTTATTGTATATGCTTTTTTTCAAGACAGAGTCTTGCTCTATTGCCCAGGCTGGAGTGCAATGGCGGAATCTCAGCTTACTGCAACCTCCGCCTCCCAGGCTCAAGCAATCCTCCCACCTCAGCTTCCTCAGTAGCTGGGACTAAGGGATGTGCCACCATGCCCAGCTAATGTTTGTATTTTTTGTAGGGAAGGGATTTCACTATGTTGCCCAGGCTGGTCTGGAACTCCTGGGCCTGCCTCGGCCTCCCAAAGCACTGGGATTACAGGTAGGAGGCAACACACCCGGCTATATGCTTTTTACCTTTTTTTTTTTTTTTTTTAAACTTTTTAAACTTTCTACTAAAAACTAAGACACAGGCCGGGCATGGTGGCTCACACCTGTAATCCCAGCACTTTGGGAGGCCGAGGTGGGCAGGTCACCTGAGGTCAGGAGTTTGATATCAGCCTGGCCAACGTGGCAGAATCCCATCTCTACTAAAGATACAAAAATTAGCCAGGTGTGGTGGTGCATGTCTGTAATCCCAGCTACTCGGGAGGCTGAGGCAGGAGAATCGCTTGAACCCAGGAGGCAGAGGTTGCAGTGAGCCGAGACTGTGCCACTGCACTCCAGCCTAGGCAACAGAGCGAGACTCTGTCTCAAAACAAAACAAAACAAACGAACAAGCAAAAACCTAAGACACAAACATACGAGTTAGCCTAGGCTTACACAGGGTCAGGCTCATTAAGACATCACTAGGTAAGCCAATTCTTCAGCTCCATTATAATGTTATGGGACCACCGTTGAGTATGTGGTCGGTCGCTGACTGAGACGTAATCACACAGCGCGTAGCTGCGAGTGAAGAAGCATGTGGCTTCTTTCACTTAGCACAATGTTCTCAAGGCTCATCTGCGTGGTAGCATCACTGCTTCATTCTTTTCCATGGTCAAATAACATCCCATTGCGTGAATGGACCACATTCTGTTTCTCCATGAATCCAGCGGATGGGCATCTGGGTTGTTTCCACTTTTTGGCTATCATGAAGATGCTACTGTGAACAACTGTGTATGGTTTTGTGTGGACACATGTTTTCATTTCTTTTGGATAGATGCTGCCTAGGAATGGAATTGCTCTGTCATAAGCTTCATATTTAAAGACAAAATTCTGTCCCTAAACTTATGTTAGCTACTTGTATGTATCTGTGTCCCGGGAGGACAAATGAACTTGGAGCCCCACCCCATCTGGTCAGGCAGTGTCCAGCCAGCAGTCCACAAAGGTGGCCACTTCCAGTCCCCTGACAATGTGTCATTTCTGTTATTTCCACACCTGCCCGGCCCCCACAGGTGTCTAGCTTTCAGGGCAGGTGGGAGATGGACACCAGGCTGGGGAGGTACTCTCCCTGCCCAGCCCCCCCCAATGCCATGTCCCCACCGCGGGACACCCAGCCCCGGGTACCTTGCCTGTAGAGTGCAGCGGCATAACGGGATGTGTTACTGGTGGTCTGGGAAGAGCAGAAGGTCTGCTTGTCCATCAGCTTCCTGGAGCACAGGGAGAAGCAACGTCACAGGGGAAGGCAGCTCCGAGCCAGGGCCTGTGGCCACAGCGCACCCCACCCCCTAGACACTTTCTGAAGTGCCACAGCCAGGGACCAAGGCCGCAGGGCAGCCTACGCGGGTCTCAGGAGGGCAGCCTGGGGATGAGAAAACCCATGGCCTTGTTTGTAGACCAAGAGACGAGGAGTGGGTAGGAGCTCTGGGACCAGCTAGTTCAGGAGGGCAGAGTCTGAGACAGGCCCAGCCCTCCAAAGGCTGGGACACTGGTGGGGAGCCCAGTGACGGGGCAAAGGGGGTCAATGTCTTTAAGGTCTTTTGGAGGCTCCTGTGTGAACGCAGGGAAACCGGACAGGCTTGGGGCCGGAAACTCACGAGGAATACGTGCTGGTCTCGTCGGCGCAGGCCCCGTCCACGTTCAGCGCAATCTGCTCCCCTTTGCTGCGGCAATAGTTGGGGTTCAGGGTGTCGATGGCCATCTCAAGCTCTACCTGGAGGCACCAAGCACCCCCACCAGCTATGAGGACCCCAAGGCATGGCTCCTCAAGGGACACCCCAACCCCACCATGGCCACCTCCTAACCAGGACCCTGCCCGGAAGCGAGACTGACACATGTCCCCAAGGGCCCCTGGACTTCAGTCCACACCAAGGGTCACAAACCCAAATTCCAACAAAAATGTCAGAAGGAAGTGGAGAGTCCTGTAATCTTGTTTGTCCTCTACTTCACTCCCAAAGACCTAAATTAGGTGCCAACATTTAAAAATCAAGAGATTTCTCATAAAAATCCTTATTTCCCACTTCTCTTGAAAAGCCAGCAGAACTGGCAATACTGGGATGGCACTTCCATGTGGCTGGAGGGGCTAGAGCTGCAGACCCTCCATGGATAGGCGCTAGATTCTCTTCCCATCAAACCTACTCCATGTTCACCCGCCCGCCCTCGTCTTATCCTGGGAACCTAAGCTCACATCTGGCCCCATTCTCTCATTCATCAGCCTCATGCGTCCCTGGCCTCTCTGGAGCTGCCCATCCCTGTCTTTCTGGACACTTTCCTTCTTCAGCTTTCAAGGGCCTGGGAGTTGCTGGTTCTCCTACTTCTCCAATGACTCCTTCTCTGAGCTTCTCGCCTCCACCAGCTCCCACCCTCATCACCCTCTCTTTCGGCCCCAACTGCCCTCAGGGGGCAGCCCCACCTTCTGCTGCTTGGGCTTGATCTTGGCTGAGAGGTGCGGAATGTCATCGTAGGTCATCGAGGCTGGACGCACAGGGTACTGGGGAGGGGAAGGGAGCCATTAAGTCCACTCTGCCCAGCCATGCCCAGAGCTGGGCCCTGGCCAAGAATCAACAGCTATCTCCAAGCCCACCCCAAGCAGAGACTGGCCTTACCCTACCACAAGGGTACAAGCTGCCCAGCCCTACCATGAGGCACCCCTGCCAGTCTCCACCCGCAGCCCTATTCTCATCAGCTCCCCACGGCCTCCTTCCAAAGGGCCACTGCAGGATGTCTCTGACTTCCGAGGGACGTGTCTACACACAGGAACCCAAACCGGCACGCTGCTGCTCCAGGAACCCACAGAGCACGGCCATGGGAGGTGAGGATGGGGGTCCAGGGCCTAACTACCAGTGGACAGGCCATCCGGGGAGAGAAGGACGACCAAAAGGAGTCCATGAGGAAGCAAAGAGTGAAAGCAACACCGGCACGTGCTGCTCACTGCTGAGGCCAGACGACGGGCAGGTGGGAATTCGTGAATCCATTCGCTCTCCTTATCTGGTTGTGTGAGCTTCCTCACAAGATGCTGGAAAAGGGAGCCAGGCAGCCATGGCCCGCTCTTATCTTTATGTGAATGGCTCACACAGCAATGCGCTCAACACGCAGGGGCTCCTGTCCACATCTGTCCTCACAGTACACTGTCCCTCTCTCTCTCAGGTGAAGGAGTCAAAGTCTGGACCCCTCCTCAAAAGCTCTGCCTGGTCTCATGACAGCCTGTAGAATGAGCCTGGTGGAGGTATGGCAGTGCGGAAAATAGGCCCTTTCAGATCAGCTACATTCTAGCGCAAGGAGACGGTCATTTCCTAAAAGCTCACTCACACAGCAAAGCCGTGACTCCTCCCTGCTTCCTGGGCTGGGGCTGGGGGCAGTTCTGAGATCACCTGACTGGGGGTGGGAAGGCTGAAGGGCGCAGGTTCTGAAATCACAGGCCTGGCTTCCAGTCCTCATCCTTCCCCTTGCTAACTGTGGACTCAGGCAGGCACCTCGCCTCCCTGAGGCTAAGCATCCTCACCTCCCAAGGCCGCTGTGAGCACGGAGGAGGCAAACAGAGCCGATGGTGGCTCAGGGTTTGGAACTCTGGACACACGGGGGTCACTGGCACCTCCACCATCACTTTGCAGCCAGTCAAGGAAACAGGGTGAGCAGGCACACAGGACAGGCCCCATTCCCACGGCCCATAAGGGTGAACCCCAGGGAGTGGAGGCCAGGCCCTCCCAGCACAGGCTTACAACATTGCTGCTGTGGCATGCCCCAGGCCTCCGTGCCCGTGAAGGCCTCCCTGTGCCTCACGTTCTCATGTGCATCATGGGATATGAACACTGACTCTAACTGTGGGAAGGCAACATGGGGCAGAGCAGCCCAGCAGTGCCTCAAAAAGCTAAACGCAGACCCAGCAATTCTGCTACCAGGCATATACCTAGAAGAAATGAGAATTCACGTTCATCATAAAAACTTCTATGTGAATGTCCACAGTGGCATTATTTATAATAGCCAAAAAGTAGAAATAACCCAAATACCCATCAGCTGATGAATGGATAAACAAACTGTGGTCTCCCATACAATGGAACATTATTCATCAGTAAAAGATCAAATATTGGCTGGGAGCGGTGGCTCACACCTGTAATCCCAGCACTATGGGAGGCCGAGGCAGGCAGATCACAAGGTCAGGAGTTCGAGACCAGGCTGGCCAACATAGTGAAACCCCATCTCTACTAAAAATACAAAAATTAGCCGGGCTTGTGGCGCGTGCCTGTAGTCCCAACTACTCAGGATGCTGAGGCAGAATCACTTGAGCCTGGGAGGCAGAGGTTGTGGTGAGCCGCAATCAAGCCACTGCACTCCAGCCTGGGCAACAGAGCAAGACTGTGTCTCAAAACAAACAAACAAAAAAAAGAAAAGCTCAAATATTGATGCAGGCTATAGCTACCATGTGGATGAGCCCTGAAAACATCATGCAAAGTGAGAGCAGCCAATCACAGCAGGCCACATACTGCATGATTCCAGCTATGTGAAAAGTCCGGAATAGGCAAAACCATAAACAGAAAATAAGGGGAATGGTTGCCTGGGGTTGGAGGTGGGAATGGGGGGCACAGACTGATCGCTAATAGGCAAGGGGTTCCTTTAAAGGGGGACAAAACTGTCCCAAAACAGACTGTGGCGCTGGTTGCACAGCCCCATGAGTAGACTAAAATCCATTGCATTACACACTGAAATGGGGAAACTGTGTGGTGTGTAAATTCTATCTCAATATATCGGTTATAAAATGTAATAATCACCACCATAGGGTTATTGTGGGGTTAAAGAGGTAACTGAGGTAAATGCTTTCAACAGTCTGCATACGGTCAATGCTCAATACATGTTGGCCACAATGACAAGCTGCTGGCCCAGCAGCAAGGGGAGGGGGCAGAGGTAGCAACCCGGGGCCCTCGCAGCTGGCAGGACTGAGGGCTCACAGACGCTGCCATGGAGCTGCCCCTTGGAGCCTCCATGACAACAGCGGCCATCATCACTGGCACCAACTCTCTGCCAGGCGGCATCCTAAACACTTCACTGTGGACTCAGCCTGTCCTCCTGGGGACCTATGAGGCAGGCATTATCACCATCACCACTTTGCAAGTGAGGAAAGTGAGGCACAGAAGGATTAAGAAACTTGCCCACGGTCTCGCAGCTATGGTGTGATGGAGTTGGATCTCAATCCGGTCTGACCCCAGAGCCCCAGCTTTAACTGCTGCACACTTCTGCCTCTCCTGTGTTCCTTCAGTTTTCCCATCTTTGAAATGAGACCAATATTAACCCACCCACGAAAGCAAAGAGACCCCATGACACTCTCCACACCGAGAACCCTAGCTGAGGTTTCCCATCGTTTCCTGCCCGTGTTCCTGAGTCCACACCACCCACCCACACCTGCTTCTCCCCTCTTTACCTTCAAGTCCCATAATTACCTGAAATAGATACAGCTTTTCCGCCAGACTCTTGGCCAAGTACACATCGATCTGGGAAGAAGGGAAGACGACTTAACCGGGAGACTGGACACAGTGCTGACCTCCCCGGGCTATGCCAGCGCTTCCAGCTTCAGTTAAGGGCAGTGGCTCAGGGAAGCAGTTTGGGGAAGGAGGAAATAGCTCAGCTCATGCTAAAAGCAAGCGGATCCAAGGCTGCACACTGGGTATATTCAGGAATCCCTCCTGAAAGCTCCCAGGGGAACCAGGGCAAGAGTTCACCTGGTACCCCCACCCAAGTTCACAATCCCCCAGTAAGCACACATCTTCCCTGGGGCTGCACTGATCGGGAAACGTCCTACAGCCTGGGCAAATGCTCTTCTGAGAGGCAGGCAGGCGAGGGCTCACCTAGGCCTGTGCCTCCTGGCTGGGCCCTCCACCTGCCCCTCCTGGACCAGCCTGTCACCCCTTCTTAAGGGGTCTGCAAGGCCCTTTGTGACTGATGGCTCCACTTCCTTTCTTCCCAACACTAACCACCCCCACCCCGCCACGCAGCAGTTTACCTTCCTGCTTCCTAACTCCTCCTATAAACCACATGCTCTCCTACCCCTGGGCCTTTGCACATGCTTTTCCCTATACCTACAGAGCCCTTCACACATGCCTCCCCTGAGCCTTGACTGCTCGCTCCTCCAAGGACTTGGCTGAGGCACAACTTGGGCAGGAAGCATTCCAGGCCCCCTGGCTGCAGAGGGCACTGCCTCTGTCCTCGGAGTCCCTTGGACTCTTCTATCCCATCACCAACCCCCCTGTTGTAACTCCTGCTACTGCAGTGTAGATGCAGCTTAAATGCATCTAAATAACTCACATCTAATAACTTAGCAACATCCCCCAAGCAAGGAAAAACCACCTCTATTCATCTCCGAGGACCTTCTCCTTGCCCCTGCCCTTCCCACTGGAGGTCAGGCTCCGCATATAAGGAGGCTGAAGGCAGATGCAGTTACTTTTTGCCTTTTGCCTTCCAAAGGTCTAAGTCCTGGGTTAAAAGGATTCTGAAAGGTGAGTTTGACTATCAACAGCTTTCTCTAAGAAGGGAAACCTGTGCCGGCCATGGTGGCTCATGCCTGTAATCTCTGCACTTTGGGAGGCCCAAGGTGGGTGATCACTTGAGGTCAGGAGATCGAGACCAGCCTGGCTATCATGGTGAAATCCCATCTCTACTAAAAATACAAAAATTAGCCAGGTGTAGTGGCGGGCGCCCGTAATCCCAGCTACTCAGGAGGCTGAGGCACAAGAATCGTTTGAACCCAGAGGCAGAGACTGCGGTGAGCCAAGATAACACTACTGCACTCCAGCCTGGGAGACAGAGTGAGACTCCGCCTCAAAAAAAAAAAAAAAAAAAAATTAGTCGGGCGTGGTGATGGGCACCTGTGATCCCAGCTACTCAGGAGGCTGAGGCAGGAGAATCGCTTGAACCTGGGAGGTGAAGGTTGCAGTGAGCCGAGATGGCACCACTGAACTCCAGCCTGGGCAACAGAGCAAGACTCTGTCTCCAAAAAAAAAAAAAAAAAAGGGAAATCTGCCTCCCACTGCCTGTACCCGGAGACTCCTGCCTCATCAGTCTTGCCCACAGCCCATTAGCTTCCCAGGGAAGGGGACCCTGCCCTGCTCACTGATGTGTCACAGCCCCCAGCACACAGTGGTCCAGTGAACAGCTGCTGAATGACTACATCTGCGTAAGCCTGGGAAGGAGGGACTGCTGAGCCCATTTATTCATTCATTCATTCACCAAATAGTCGCCGGGTACCTGGGTGCCAGGCACTATACTCGGCTTTGCGGCACAGCAGTGGACGGGAAAGAAAGCAATCAACTGATATCTAGGGGATGACGGGGGCTAGGCCAAGTATGAGTTACCGCCAAGGTAAGGGCAGAGAGAGGCACGGGAGGGTGCAGGAGGGGAGCTGGGTGTGGAAGGGCAGTCAGGGAAGGCCTCCCTGATGAGGTGATGCCAGATCAGAGACCTGAAGGAAGGGAGAGGTCAGCCACGCAGGGGTCTGGGGGACAGCAGAGGGGACCAGGCAGAGGGAACAGCAAGGGTTAGGGGTCCCAGAACATCAACAGGTCCCAGACTGGCCTGAGGACACATGGAAAGGACCCAATTCCACTGCCTGTAGCCCCGGCGGCAGGGGACAGAGAGCAGCAGTTACCTCCTGTACAACTGGGTCATCCTCTTCATTGGCCATACTAGAGGAGAGCCAGCCGCGCAGTCCTTCAGCTCGATCTGCAAAGGAGGGCGAGAGACTGGGACCATCAGTCGTTCAACCAACATTTCCTTGTGCCTATTCTGCAACAGGCCCTGCACTGGGAGGGGGAGCCCACAACCAACCAACTGACCTTCTTTCTACATCTACATTGAAGTCAACAATGGATGACCAACCCTATACCCCATCAGCCAGAAGAAATAAAGAAAAAAAGAAACACTCAAGCAGCGGGTGCAAGCGGGTAGACCAAGCCAACAAGTGTGGGCTGCACCTGCGGGGAAAGGCAAATGACTGGCTTTAATGGTTTCTTCTCTGCTCACAGAGAATTCACTGCCAGACAGAAGGATAGAGGTTGGCTGGTCCCAGCCATGATTAAAACACTGGAGAACTGAGGGCCCTGGGGACGCTTTAAAGAGGAGCCAGAAGTTGAACAGGAAGACAGACAGTCCAAAGCTCTCTGATATTTGATTTTCAAGCTGACTTTAACTCGAATCCTGAGTGAGATGACTCTTCTGTGTTTTTGGTCTAAAAATGACCTCTTCACACACTCTTCTGTCCTGTATTCAACACAATGACCCTATGAGGTGTGGTGATTGTCACTGTTTTATAATGAACAGACTGGAACTCAGAGATACTGTGTGCATTTTGACCCAAAGTCACATAGCAAGCAGGATGATGAACTGGACTTCAAATCCAGGCTGTCTGACCTCAGGTGACAGGTACAGGTAGGGGAGTTGAGAGGCGGGAAAGGCCTTTCTGCTGGGGAGGAGGCACGTTAGGTGCGCCTGGAAGAAGAGAGAGCTTTGGGCAAGTCATGACAACAGAGGGGAGGAGAAATTCCAGGAAGAGGGAAGGCTGTAGGTCTCCACGGGGCAGGTTGAGTATTTCAGCTGGTCTGCCCCTTCACATACCCAAAGAGAAGAGGGGTGGTCATAGGTAGGATGGTACTCAGGCACCCCCAGGCCTCAGCAGTTCCCAAACCTCTGCTCTTGGGTGAGACTAGCATGAATTTTTTTTTTTTTTTTTCTTGAGACGGAGTCTTGCTCTGTCACCCAGGCTGGAGTGCGGTGGTACGATCGGCTCACTGCAACCTCTGCCTCCCGGGTTCAAGCGATTCTTGCCTTAGCCTCCCAAGTAGCTGGGATTACAGGCATGCACCACCAGGCCCGGCTAATTTTTCTATTTTTAGTAGAGACAGGGACTTGCCATGTTGGCCAGGTTAGTCTTGAATTCCTGACCTCAGGTGATCTGCCCGCCTTGGTTTCCCAAAGTGCTGGGATTACAGGCGTGAGCCACTGCGCCCGGCTGAGACCAGCATGATTTTTGTCTGATCTACTTAACATTTGAACTATCTAATATTTATTTATTTTTAAGACATGTCTTGCTCTGTCACCCAGGTTGAAGTGCTCTGCCGTGATTTTGACTCACTGCAACCTCTGCTTCTTAGGTTCAAGTGATTCTCCTGCCTCAGCCTCCCAAGTAGCTGCAATAATTGGCATGCACCATCCGCTCAGCTAATTTTTGTATTTTCAGTAGAGACGGGGCTTTGCCATATTGGCCAGGCTGGTCTCGAACTCCTGGCCTCAAGTGATTCACCTGTGTTGGCCTCCCAAAGTGCTGGGATTACAGGCATGAGCCACCACACCTAGACAAAAGCCAAAGTCTTTATCATCCCATGTAAACCCTAAACAATCTCCTGCCCCTTGACCTGCCAGACCTCATCTCCCACAAGCCTCCTACCCTCCTCTCTGCTCCAAACCCACTTCTGGGGCTTTGTAGCTGCTCTACCCCCCCGATAACCTCATGGTCCCCCCTTCACCTCTTTCCGGTTTTTGCTCAAATGTCACCTTGTGGCTAAGACCTTCCCTCTCCAAATCACATTGCAAACTGCCTCCCCCACCCCTCAATTCCCTTCTCTGCTCTGGTTTTCTCCATAGCAGGTGTCTATCACCATGTGACAGTTTACAGCTCTGCATCTGTGCCCATCTCTATTGCCACTAAGCTGTAAGCTATGTGAAGGCAGAGATTTTGGTCTATTTTGTCCCTTGTGGTACCCCAAGTGCCTAGTACACAGCAGGCACTCAATACATGTTTGTTGTCTAAATAAATGAACCATGGGAATGCTATTTAATAGGAAGCTACAGAAGGATTTCGGGCAGAGGAAGACATGGAGCGGGTAGAAAGAGAAACTTCAGGGAAACAGCTATCGTAACAGTCCCAGAGATGGAGGATGGAATGAAAATCAGGAGTCGCATCTGGACAGTTTCAGTGCATCTCGACTGTCTGCTGTGCAGACAGAGGGCAGTGTAGAGCGGAGAGCCCAAGGCCTCACCCCATCTGCACCGGCTGCCAAGTGCCACAGATATGTCAAGCTCCTGCCTTCTCTGCAGCTGGGCAGTGGACAACTGAGAGGCTGGGGCCTGGGAGGTTCCCAAGACGCAATTGTTCTTTCTTGGCTATTGCTATGCCCTGTTGGCCTCTGCCCTGCCAGGGATCAGGGAGGCTGAGGTGCCCTGTCAGCTAGAGAGCTGGAGCTCCTTCCTCTGGATAGTACATCTGGGTTGATACAAAGAGTGTCACCTCCCTTCATCCTCCAGGCCGAGGTGATCCAACTCAGTGGCTTTCAAAGTTTTCAGCCTAAGATCCACCACAGTAAGAAATCCATCTCATATAAATAACCCAGAACATACATACAGTTGCATAACTGAAACAAGGTTTCACGTAACTATAACTGTCCCTACTATATGTCAGGCCGTGATGTTTTCTACTTCATTCAAAACAAAAAATGCTAGCTTCAATTCCCTTAAATTGATTTTACTTCCCACTAATAAATTTTAACCTGCAATGTGAAAAGCACTCATCCAAGTCTCCCTACGGCTCCTTATACCTACCTCCAAGTCTCCCAGCAACAGTGAGTCTTTGGAAAGAAGTAAATCAGGCTGGCATGGTGGCTCATGCCGGTAATCCCAACACTTTGGGAGGCTTAGGTGGAAGGACTGCTTGAGACCAGGAGTTCGAGACCAGCCTGAGCAACATAGTGAGGCGCCCCCCGCCCCCCGGTCTCTCTTTAAAAAAAAATTTTAGCCTGGCATGGCCTGCAGTCCCAACTACTTGGGAAGCTGAGGCAGCAGGATTGGTTGAACCCAGGAGTTTGAGGCTGCAGTGAGCTATGATCACACCACTGCGCTCCATCCTGGGTCACAGTGTGAGACTCGATCTCTACTGGGGGGAAAACAAAGCCAGGCACGGTGGCTCACACCTGTAATCCCAGCACTTTGGGAGGCCGAGGCAGGCGGATCACCTGAGGTCAGGAGTTCCAGAAAAGCCTGGCCAATAAGGTGAAACCCCGTCTCTACTTAAAATACAAAAATTAGCCAGGCGTGGTGATGCACGCCTGTAATCCCAGCTACTCGGGAGGCTGAGGCAGAAGAATCACTTGAACCCAGAAGGCAGAGGTTGCAGTGAGCCGAGATCTTGCCACTGCACTCTAGTCTGGGCAACGGAACAAGACTCCATCTCAAAAAAAAAAAAAAAAAAAAAGTAAATCATATTATTTCCCTGCCTAAGACCTGTCAACTGCCACTGTCACATAAAATAAAACCCAAACTCCTTTCCATGAGCCACCTAAGGCCCTACATAATCTTGTCTCTGTCTTCCCCTCACCATCCAGGCTGGTAGCCACTTGCTGGGCCTCCAACAAGGCAAGCCCCAGTCCACCCCAGGTCCTTTGCACATCATCTATTCTCCCACAGGGATTTCCAAGGTTGCTCCTTTTTATTAAATATCATCACCGCCTGCAGGAGAGGATAGGTTCCCTGACCACCCTATTTTAAAAGCCTCCCCCAGCCTCCTCCCAGGCCCTACCACATCTCTGTTTTCTTTCCTTGGTGGGTCTCATCTTAATCTGGAACTACCTGGTCTATTTGCTCAGGTGTTGTTTGTCTTCTGCAATAGAACGTAAGCTCCATGAAGGCTTCTCAGTGCTTCAGTTTCCTCAACTATGAAATGCAGACAATCATACTTTACTTCATCAAAGCTGTTATGGGGAGCATTACTTTAAAAAAAAAATCCAGTGCTGGTTCTCTCAATACCTAGAACAGTGCCTGGCACGAAGTTGACACTCAATATAGTACAAAGAATACTTTATATTTAATCTTCTCATTAGCCCTATCAATAGAGATTTATCATCTTCAATTTGGAAATGACGAGACTGAGGTTCAGATATAAGCAACTCATCCAAGGTGGAATGAGGACAGAAACTTGGGTCTCGCTATGTCAAAGATCCTTATTCTTATTCTTAACCACTATACTGCACGGTTTTCTGATAAACGGCAGTATGGTTAAGTGGGTAAGAGCTTGGACCCGAGAACAAAACTGTACAGGTTCAAATCCCACCACAGCTGCTTGGCATCTGTGACCCACCTGAGTTGTCTGGGTTTGGTATTCCTCCCTATTTTCATCCCTAAAGTAGGGAAACTAAGTACCGACCTCCAGACCCCTGCGGGGAAGGAGTAAGGACAGGACGCTAATAAACGTAACCTCTGGGAAGGTTTGTTATTACTTGACAACATGTTTTCTGCCAACGTAAGCGGGTAATGACGCTAAGCCACAAGTCAAACGCTGCAAGCAGGAGCGTCACCCGGTTTCTACTGAGCCGTCACCACAACCCTATGAGGTAGGAATTTCTATTATCTCTATTTCACAGATGAGGAAACTGTGGAGATCGCTAAGATCTCTTCTTTCCGCCTCCAAGCCCAAGGAATTCTAAAGCTAACCCAAAGGAACGACCTTGTTTGTTTACTGACACCTCCTCGGACCGAATGGTCAGGGCTGTATCCGGAACACAGAGTTGGCTCGGTAAACACTGAATGGTTGCCTGAATAAATGAATGAGGAATCCCTGGCCTCGCCGGGCAGAGGCTAATCCGGTTCAGCTGCGAAGTGGGGGCTCCGGCAGGCGCAGGTGCCCTCCCTGCCCATCGGGGCGGGCCGCCGATCCCGAGCCTCGCTGTCCAATGGGTTTCTGCTCCCTCGCGGGTGGTCAGGCCCCCCTTCTCACGCCCACCACGCAGTCCCTGCCGCGAGCCGCCACTACACCCGACGCGCGGACAGGTGTTTCTTCCGTAGGAGGCCTCCCAGGCCCGGATAGGGCAGGTCGGCTGGACCCTGAGTCACCGCCGCCAGCGTCGGCCGCGGCCTCCCCAACTCCCAGGTGTCAGGTCAAGGAAGTCAGAGTCCGGGGTCGGCCTGGAGCCGGCTGCCCCTCCTCCCCGCCCGAGTCCCGAGAGGCCTCCAGCTGCTAGGCACAGCGCGGCGCGGGCCTCCTTGGCCTACTCGGGAATCTAGCCCAGGCCCACGTCGTGAGTGCGGTCCGGCTCAAGCCCCAGCTCGGGCACTGCCAAGACGGGACTCACCTCTCCGCGGGGGCCGAGCGCGGACGGCGGCAACGGCCCAGTTACCCGCGGGCTGCAGAGACGGCGGCGGCCCGGCTCTCCTCTCAGGCGGCGGCCATGTTGCTGGTGGAGAAACTCCGGCGGACACGTGGGGGGGAGCGGGCCGGCCCCAGCGTTTCCTCTTACCCACAATGCCCCGCCCCGGTGCACGCGGCTCCGCCCCCTCCGCCGCGCCATTCATGCAGGCCGTGAGCCCCGCCCTGCAGCAGGGGGCGCTGATGGCACGCGCAAAACTGAGCCAGGAGTGTATGCAGCGGGGACAAAAAGACAGCAACCCTGGCAGCGGTGGGATTCGAACCCACGCCCCCGAAGAGACTGGAGCCTTAATCCAGCGCCTTAGACCGCTCGGCCACGCTACCCAGCTGCAATATGTTTATGCCAGAAAGCTA
The DNA here is from genome assembly GCF_000001405.40 of Homo sapiens. Classification (NCBI taxonomy): domain Eukaryota; kingdom Metazoa; phylum Chordata; class Mammalia; order Primates; family Hominidae; genus Homo; species Homo sapiens. Next base: position 807,921 of record NW_017852933.1, read on the forward strand.
CTTAATGCTTTTGCTTTTGCATTTAATCTGGACATTGCGAGGCGTTTTCGCTGAGGTTTTTTTTTTGCTTAACGTGTGTTCAAGGTGATCCCTATAGAATTATTTTAAAAAGCCGTGTTTTGGAAAATAAACACTTGCTCCAGTCTTTAGACCCAGGTTGGTTCCGAATAGGTATTAGAGCAAAACGCATTTTTAGAAACTTTACTCTGAGTTGGATGGTTAACCCGGAGACCCCTGGTTAACCCACAGGTAATCCATACGACCCGGATTGGGTGTCTCCGGGAGAAGAAATTGATCTGATCAGAAACATGCACCAGGGGATCTGACGGCCAAACCCTGGAGCTGGTCTGGGCAGTTGTCTCTGAAAAATTATGTTTAAATTTTTACTTACACAAATAACACGCGAATTATTGCAAAATATTTAAACTTTGCAGATAAGGTACAAATGCTCTTTGACCTTGACTCGCATCCTAGGCCCCTCCGCCGAGGTAACTAACCATTATTATCTGTTTAATATGAACTATGGTTTGAATGTGTCCCCCAAATTTCATGTGTTGGAAATTTAATCCCCAATGTGGCAGTATTGTGTGGTGGGCCCTTTAAGAGGTGATTAGATCATGAGGGTGGAGCCCTTATGAATGGATTAATCTCTTCATGGATTCATGGATTAATGGGTTAATGGATTAATGGGTTATCTTGGGAGGGGGACTGATGGCTTTATAAGAAGAGGGAGAGAGACCTTAGCTAGCAAGGGAGCAGCTCAGCACCCCCTCCATATGATGGCTTGTACTGCCTGGGAACTCTGCAGGTGTCCCCCACCAGCAAGAAGGCCCTCACCAGATGCACACTCTTGACCTTGGACTTCTCAGACTCCATAACTGTAAGAAATAACTTCCTTTTCTTTACAAATTACCCAGTTTCAGGTATTCTGTTATAAGCAACAGAAAATGGACTAAAACACTATATATCTTTCTAGATCTTTTGCTGTGAATTTATATGTTTATATCTATATGGATATATATAGATATAGCCATAGAAGATAGCTTTGTTTTTATTGTGTATGGATTTGAACACAAATATTGTCACATTATTCATATAGATCTGCAATTGGCTGTTATTTTTCACCAGACTGTATTTTAAAATACCTATCCGTGTGGATATGCAAAGATATTAAAAACAAAAATGCACAAAAATTACAAAGAAAAAAATTATCATCCATAGTGCCACCACCTGGCATTAAATTAATGACTTAGTATTGTGGCATTTTTTTCCTTTTCTTTTTTCTTTTCTTTTTTTTTTTTTTTTTTTTTTTTTTTTTTGATGTGGAGTCTCGCTCTTGCTGTCTAGGCTGGAGTGCAGTGGTGCGATCTCCGCTCACTGCAATCTCTGCCTCCTGGGTTCAAGCGTCTCTACTAAAAATACAAAAATTAACCTGGCGTGGTGGCACATGCCTGTAATCCCAGCTACTCGGGAGGCTGAGGCGGGAGAGTTGCTTGAACCCGGGAGGCGGAGGTTGCAGCGAGCCGAGATCCCACCACTGCACTCTAGCCTGGGCGACAGTGAGAAACTCGGTCTCAAATAAATAAATAAATAAATAAATAAATAAATAAATAAATAAATAAATAAATAAATAAAAAATAGATCACACTATTACAAATAGAAATTATTAGACCATTGCAAATAGAAATAAGTCCCCCTCCCATTCTCCCCTGTCTATAACTGTCATGAATTTGATGTGTATCTTTCCAATAATTTCTTACATTTTTACTATAAAATTTATGAATAATATCTAAAATGGTTATCTGTATGTTTTTCACTTATATAAATGTTAGCACATTGTACTGATATCCTAAAACTTGCTTTTCTCATTTCAACAGTATTATTATTATTATTATTTTAAGAGAGTGTTGCTCTGTCACCCAGGCTAGAGTACAGTGGTGCAATCATAGCTTACTGTAGCCTAGACCTCCCGGGCTCAAGCCATCCTCCCACCTCAGCTTCCCAAGTAGCCAAGATTACAGGCATGAGAGACTGTGCCAGGCCCAACATTATGTTTTTGAGGTCTGTTATGATGCCTATAGATCTAATTCATTCATTCCATGCCATGTACAACTTTTAAGTTGTTACTAAATTTTTGTCATTACACACAATATGGCAGGAAGTATCCTTGCACATGGCTCCTTGTCTTACGTATGGACATTTCTCTAGGGTATACACTAGAAATGAAATTGCTGGTCTATATTTATACTTTCCCTAGTATTATATAATAATAATATTAATAATAGGCTGGTCTCAGTGGCTCACTCCTATAATCCTAGCACTTTGGGAGACTGAGGTGGCAGGATTGCTTGACGCCAGGAGTTCAAGACCAGCCTAAGCAACATCGAGAAACCTTGTCTCTACCAAAAAACAAAAGAAAAGAAATTAGCCGGGCATGGTGGCATGTGCCTGTAGTCTCAGCTACTTGGGAGGCCGAGGTGGGAAGATCCTTTGAGCCAGGGAGGTCAAGTCTGCAGTGAGCCGAGATTCAGGTGCTGCACTCCAGCCTGGGTGAGAGAGTGAGACCCTCTCTATATAGATATAGATATGCATATATTTTTCCATTTTGCCAAATTATATGACTTTTGATGACTTTTTTTTTTTTTCTATTTCTTCCTGAGTCAACTTTGGCAAGTTGTCGTTTTCTGGGAAAACAAAGCCCCATTACTTGATTTTTCACATTTATTGGCGTAAGAAATCTCAAATATCCCTCATATCTAAGGTTTTGTCCTCTATCATTCTCTATCGTTTCTCTTTCCCTCTGTCATTTACGTGGATTACTTTCTCCATTAGTTCTGTTCAACACAGGGAGTGGAGTCAATGCTTAAGGTGACTGAATGGGGGAATTAGGCAGGAACTCTACGAACGCTGGTGATGCTTTAGACACATCAAAAACTATATAAATCACACTTTTATAAGTAGAATTCTCATTTTGCATTGACTGGTATTAGACTTTTCAGGGCCATGATTCAAGTTTCTGGCTAATATCCAGTTGGTACACACCCCTAACATTTGGGCATTTTATGTCTTTCCTCTTCAATCCCTCCTTAGCCTGGCTTTTCTCCCCCTCCATCCACCACCTTTTTTTTTTTTTTTTTTAGAGAGACGGGGTCTTGCTTTGTTGCCCAGGCTGGAGTACAGTGGTATGATCACAGCTCACTGCAGCCTTGACATCCTGGGCTCAAATGATCCTCCCATCTCAGCCTCCCAAGTAGCTGGGACTAGAGCCACGCGCCACCACACTGGGCTAACTTTTGTATTTTTGTAGAGACGGGGTCTTGCTTTGCTGCTTAGGCTGATCTCAAGCTATCCTCCCACCTCAGCCTCCCAAAGTGCTAGAATTACAGGAGTGAGCCACCACACCTGGCCATCCATCTACCTTTAACATATGTAATGATATGCAAAGATTTTCTTGTGCTAGAAAAGTTTGTTGCTCTTCAAGACATTAAAAAAAAATACAGAAGCAGCCATGGATTGAAGACAAAGGGTAGGCATTGTGGGGAGTTCAAAGCTGAATGAGGAATAACCCCTTTAAGTCAATAGGAGTGTTTGTCATGGTATTTTAGTACCAGGAAGGACTTTGTTTGTGAGTTGGGTACTGGATTTTCCAAAAGGAAATATCCTCACAGTCAAGGATAATTGCTGGCATCTTTGCCCAGTCTGATTTTTCTAGGAACTGCCTGACCAGCCAGAGAGTGGGTCCCTGGCAGCCACCTTTGTGCTGCACGCCCCACCCCCACAGCCATGGCTAGTGGGTTCTACCGTTCTTCAGTGGACGTAGGATTCAGGTTGGACCAATCAAATTCTCTCTTGAGAATGTGAACTGAGACTCCGTGAGTTACTGATTTTGTTTTTTTTTTGTTTGTTTGTTTGTTTTGAGACAGAGTCTCGATCCATTGCCTAGGCTGGAGTGCACTGGCGTGATCTCGGCTCACTGCAACCTCTGCCTCCCAAGTTCAAACAATTATCCTGCCTCAGCCTCCCAGGTAGTTGGGATTACAGATGCACGCCACCATGCCGGGCTAATTTTTTTGTGTTTTTATTAGAGATGGGGCTTCACCATGTTGGCTAGGCTGGTTTCGAACTCCTGACCTCAAGTGATCTGCCCACCTCAGCTTCCCAAAGTGTTAGGATTACAGGCGTGAGCCCCCGCACCCGGCCCGATTTGTTAATTTGACCGTGTTGCGTTGGAATTAGTCTCTGAGGCTGGCTAAAACTAGGAAGAAAGGGGGATTTCGCATGGCTATATTCTGTGAGGTGAGTTGGAGAGGTAGACAAAAGCCAGTGTATAGAAAAAGAGGGAATGAGAGAGTGAGAAGAGCAGAGTCAGGGAAATCCTGATGGTTTTCTGGCTTCCAGCTCCAGACCCTTTCCAAGGCCCAGTGGGTTGTCCACTCTTGGAGGCATCCCTTTATCACTGTAATAAATTCCCTTTCTCTGCTAAAGCCCAGTGCTACTTGGTAGTTGTCAACTGTAAACAATAACCCCCTCCCCCTTGCAAGGCAAAGGCTCAAATGAAGCTGTGTGTGTGTCTTTGTGTGTGTGTGTGTGTGTGTGTGTGTGTAGAATTTTTTTTTTTTTTTTTGAGACAAGTTCTTGCTCTGTTTCCCAGGCTGGAGTGCAGTGGCACAATCATTGCTCACTGCAGCCTTGACCTTCTGTGCTAAAATGATCCTCCCATCTTAGTCTCCTTAGTTGCTGGGACTGCAGGAGCATGACACCATGCCTGGCTACTTAAAATTTTTTTTTTTTTCACAGAGACAGGGGTCTCGCTATGTTGCCAGGACCGGTCTTGAACTCCTAAGGCTGAGATATTTCTGCTAGAACATTCTGGAGCAACTTGTCTCTTTCTACAAACACATACTGAGCAGGATGCTTAATTAAGAGGAAGCCTGCAGGGAAACAGCTGATCCTGGAAGGCACAGCACCCTTTTGAGAGTTTCTTACAGTCCAGCAGCCCCTTACACAGTTTTCTCATGACAATCAGACATGAAATCAATGAGCAAGAGATGCAGAATGTTGCATCAGAACCCCTGGACCTACAAGGTCTCAGCAGCGGGATGCCTGACAAGGGAGGGATGGGCTGAAACTCCGACTATTCTTTGTGTGCCTGTCCCTATATCATAAACACTAGGCTGTGGATAGTGGAAATGGGTGTGGGGTCTCAGTCCTGGATCCCCTCCATTCTTTCCTCCCTTGCTCCCATAAAAGGAAAATGCTCTCAAACCTGGCCTGAGACCATATCTTTCTGTAAGAACCTCCTTCTGGAAAGAAACTAGCATTTCTGATAAATGCTCGAGCATTGAGCATTTTTCTTTTGAAATTTAAGAGCATTGAGATTTACACTGGGAAACTAGCTTTCTACTCACTCAGTTGATGGTCATTTGTCAGTCAAGAGTGCAGTGACCTTTAACGGAACATTCTTTTCTTTTCTATTTTGTCTAACAGTGATTATCTAATCATTTTCTTCTCCTAGAAAATGTCTCTATCAAGATAGAGGTCAGAAGAGTGGCCAACATTTTTCGGGGTGGAGAGAGGGTGTATTGCCTGGGAAGGGGTCCAGGGGGGCTTCTGTAGGCCTGCAAATGTTCTAATATCTTGAATTGGGTTGTTAAGACACAGATGTGTACAAATGTAAAAATTCATCAACCTGTATACTTAAGAGCGTGCAGTTTAATCTACATAGGCAGACTGTAATAAAAAATAAATTTTTAGAAAATGTCCCTACCAAGTATAAATCTTTGAATTCCCAGTGGGTTTACACTTGCAGCAAGACTGTGATTTTTTTTTTTTAAGATATGGGCTTTCACTGTGTTGACCAGGATGGTCTTGAACTCCTGGCCTCAAGCAATCCTCCCATCTTGGCCTCCCAAAGTGCCAGGGTTACAGGTGTGAGCCACCACGCCCGGTCAAGACTGTAATAAAATTTTGACGTATGCTGTAACAAAACCAACAGAAAAGTTTTCTTTATTAACTTCTCTCTAATCTTTTTTTTTTTTTTTGAAATGGAGTCTCATTCTGTCACCCAGGCTGGAGTACAGTGGTGTGATCTCGGCTGACTGCAACCTCTGCCTCCTGGGCTCAAGTGATTCTCCCGCCTCAGCCTGGCTAATTTTTATATTTTTAGTAGAGATGGTGTTTCACCATGTTGGCCAGGCTGGGCTCTAACTCCTGACCTCAAGTGATCTGCCCACCACAGCCTCCCAAAGTGCTGGGATTACAGGTGTGAGCCACGGTGCCAGGCCTCCTCGTGCCAATTTCTCAGCCTTGCAGGACTTGTTCAGCAATGAAAATTGGGTTTTTCTCAGATTTCTCTACTGCTGATCTAGGATCCAGACTTCTTGGGTCTGTTAATTCAATTACAGTCTACCTACTTTCCAGCACCCAAAACTTGCTGTTCAATCCTCTTTCTCTTCATCCTCACCGGCTTATGCTATTTAAAAACAAACAAACAAACAAAAAAACAAACAAAAGAATCCACTTCCTGTCATTGCAGTGGGGATTTAGGAACAAGTGGACCTAAATATGTATGTTCAACCTACCATGCATAGTTATACTAATGTTCAAATTTCTTAAAATTAAAAAAAATTAGCTTAAAACCAAAAGATCAACTGGTAACCAAGATTTTCTTAAGCTTGGAATTAAAAAAGCACTTTAGGCTGGGCGTGGTGGCTCACACCTGTAATCCCAGCACTTTGGGAGGCCAAGGTGAGTAGATCACCTGAAGCCAGGAGTTTGATACCAGCCTGGCCAACATGGTGAAACCCTGCCTCTACTAAAAATACAGAAATTAGCCAGGCATGGTGGTGTGCGCCTGTACTGCCATGCCAGCTACTAGGGAGGTCGAGGCGGGAGAATCGCTTGAACCCGGGAGGCGGAGGTTGCAGTGAGTTGAGATCGCACCACTGCACTCCAGCCCGGGTGACAGAATGAGACCCCATCTTAAAATAAATAAATAAAAATAAAAAAAAACACTTTACCATGTATTATCTTCTCTGAAGCTTACAACTCTGTAATGGTAAAAATTATTCTTCAGGCCGGGCACGGTGGCTCACGCCTGCAATTCCAGCAGTTTGGGAGGCCAAGGCCGGTGCATTGCTTGAGCCCAGGAGTTCGAGACCAGCCTGGGCATGATGGCAAAACCCTGTCTCCACTGGAAGAAAGGAAAAAACAAGATGAAACACAACCTGCCCCCCTTCAAAATTAGCCGGGCGCGGTGGTGCTCACCTGTAGTCCCAGCTACTCGTGAGGAGGCTGAGGTGGGAGGATAACTTGAACCTCGGAGGCAGAGGCTGCAGTGAGCCAAGATCTTGCCACTGCACTCTAGCCTGGGCAACAGAGTGAGACTGTCTGAAAAACAAACAGAAAAACTCTATGTTTTATAGATGAGCAAATGAAGAAACGAGAGGTTCTAATACTTTCTCTAAAGCAAACTGACAGCAGACGAGCCAAATCTGGAAGGCTTTGAAAAGTTATTAGAATTTATTACAAATGTTAAAGAACAGAAGGCCTTGCATTAAAAAAAAAAAAGTTTTCAGCAGCTCTTGAAAAATTGGAAAATAGGGTAACATTGAGCCCGCGCTTCCCATGGTGGCAATCATTTGAAGTTGAATCATGGCTGCCCCTTTCAGATGGGGTATGAGCCTTCTCGTTGACCCCTGCCTGCAGCAGCTTTATTTATTTATTTATTTATTTATTTATTTATTTATTTATTTGAGACAGTCTTGCTCTGTCGCCGAGGCTGGAGTGCAGCGGCGTGATCTCAGCTCACTGCAAGCTCCACCTCCCGGGTTCACGCCTTTCTCCTGCCTCAGCCTCTCGAGTAGCTGGGACTACAGGCGCCTGCCACCACGCCCAGCTTTTTTTTTTTTTTTTTTTTAATGTATTTTTAGTAGAGACGGGGTTTCACCATGTCAGTCAGGATGGTCTCGATCTACTGACCTTGTGATCCGCCTGCCTCAGCCTCCCAAAGTGCTGGGATTACAGGCGTGAGCCACCGCACCCGATCCCCCACCTTTTTTTTTTGAGATGGAGTTTCGCTCTTGTTGCCCAGGCTGGGGTGCAATGACAGGATCTGGGCTCACTGCAACCTCCATCTTCCGGCTTTAAGCAATTCTCCTGTCTCAGCCTCCTGAGCAGATGGGACTACAGGTGTGCGCCACCATGCCCGGCCAATTTTTGTATTTTTAGTACAGACAGGGTTTCATCATGTTGGCCAGGCTGGTCTGGAACTCTTGACCTCAGGTGATCCCGCCCGCCTCGGCCTCCCAAAGTGCTGGGATTACAGGCGTGAGGCACCACGCCTGGCCATTTTTTTTTTTTTTCCAAACCAGGAGACATTTGAGTCTGAGACAGAAAAGAAAGAAAACACTTTATTTGTAAAGAGAAAATGGAACTTAGTACATATGCCAAAATAAATCTGTAACGCAGGCCACTTCTCTGGGCCCCATCTTGAGTAGGTTAAAGGGTCACCTTAGAGACTAGAAACACAATTAAGAGGCACAAATCCACACAGAAAATATGCATATTTTGTCTCCTTTCCCCCCAAAACAAGCTGCATATACTTGTGTAAACTTGTTGATTTGTAAAACATGTCTAGTACTGCAGACAAATGTGTGGGATGAAAGGAAATAAAAGCCATGAAAACAGGGCCAGGTGCAGTGGCTCACGCCTGTAACCCCAATGCTTTGGGAGGCTGAGGTGGGAGGATCACTTGAGGCCAAGGAGTTCAAGACCAGCCTGGGCAACATAGTGAAACTCTGTCTCTGCAAAAAATAATTTTAAAAAATTAGCCAGGCGTGGCTTGGCACGGTGGCTCATGCCTGTAATCCCAGCACTTTGGGAGGCCGAGGCAGGTGGATCACCTAATGTCAGGAGTTTGAAACCAGCCTGGCCAACATGGTGAAACCCCCGTCTCTACTAAAAATACAAACATTAGCTGCGCGTGGTGGCAGGTGCCTGTAGTCCCAGCTACTCGGGAGGCCGAGACAGGGAGAATCGCTTGAACCTGGGAGGCAGAGGTTGCAGTGAGCCAAAACGTGCCATTGCACTTGAATCTGGGCAACAGAGCGAGACTCCACCTCAAAAAAAAAAAAAAAAAATTAGCCAGATGTGATGGTGCACATCTGTAGTTTTAGCTACTTGAGAGGCTGAGGCAGGAGGATCACTGGGGCCCAGGAGGTTGAGCCTACAATGAGTTATGATCATGCCACTGCACTCCAGCCTGAGTAACAAAGTGAGACCTTGTGTCTTAAAAAAACAAAAACCACTAAAATAGCAACAAGAGCAGTTTACTTGGCTTGGAGGTCAAAGCTGCATTTGATAAATTCCCAGAGTGGTCAGGGGGAGAACAGATATTCAGGAACACTGGGGTTTGGGAGTTTTTTTCGCTTCTTTCTTACACCCATAAAGCCACCTATCCATTCATTCATTTTATTCTCTTGCCTATAGCAAAACTGAAAGGGCCATTAAACTCCAGTTTAAATTTTATTCCCAAGATCCTCTAAATAGCAGCAGCTCTCAAATCCCAGCTCCAGCTTAGTGGCTTGCTAGCAGTGACACTGTGAAAAAAAATCTAGCTGGCAGAACCTCGGTTTCTCCATTTGTGAAATGAAAGTACTGGATGATAATCCTGGCTCTGCCAATTTCCTGGGCTTTCACCTGCTTCTTGCACTTGAAGATGGTCTCTGATATCGTCCCAGTTGGGCTGGAATGTCCTGGGTTTTGCGTTAGGTTTTTGGCATGTCCAGCATTTGCGGAAAAAGAAGATGTCCTAACTATCTTCAGAAGGCACAAAACTAGGGGTTTTTCTTGTTTTTGGTTTCGAGACGGAGTCTCACTCTGTCGCCCAGGCTGGAGTGCAGTGACGCAATCTCGGCTCACTGCAACCTCTGCCTCCTGGGTTCAAGCGATTCTCCTGCCTCAGCCTCCCGAGTAGCTGACTTCAGGTGATCCGCCCACCTCAGCCTCCCAAAGTGGCGTGAGCCACTGCACCCAGCCCAAACTAGGTTTTGAAGGTGGAATAAGTTCTCCTAGCTCAGAAGGATCTCAACCTCTTGCAAGTTACTTTTCACTTTTAAGGGCCCTTAAAGAAGCATTTGCTTAGCTCTGTATCCAGGCCATCTCTCCCTCCCCGAAGAGCAACAGACCAGCAACTGACATTAAGGTCACATGGGTGGGTGGGGAGTAGAATTGCGGGGGTGACAGTTCCAGCCAATCCAGACAACGAATCATTGTTTGGAGGAACCAGAGCCTCAAAGGGTGAGTGCACTGACTAGGGCTGGCTCTCCATCTGTTCACACACTTGTTGAGTGCCTACTCTATGCCAAAGCACTGTGTTTTGGTGCCCTGGGGAACACAAAATTGGGATAGCTCCTGCCCTCAGGGCTTAATAAAGTAGCTCTCAGTCAAGGGTTAGAGCAAGGGTTGACAAACTACAGCCCAAAAGGGCCACCCGTTTGTGTAAATAAAGTTTTATTGGAACACCAGCCACACTCATTCGTGTTCATGTAGTGTCTGTGGCAGCTTTTACATTACAACAGCAGGGCTGAGCATTTGCAGCAGAGGCTATATGGCCTGCAAAGCCTAAAATCTTCACTTTCTACCCCTTTACAAAAAAGTTTGCCAATTCCTGCTAGAGAAGAGATGACATACAACTAAGAACTTAAACGAGTGATCAGGGAACACAAATTATTTACATAATAAAATTTCAGAGAGGGGGGGCTGGCTGAATTTAAAAAGCATGAATTACGTGAGGCTTGATTACTGTGAAGAGATAAGTCAACTTAAAGTTACTTACATTTAACATACAATTTATATGCACTGGTTTAAAACACGCACACACACACACAAAATGTAACACAAGCCAACTACTGATCTGGTACAGATGACAAAAGGGTGATCAGTTCCAACTTCAAAAGGAAAACTGGCTATGATGAGTCCATATTGAAAAAGTCACTGTCATTTATGGGTGGTCCAAGGGATTTTTTTCAAGGGTAATTTTACCTGCTTCATTGTTCATTTAAGGGTACACACTGAACTTTGGAACTAACGCTTGCATGGGTTTGTGCCTCCAAAGCAGTCAACACTGAAGTCTTGGCTGGGCTCAGTGGCTCCTGCCTGTAATCCCAGCGCTTTGGGAGACTGAGGCGGGAGGCTCACTTAAGTCCAGGAGTTCGAGACCAGCCTGGGCAACACAGTGAGACCCCATCTCTATTTCAAAAATTATAAAATAATAAAAAGAAAATAATCTCTCTGCATAAGCAACAACAACAAACCCCACTAAGGTGTTGAAGGACCCATTTTAATGAATAGTTAAGAATGGTTTGTATGTTATACTCTGCTTTTTTATGTTTTGACTTTTAAACAAAGAAAAATAGGCTGCTTTTGCATTTAGGGTTGATCAAAGCAGTCTGTCTTTTTTTTGTTGTTTTGGTAGAGACAGGGTCTCGCCATGTTTACCCAGGCTGGTCTTGAAGTCCTGAGCTCAAGCAATCCTCCCACCTTGGCCCTCCTCAAAGTGCTGAGATTACAGGCGGGAGCCACCGCACCTAGCATCTTTGCTATTTGAAACATCAAATGAAATCATACTAATGTGAGAGCTGAATTCCATTGAAAGGAAAAGCTCATTAAATAACAATCGCCATTGTCTGGCCATGGGGAGACTACTAGAATTAATGAGTGTTTATAGTTCTTGCCCTCTCATCCTCAAACATCTTAGATAAAATCCCAAGAGACTGCTGCTGAAAGCGTCCTGCTGTAAATTACAAGAAAATCAGCCCAGCTTCAAGCAGAAAATGCCAAGGACCAGGGCTGGGGAGCAGATTTCACGTAAGAACATCCAGACACTAAGAAAACACCAAGGAATACTGTATAAGAGACATTGCAGTCACGTTGTGGGAGCTGCCACTGAGATGCAGAGTGTGGGTCTGCTTGGAGAAAAGGCTCTCACATTCCAAGCCGCTGTCCTTACGTGTAAAAGCTTTGAGGTGCACCCTCTTCCACACTAGCTGATGTAGGAGTTAGAGGTAGTAAACGTGTGCATACAAAACTCAAACCTGTTTTGAAAAGCCCACCGTAGAAAGCATGCTTAAAAGATGGAATTCGGCTGTATGCCAGAAAATCAGTAGCATTATGGAAGGAAATTGAACTAGAAGTTTAAAAAACAGCCAACATGCAGGCCCTTCCCCACAGTAGAAGGGAGCCTGGGTATTGTGCAATCTCACACCCACTGAAAAAATGCCACGCATGCCTCTAAATGCTCTGAGAAAGAATGCTTTGCACTAAGCCACGGCAATACACGCCCCGTGACTTAGGAAAGCCAGCGTGAAGTGCTTCATTTCTCATCCCGATGCACAAAACACAGGGCTCCATGGGCCCGACATTTCAGTCCAGCCTGAAAAGACTAGTGAGCACAGCCCTAAAATTGTCCATTCAAGGCAAAAAGCACTTTCTTATATCTCGTGACAAAAAAAAAAAAAGAAATAAAAATGAAAATAGAACCACAAAATGGGCAGGCATGGTGGCTCACACCTGTAATCCCAGCACTTTGGGAGGCTGAGGCAGGTGGATCACCTGAGGTTAGGAGTTCGAGACCAGCCTGGCCAACATGGTGAAACCCCATCTCTACTAAAAATGCAAAAATTAGCTGAGTGTGGTGGTGTGCACCAGTAATCCCAGCTACTTGGGAGGCTGAGGCAGGAGAATCACTTGAACCCAGGAGGCGGAGGTTGCAGTGAGCTAAGATCATGTCACTGCACTCCAGCCTGGGTGACAGAGCAAGACTCTGTCTCAAAACAAACAAACAAACAAACAAAAAAAACCACACACAAAACGGTATGTTGGTTCATTAGGCTGCTTCTTCAAGCCCCACTTCCCCAAAATACTGCCCTAAGAGACAGCTATAGAGTCTCTGCTGGTAGCTGCCAAGGAGCAAAGACATTTTTCAAGAGTCAAAAAATGAAATATAAAATTTGATTTTACAACACACTTAAAAATGCTTCCCCTCCCCAAACTAAATAAGTTGTTGTTGTTGTTTTTTTAATCTTTCCTCCTAGCCCGTTTGCTTGGGACTAGCCGGCAGTGATTTTCCTGGTTACTCCTCCATCTGGGCCCAGGCCTCTTCAGCCTTTTGGTAGTACTGGTTGGCCAGTCGGCCCTTCATGGCTTCCATCGCTGCCTCTGCTGCCTGGGTATACAAGTCCCCTGAAAGACAGCAAAGGGGGGCAAAAAGAGGTGAACCACCTGTTGTTTTTGCCAGCCCAGTGTCCCCCATCACCCCTCCCAGAAGAACACCCTGACGTTTCCTTAAGAACTCAAACTACTCCGTGTGCCCTCTCCCTCCAGGTGTTCCGGGCGGGGCTCTAAAGGTGGGCCTGTGATAAAATCTAGCCAATAATAGCACTCCTCCTATCCCCCACCAAGCTACAGCGATTGGTCCAGATTTAGTCATGGCCAATCAGAGTAAGCCATCTAAACAACTACTGTTGGTTTGGGGTATGTAGATGATTGAGTTTGAGCCAATGAGAATCAGGCTGAGAACTAATTTGAGCCAATGAGAATCAGGGTGAGAACTTTTGCAGAACTAAGTGGGGATGTGCAAAAGTGGAAGAAATAACGACTTACAAACAGCTTCATGTCAGCTAGGTCAGGTTTTACCAAGTGAATTTGTGTAAAACATACAAATATACTTCAGGTTTTTGGAGCTTTTTGGATTTAAAATTTTCAAATAAAAGATTATAGATTTGCATCATTCTTCTTCTTTTTTTTTTTTTTTTTTTTTGAGATGGAGTCTCACTCTGTCACCCAGGCTGGAGTCCAGTGGCGGAATCTTAGCTCACTGTCACCACTGCCTCTGGGGTTCAAGCGATTCTCCTGCCTCAGCCTCCTGAGTAGCTGGGATTACAGGCACCTGCCACCACGCCCAGCTAATTTTTGTATTTTTAGTAGGGATGGGGTTTCATCATGTTGCCCAGCCTGGTCTCGATCTCCTGACCGCAGGTGATCTGCCTGCCTTGGCCTCCCAAAGTGCTGGGATTACAGGCGCGAGCCACTGCCCAGCCTAGATTTGCATTATTCTTTGTTAATTTTTAAAATATAACTTAAAAACTTTTAAAACTTAGCCTCATCCTATACCTGTGAAATTAGGAACTTAGTATGTTTATTATATGTTAGGGACTGAATGCTGTGTCCCCACTGGGCTCCCCATCCACAAATTCATATGTTGAACTCTTCATTCATGATGTAACTGCACTGTATTTGGAGACACACAGTCTGTGTCTTAGTCCATTTTATGTTGCTATGACAGAATTCCACAGACTAGATAATTTATAATGAAAAGAAATTTATTTGGCTCACAGTTCTAGAGCCCGGCAAGTCCAAGAGCATAGCACCAGCATCTGGCACAGGCCTTGGTGCTGTATCATCCCATGCCAGAAGGCAAAGAGCAAGAGACGTAGAAAGCAAGCGAGCAAGAGGGGGCCAAATTTGCTTTTATAACAAAGCTACTTTTGTGATGACTGACCAATCTGCATGATAACAACATTAATCACCTCTTAACAGTCCCACCTCTTGACACCTTCACAGTGGTGATTACAGTTCAACATGAGACTTGGAGGGGACGTTCATATTCTAGCAGCCTGTGAGGAGGTGATAAAGCTTAAATGAGGTCATAAGGGTAGGGCCCTAATCACACAGAGCTCATTCCCGTTTAGGAAGCAAAAGAGACAGCAGAGCTCTCTTGCTGTCTCCCCACTTGCATCCAGGAGAAAGGTCATGTGAGGACACAGTGAGAAAGCTGTTTTCTACAAGCCAGAAACCAAACTGGCCAGCACCTTGATCTTGGAATTCCCAGCCTCCAGAACTGGGAGAAATAATTTTTTTTGTTGTTTTTTGAGACAGGGTCTCACTCTGTTGCCCAGGCTGAAGTGCGGTGGTATGATCATAGCTCACTGAGTGTGCCACCACACTCAGTTAATTAAAACAATTTCTTTTGTAGAGGTGAGGTTTACCTATGTTGCCCAGGCTGGTCTTGAACTCCTAGACTCAAGTGATCCTCCCATCTTGGCCTCCCAAAGTGCTGGGATTACAGGCATGAGCCACTGTGCCCAGCAATTTTTTTAGTTTAAACCACCCACTCTATAGTATTTTGTTTTGGCAGCCCAAGAAGACTAATACATTATGTAACAGAAAAAATATATATATAACTTGTCTATCAACTGATGAATGGATAAAGGCTGTATATCCACACAATGGAATATTATGTAGTAATAAGAAGGAATGAAGTACTGATAACACACTTCAACACAGATGAATCTTGAAAAAGTTATGCTAAATGAAAGAAGCAGATACAAAAAGCCACAAATTGTATACTCCCAGTTATATAAAATCTCCAGAATAGGCAAATCTATAGGGACAAAAAGTATAGTGGCTGCTAGGTTCGGGGAGGACTGCTAACTGGTACGGGATTTCTTTTTGGGGTGATGGAAATGTTCTGGAATTACATAGCAGTGATGATTGTACAACATTATGACTATACTAAAACCCACTAGGACCAGGTGCAGTGGCTCACATCTGTAATCCAAAGACTTTGGGAAGCCAAGGCAGCAGATTGCTTGAGGCTAGGAGTTCAAGACCAGCCTGGGCAACATAGCAAGACTCTGTCACTACAAAGAACTTTTAAAAATTGGCTGGGTGTGGAAGCAAGTGCCTGTAGTCCCAGCTGCTTGGGAGGCTGAGGCAGGAGAATTGCTTGAGCATAGGAGTTCCAGGCTGGAGTGAGCTATGATTGTGCCACTGCACTCCAGCCTGAGTGACACAGTGAGATTCTATTTCAAAGAAAAAAGAAAGAAAGAAAAGGAAAGGAGGCCAGGCATGGTGGCTCACACGTATAATCCCAGCACTTTGGGAGGCTGAGGCGGGCAGATCACCTGAGGTCAGGAGTTCAAGACCAGTCTGGCCAACATGGTGAAACCCCATCTCTACTAAAAACAGAAAAATTAGCTGGGTGTGTGCCTGTAGTCCCAGCTATGCAGGAGGCTGAGGCACAAGAATCACCTGAACCTGGGAGGTGAAGGTTGCAGGGAGCAGAGATGGCCCACTCCAGCCTGGGCTACAAGAGTGAAACTCTGGGCCAGGTGTGGTGGCTCACGCCTGTAATCCAGCACTTTGGGAGGCCGAGGTGGGCCGATCACTTGAGGTCAGGAGTTCGAGACCAGCCTGGCCAACATGGCAAAACCCTGTCTCTACTAAAAATACAAAAATCAGCTGTGCATGGTGGCACACCTGTAATCCCAGCTACTCAGGAGGCTGAGGCAGGAGAATCGCTGGAACTCGGGAGGTGGAGGCTGCAGTGAGCCAAGATTATGCCGTTGCACTCCAGTCTGGGCTATAGAGCGAGACTCCGTCTCAAAAAAAAAAAAAAAAAAAGAAAGAAAGGAAAGGAAAACCCCCCTACTAAACTATATACTTTAAGATGGTGAATTTTGTTATGAAAATCTCAATTCAGTTTTTAAAATTGCAAAAACCCCCTACAAAGCCGTAATATATAACCATTAAAATAACAATGTTCATCTTCATACTAGCTCCATAAATTCCCCTCCCTGGAAGAAGATTCAGCCTGTCATCTTGTCATAAATAACTCCCAGTGGAATGGAAATTAGGTTCCTCCCTGCCCAGCCCTGTTGCAGCCCAGGGGCAGGTCTGCCAGGCCCTACCTGATCTCTGCGGGTCCTTCTCCAGCCCGTAGCCTCCTGTGAACAGCATCTCGGCCTCCCTGGCCAGCATCATGTACCGGGGCTCGTCCTGCATTCCGTCGTACTCACCGCCCTCATCACAGTCCGTCATCTCCAGGGCAGTGTTGTACCAGTGCAGGGCCTCTAGCCAGTCTTGGCACCTTGCCAGGAGATACAGAGGGAAAGGTGGAGGTTACCATGGCAACAGGGTGGCAGGAGGAGGGCCTTCCAGCAGGAGGGGCAAGTCAGGGATCCCAGCAGGGCCACCACCTATGGTTCACGACCTATCTTGTCCAAGGCCAATACATCTATGAGGCACCTTCATACTGTGATATTCATTCACTCATTCATTCATTCATTTTTGAGACAGAGTCTTGCTCTGTTGCCCAGGCTGGAGTGCAGTGGTGCAATCTCGGCCCACTGCAGCCTCCGCCTCTCAAGTTCAAGCAATTCTCCTGTCTCAGCCTCCTGAGTAGCTAGGATTACAGGTGCACGCCACCACACCCAGCTAATTTTTTGTATTTTTAGTAAAGACGGCATTTCACCACGTTGGCCAGGCTGGTCTCGAACCCCTAACCTCGAGTGATCCACATGCCTAGGCCTCCCAAAGTGCTGAGATTACAGGCATGAGCCACTGTGCTCGGCCAATATTTATTAAGAGAGCAGTTGACCAGCCCAGGCAACGTAGAGAGACCGTGTCTCTACAAAAAAACAAAAACACAACAAAAAAACAGTGACTATAGTCAAAAATAATGTAATTGTATATTTTAAAATAACTAAAAGAGTATAAAGAAATTGTTTATACCACAATGAATAAATGCTTGAGATGATGGATATCCCATTTATCCTGATGTGATTATTACACATTCCATGCCCATATCAAAATAGCTCATGTAACCCATATACACACTTACTATGTACCCACAAAAATTAAAAAATACAATAAACACACAAAAAGCTGGGTGTGGTGATGGACACCTGTAGTCCCAGCTACTCCGGAGGCTGAGGTGGGAGGATAGCTTGAGCCCAGGAGTTAGAGGCTGCAGTGAGCTATGATCATGCCACTGCACTCCAGCCTGGGCAATAGAGTATAACCCTGTGTTAAAAAAAAAAAAAAAAAAAGAGGAGTCAAGTTGCTTTCCTTAATAAAATCAGTATATTACAACAATTTTCCCATAGATGAAAGTAAAGGGCAGCTTAGCTAGGACACCCCCTTGAGGAAGGGGCCCATTTTTACAGTCTACACAGAGGCAGCCATGAGCTAGCATTAGCAATGCCTGAGTGTCCTAGCTAAGCTGCCCTCTGACTTGTAGAGAAGTGGATTGGGGGCGGGGTCCTCTGCAGAGGCCTCTAGAGCCATCTGCACTAATGGCAATCACCGTATGCTCTGCTGTGCGGGACAGCTGTGAATTTTGTTATGTAAAATTGCCTCCAGCACAATGCAGAACTCACCCCAGAATAGTTGAGTCTCCACTTCCAGCTCTGCCCGTCGACCCTCAACTCCTCCTACTGCAGCCCATGTATGGCCAAACCAGCCAGGGCACACAAAGTTTCCAGCCAAACCCACGCACCACAGAATACACAGCAAACAGGGCGGAGGGCTCTTTTTCTTTGGGTGTAATCCGTGTGAGTAACTATTTATAGTATATCAGGAAAGAGCAAATACAGCGACACAGGTAAGAAGGCCTGTGGGTCTCGTGAAACATTCCAGAAGCAATAGGTCTGATGACTTGCTGTCCCTGCCTTGCTGCCACAGTGCCCTCTGCGGCCCTGTCTGACAGGCGCTGCCCTCCAGGACGGTCTCCTGTTTGTCTACCTTTGCACCAGGCTCACCGGCTGCCATCCATTCCCCAACGATGCCTGCTCCTGCCTGCTCTGTGGCCCTTGCACCCGCTGTTCCCTCACCTTGGAAGATTCTTCCTCCAACTCTTTCTGCACCTGGCTCCTTGCTCTGGTTGGAACGTGTGTCCCCTCCAAAACCCATGTTGAGATTTGCTTGCCATTGTGAGGTATTAGGAGTTGGGATCTTTGAGAGGTGATTGGGCTTTGATGGTTCTGCCCTCATGAATGGATTTCTGCCATTATGAGGAAAGTGGATTTGTTATAAAAGGGCGAGTTCAGCCCCCTTTTGCTCTCTCTTTTTTCTTTTCTTGAGATAGCGTTTCACTCTGTTGCCCAGGCAGGAGTGCAGTGGCACAATCATAGCTCACTGCAGCCTCAAAGTCCTGGGATCCAGCAATCCTCCCATTTTAACCTCCTGAGTAGCTGGGATGACAGGGGCATGTCACCACGCCTGGCTAATTTTTAAAATTTTTTTATAGAGACACACTCTTACCAGGTTGCCCAAGCTGGTCTTGAACTCCTGGACTCAAGTGATTTTCCTGCCTCAGCCTCCCAAAGTGCTGGGATTACAGGCATAAGCCACCGTGCTTGACCTGCTCTCCCTCTCCTTCTCTTCTGCCAGGTGATGACACAGCAAGAAGGCCCATGCAAGACGCTGGCATACTGATATTAGACTTCCCAGCCTCCAGAACTAAGAGCCAGCAAATTTCTGTTCATGAGAAATTCCTCAGCCTCAGATATTCTGTTACCAGCACAGAACAGGCTAAGACACTCATCATCCCTCCAATCTCAGCTCACATATCACCTCTTTAGAGATTCTGCCCCCAAACACTGTTTCTTACAACTACCAAAATCTTTAATTCTCCTTATTCACTTGTTTATCATGGTGTCCCTTGACTAGAAGGTAAGCCCCATGAAGGCAGGAGACCCTTGTCTATTTTGCTGTATTTGTCTACTGCATTCCCAGGGTCTGGCAAACAGCATAGTGTCAATAAATGTCTGGTAAATGAAAAAAAGCAAGCAAGTGGCTGGCTGGGATGGTGCTCAGGAAATAATCTTGACTTTATTTTATCTTATTAAAAAATGGCCAGATATGGCTCATGCCTGTGATCCCAGCACTTTGGGAGGCCTAGGTTGGAGGATCTCTTGAGCCCAGGAGTTTGAGGCCAGCCTGGGCAACATGGCAAAACCCCAGCTCTACAAAAAATACAAGTTAGTTGGGTATGGTGGTGCATGGCTATGGTCCCAGCTACTCGAGAGGCTGAGGCGGGAGGATAGCCTGAGCCTGAGAGGTTGAGACTACAGTGAGCTATGATTACACCATCGCACTCTAGCCTGGGTGACAGAGCAAGATTGTGTCTCAAATAAATAAATAAATAAAAGTTAAATTTAAAAAATGGACCATTTGAAAATTATTGGTGACATGCTCAACAAACTTTTGTTTTTGTTTTAAGACGGCATTTCATGCTTGTTGCCCAGGCTGGAGTGGAATGATGTGATCTTGGCTCACTGTAACCTCTGCCTCCCGGGTTTAAGTGATTCTTCTCCCTCAACCTCCCAAGTAGCTGAAGTAGCTGGGATTACAAGCATCTGCCATCACACTCAGCTAATTTTGTATTTTTAGTAGAGATGGGGTTTCAGAGTGTTGTTCAGTCTGGTCTCAATCTCCTGACCTCGTGATCCACCCGCCTCAGCCTCCCAAAGTGTTAGGATTACAGGCATGAGCCACCATGCTGGGCTCGGTTTTAACACTGACTAGGAGACACTAGACTAGATTGTTTATCTCCTTTCTGCTCTGACCTTCCCTGGTCTTAAAGGGCAAAGCAAAATTGGCCTGAAAACATATGGGAAAGGCCTAATCGCTGACCCCTGTCCACCCCAACCCGATGCTATCCCATTGGCGAGGGCGTCCATCCTTCCTTGGCGTTTCTAGCACCTTCTCCTTCGCCTATTGGATAGTAACTTCTGGGGCCTGAATCCCTTAAACGCAAATTTGGGCCTGCACAGAGCCCTGCCTTACCCATAGCTGGCCCTTAATTAATGTTCTTTGCATGGGTGGGGTTGGAACTGCTTTGAATAAGGAAGAAGAATAAGGAAATGACTAGAGCAGAAGCAATAAAGAAATACTTTTGATAGATTTTAACTAAATAAATATTAAAAACCAGTGTGTCCCCAAACCCAGTAAACAATGGTCATTATGTGGCATCTGTGCCCTCCCTCTATCTATGGTAGACATATCTGAAAAAAAAAATGTCTTTTAAAATGAAATGTGGCCAGGTACAGCGGCTCACACTTGTAATACCAGCACTTTGGGAGGCTGAGGTAGGAGGATTGCTTGAGGCCAGGAGTTTGAGACCAGCCTGGGCATCATAGCAAGCCCTTGTCTCTACAAAAAATTATAAAAATTAGCCAGGTAGGGTGGCACATGCCTATGGTCCCAGCTACGCAGGAGGCTTAAGCAGGAGGATCACTTGAGCCCAGGTCAAAGCTGCAGTTAGCTATGATCACACCACTGCACTCCAGCCTGGGTGACAGAGAGACCCTGTCTCAAAAATAAATAAATAGATAAAAAATAGGCCAGGCATGGTGGCTCACATCTGTAATCCCAGCACTTTGGGAGGCTGAGGCAGGCAGGATTACCCGAGGTCAGGAGTTCAAGTCAAGCCTGGCCAACATGGTGAAACCCTGTCTCTATTAAAAATACAAAATTTAGCTGGGTATCATGATGCACATCTGTAGTTCCAGCTACTGGGGAGGCTGAGGCAGGAGAATCACTTGAACCTGGGAGGTGGAGATTGCAGTGAGCCGAGATCGCGCCATTGCACTCCAGCCTGGGATACAGAGAAAGACTCTGTCTCAAAAATAAAATAAAAAGGCTGAGAGTGGTGGCTCAGGTCTGTAATTCCAGCACTTTGGGAGGCAGAGGCAGGTAGACTGCCTGAGGTTAGGAGTTCGAGACAAGCCTGGCCAACATGGTGAAATCTTGTCTGTATTTAAAATATAAAAATTAGCCGGGTACAGTGGCAGGCACCTGTAATACCAGCTACTTGGGAGGCTGAGGCAGGAGAATCACTTGAACCCAGGAGGTGGAGGTTGCAGTGAGCTGAGGTTGCACCAGTGCATTCAAGCCTGTTTGACAGAGTGAGAGTCCATCTCAAAAATAAATAAATAAATAAATAATAATAATTAAAAAATAAAAATAAAAAATAAAGAGAAAAGTATACCAAAGGGTTAATAGCTTTAATATATAAAGAACTTTTACAAGTCAATAAAAACTTATCACCTCAAATGGAAATAAAAGGTAGACAAAGGCCAGGAAGAGAAAGCACAGATGCAAATACTCAGTGCCCAGCTCCAGGCCCCGCCCCATGCATGATGTGCTTCCCCAGTGCACTCAATGGGCACCATATGTATACACTGACATTTGACCTAATACAATCATGTCAGTCTTTTTTGTTTACCTCTCCTCCATGCCAGTAGACAGTACATCAGAGGAGGGGTGAGAAGATGTAAGTTGGCTCTGCCACTTGCTAAATATTTGACCATGGGCAAGCCCCTTTACATCTCAGAACTAGTTTAGTCACCCAAAAAATAGAGCCAAAATACCTGCCCTAGTCAGGCGTGGTGGCTCACACCTGTAATCCCATTGGGAGGCTGAGGAGGGAAGGTTGCTTGAGCCCAGGAGTTCGAGACCAGTCTGAACAACATAGTGAGACCCCATCTCTCCAACAAATTTAAAAATTTAGCTGGGTGTGGTGGTACATGCCTGTAGTCCCACCTACTCAGGAGGCTGAGGCGGGAGGACTGCTTGAGCCCAGGAGGTAGAGGCTGCAGTGAGCTATGATGGCACCACTGTCCTCCAGCCTGGGTGACAGAGTGAGACCCTGTTTCTAAAATATAATAATAAGTAGGAAAAGTCAATTAAAATCACCCATAATCCTATCTAGGGATACCCACTCTCACCTGGATGCTGCATAGTCTTTCAGATTTTTTTCTCAGGCAAATCATTACCTATACTGGTTAGAATGGCTGCCTCGTATCACATGACTTTTATCTTTTTTTTTTTTTTTTTTGAGAGGGAATCTTGCTCTGTACCCCAGGCTGGAGTGCAGTGACTCGATCTTGGCTCACGGCAATCTCCGCCTCCCGGGTTCAAGCGATTCTCCTGCCTCAGCCTCCTGAGTAGCTGGGATTACAGGTGTGTGCCACCAGGCCAGCTTTTCTTTTTTTGTATTTTTAGTAGAGATGGGGTTTCACCATGTTGGTCAGGCTGGTCTTGAACTCCTGACCTCATGATCTGCCCTCCTTGGCCTCCCAAAGTGCTAAGATTACATGCGTGAGCCACCATGCCCGGCCCTAATTTTTGTATTTTTAGTAGAGACAGAGTTTCACCATGTTGGCAAGCCTGGTCTTGAACCCCTGACCTGAAGTGATCTGCCCGCCTTGGCCTCCCAAAGTACTGGGATTACAGGCATGAGCCACCGCGCCCAGCCATACCACATGCTTTATGTGCCAGGCACCGCAAGGGTTACAGTCAGCATCTCGTTTACCCTTCATGGGACAACCCCAGGATACAGGTGCTATAATTACTCCCAGTTTACAATATGAAGAAACTGAGGCCAGGGAGGTAAAATAAGTTGCCCATGGTTGCTGGACTGGTCATGGGGCAGCCAAGACTGGAACCCAGGCCTGTGCTGATACCGAGGACAAGCGCCCACCTGCAGCCCAGGTTCCTACCAGCTCCTCCTGGGTGACAGCTGCAGTACCTGTCCGGGCTGAGGTTCTGGCCAGAGTCAAAAGCTCGCGCCACTAGGATCATGGACTGCCTGTCGCCAGCTTCAGCGGCCTTTAGTAAGTAATCAAATCCTTTGGTTTTGTTCTCTTCTGTCTCCTGTTGATACAAACCAAAGAGGGAGAAAGAAGAGTGAATGAGGCTTACACTCGAGGGCTGCCAAGATCTCACTACTCAATCTTCACCCTGTTTTTTGAGAGCTCCGGGTTGGGAGGCTATAGAAGTGAGATAGGAGGGGGCACTTGACTCCAGAGGCTTGGCTCAGACACTGGAACAAATCAAGGACAAGCTAAAACAGGGATGGGGTGGGAAAACAGCTTTTCATAAGACACGCCCACCTGTGCAACATGTCAGTTTACCATTGTCAGGGCAACACTTGAGAGTTACTGCCTGTTTCTATGGCTATGGCCCCACAACCTAGAAGTTACTACCCTTTCCCTAGACATGTCTTCATAAACCGCCTCTTAATATGCATGCAATTAAAAGTAGGTATAAATCTGACTGCAGAACTGCCCTAAGCTGCTAATCTCAGCACACTGCCTGTGGGGCAGCCCTATTCCGTAGAAGCAGTCATGGAGCTGTACCACTGCCTAAGCTATAACACTGACACTTCAATAAAGCTGTTTTCTTCTACATTTGGCTCACCCTTGAATTCTTTTCTGGGTGAAGCAAAAAACCCTCCTGGGCTAAGCTCCAATGTGGGGCCTGCCTGCCCTGCATCAGAAGTACACATCATAAGTACACATCACAGCTGGGCTGGGTGGCTCATGCCTGTAATCCCAGCACTCTGGGAGGTCAAGGCGGGTGGATCATCTGAGGTCAGCAGTTCGAGGTCAGCAGTTCGAGACCAGCCTGGCCAACATGGTGAAACCCCGTCTCTACTAAAAATACAAAAATTAACCAGGCGTGGTGATGCATACCTGTAATTTCAGCTACTCAGGAGGCTGAGGCACAAGAATTGCTTGAATCTAGGAAGCGGAGGTTGCAGTGAACCGAGATCAAGCCACTGCACTGCAACCTGGGTGACAGAGACACCGTCTCAAAAAAAAAAAAAAAGTACACATCCGTAGTTTTTAGTATATTCACAGAACAGTATGGCCATCACCAGTCAATTTCAGAATACTTTCACCAATCCAGAAAGAAATCTCATACCGCTTAACTGTCAATCTCCCTCTACCCCTACTCTCCTCATCCTGCTCAGCACTAGGCTTCCATTAGTCTACTTTCTGTCTCTATGGATTGCCTATTCTGGATCTGGACATTTCATAATAATATAGTCATACAATATGTGGTCCTTTGCGACTCTTTTCACTTAGCACAGTGCTTTCACGGTCCATCTGTGTTGTAGCGCATATCAATATTTCATTCCTTTTTATGATCAAATAATAGTCCATTGTATGGCTGTATCACATTTCGTTTATCCATTCATCCACTGACAGACATTTGGGTTGTTTTCCATTTTTTGGCTATTATGAATAATGCTGCTATGAAGATTTGTGTACAAGTTTTTGTGTGAAAGTGTGTTTTTATTCTTTTGGGTTTATGGCTATGAGTGAAACTGCTGGGTCACATATAACTTACCTGGTAGAAAGCAGACAATGCTGCAAATCAGGGTTTGATGTACTGTTTTTTCTATTGTAAGAAAGGCGTGGAAAACATGAACACTGCAGATGAAACTAACAAGCGGGTCATGCCTGTAGCTATTCTATTGTGACGAGTACAGCAAATTGAAGAAATATCCTTCCAGTATTTAAAACTACCATCTGATTCAGGAAGGAGGTCGCTCACATCAGAGGCAAATGAAGTTCCAGTTCTAACATAGGTCTTTGTTAATTTCACTTTCATCTCACTTATGTCAGAACTACACTTCTCCATCAATTGCAACCATAGGTTGGCTATGGGTGTAAGAGTTTGCAAAAATCAGTGCAAGTATTGTGTGAGAGTTGATGATATGAAATTTACTTTTCATTGTTATTTGTAAACCATATACCACATATTATTTTTTCTTGTTTTTTTTTTTGAGACAGGGTCTTGATCTTTTGCCCAGGCTGGAGTGCAGTGGCTCCATCATAGCTCACGGAAGCCTCAAACTCCTGTAGTGTATGGTTTTTATCCTCCCGCCTCACTCTCCCAAGTAGCTGGGACTACAGGCAGGTGCACCACACCAGGCTAATTTGTTTTTTTGGGGGTGGGGGGTTTGTAGAGATGGAGTTTTGCTATGTTGCCCAGGCTGGTCTGAAACTCCTGGACTCAAGCAATCCTCCTGCCTTGGCCTCCAAAAGTGCTGGGGTTACAGGTGTGAGCCACCATGCCCAGCCTACTTATTCTTTAAATTAGCAAAATTTAATATATTTACATATATGTGGGCACACATTTCCTTCCCACCTCCAAGAGTCAATTGTCAAATGTTCCCCAGCACACCACTGGCTGAATGAGCATAGAGATTCCAGAGAAAGGCCGGGTGTGGTGGCTCACCTCTGTAATCCCAGCACTTTGGGAGGCCGAGGTGGGCAGATCACCTGAGGTCAGTAGTTCGAGACCAGCCTGGCCCACATGGTGAAATCCCTTCTCTACTAAAAATACAAAAATTAGCCAGGCGTGGTGGTGCACATCTGTAATCCCAGCTACTTGGGTGGCTGAGGCAGGAGAATCGTTTGAACCTGGGAGGCGGAGGTTGCAGTGAGCCAAGATCATGCCACTGCACTCCAGCCTGGGCAGCAGAGCGAGAGCCTGTCTCAAAAAAAAAAAAAAAAGAAAAACAAAATATGTATATATATATACACACACACACATATATACACACATATATATAGAGAGAGAGATTATAGAGAGAGACAAAAAAGTGAAAAATCCTCTCTTCCAACCAAACCTCCTCCTCACCATCTAAGTTTTTGTCTCACCATCATGAAACAAAAACTGGTGGGCGACGCCCTGCCCACATGTCAAATGATGTAATCTGACTGAACCATAAGAAACTGCCAATATTCTACCATTTATGACCTTCCAAAATAGCAGTTTCATGAGGTTCCACCCATTATGCAGGAGGCCAGTCACTACAGCAATTTTTGTGATATCAAAAGAATACAGCCAACCCAAGTGTCCATCAATAGCTCACAGGTATGCCCCACACATATAACAGAACATTATGCAGCTGTCAAAAAGAATCGGGGAGCTGGCTGGGCATGGTGGCTTATACCTGTAATCCAGCACTTTGGGAGGCTGAGGAAGGCAGATCACTTGAGGTCAAAAATTTGAGAACAACATGACGAAACCCCATCTGCACTAAACATACAAAAATTAGGCTGGGCATGGTGGCTCATACCTGTAATCCTAGCATTTTGGGAGGCTGAGGTGGGTGGATCACATGAGGTCAGGAGTTCGAGACCAGCCTGGCCAACATGGTAAAACCCTGTCTCAACTAAAAAAAAAAATACAAAAATTAGCCAGGCGTGGTGGCAGGTGCCTGTAAAACCAGCTACTCGGGGAGCCAAGGCAGGAGAATTGCTTGAACCAAGGAAGCAGAGGTTGCAGTGAGGTGAGACCATGCCATCACACTCCAGCCTGGAGGACAAGAGCAAGACTTCATCTCAAAAAAAAAAAAGTAGCCGGGTTTGGTGGCAGGCACCTGTAATCCCAGCTACTCAGGAGGCTTAGGCAGGAGAATTGCTTGAACCGGGTGGTGGAGGTTGCAGTGAGCTGAGATTGTACCATTGCACTCCAGCCTGGGTGACAGAGCGAGATTCTGTCTCAAATTAAAAAAAAAAAAAAAGAATCAGGAAGCTATCTCTATACCACTGAGGTAAAATGTCCACAGGACACTGTCAAGTGAAAAACACTAGGTTCAGGAGTGTGTGTGTAGGATGCTAACTTTGGAGGAAAAAGCAGGGTGAAAATAGGAGCCTATTTCATATTTGTATATGGAAACCGTGTACTGGGCCGAACAATATCCTCCCAATATTCACGTCCATGCAGAATGTGATCTGATTTGGAAATAGGGTCCTTGAAGATATAATTAGTTATACTGGCTGGGCACTGTGGCTTATGCCTGTAATCCCAGCATTTTGAGAGGCCGAGGTGGGTGAATCACCTGAGGCCAAGAGTTCAAGACCAGCCTGGCCAACATGGTGAAACCCCATCTCCACTAAAAATACAAAAATTAGCCAGGTGTGGTGGCAGGCACCTGTATTCCCAGCTACTCAGGAGACTGAGGCAGGAGAATTGCTTGAACCTGGGAGGTGGAGGTTGCAGTGAGCTGAGATCCTGCCAGTGCACTCCAGCCTGGATGACAGAGCAAGACTGAAAAAAAAAAAATAGTTATATTAAGATGAGGTCACACTGGATGTTAGGTGGGCCCTAAATCCTATATGACTGCTGTCTTTACAAGAGCAGAAGAAACAGGGAGATAGGGACACGAGGGAAAGATGGAGACAGAGATTTCAGTGAGCCAAGCCAAGAACGCTGAAGATTGCCAGCAACCCCCAGAAGCCCGAAGAAACAAGGAAGGATTCTCCCCTCAAGCCTTCAGAGGAAGGCATGGCTCTACTGACACCTTGATTTCTGGACTTCTAGCTTCCAAAACTGTGAGAGAACAAATTTCTGTTGTTATAAGCCAACTGGTTTGTGGAATTTCTTAAGGAAGTCCTAGGAAGTGAATACACTCTGGAATTACATATAAGTAACTAATAATGATGGCTACCTATTATTCAAAGAATGAGAGGATGTGGGGAAGGTGGAAGGCAGATTTTTCACTGTAAAGCTTTTTTTTTTTGAGATGGAGTCTTGCTCTGTTGCCCAGGCTGGAGTGCAGTGGCGTGATCTCTGCTCACTGCAACCTCCGTCTCCCAGGTTCAAGTGATTCTCCTGCCTCAGCCTCCCAAGTAGCTGGGATTACAGGCGCATGCCACCACACCTGGCTAATTTGTTATATTTTTGGTAGAGATAGGGTTTTGCTATGTTGGGCAGGCTAGTTGTGAACTCCTAACCTGAGGTGATCCACCCGCCTCCATCTCCCAAAGTGCTGGGATTACAGGTGTGAGCCACTGCACCCATCGTTAAGCTTTTTATATTTAAAAATTAAAAAAAAAAACTTCTTTGGTCGGGCATGGTGGCTCAGGCCTATAGTCCGAGCTACTCAGGAGGCTGAGGCAGGAGGATCGCTTGAACCCAGGAGGTCAAGGCTACAGTGAGCTACAGTCATGCCACTGCACTCCAACTTGGGTGACAGAGTGAGAACCTGTCTCTAAAATAAATAAATAGTCCGGCATGGTGGCTCACACCTGTAATCCCAGCACTTTGGGAGGCTGAGGTGGGCAGATCACCTGAGGTCAGGAGTTCCAGACCAGTCTGGCCAACATGGTGAAGCTCTGTCTCTACTAAAAATTAGCTGGGTGCGGTGGCAGGCACCTGTAATCCCAGCTACTCGGGAGTCTGAGGCAGGAGAATTGCTTGAACCTGGGAAGTGGAGGTTGCATTGAGCCGAGATCGCACCACTACACTCCAGCCTGGGCAACAAAGCGAGACTCTGTCTCAAAAAAAACAAAAACAAAACAATAAATAAATAAGTTTTTAATCACATGAATGTAATTACCAATTCAAAAAGCTAAATAAATAAAGGACTTTGGAGTATCTTCCCACCCTCGAGTCTGAGATCCATTCACCCACTGGGCCACAGCCAAACCAACCCGTCAAGGAGAGCTGATGTCCTGCACCCACAATGAGCCTAGGCCACCTGTCCATGCGCAACGTTGGCCCACGTGATGGGGAGGATGGGAACAGATGGGAGGATGTGCCCGCCAAGGGCTTCTCAACTTCTCCTGGGAAAAGATCACTTTGCCTGGGCCTTGCCAGATCCCATTCAATCCTTTCCTCCCTCTGCTCACGGACCAGGGACAGAAGCAGCAGCAGGCTCCTACGCAATTTCCCTGCAGGTCCACACCCTGCTGCTTCAGCTCCAGCTCTGCCTCAGCTCCTGCACCTCTAGCTACACGGGTGCACCTTGTCTCTCACCTCTGGGCCTAAGCACATGCTGTTCCTTCTACCTGAGCTGCTCACCTCCCCCACTTGGCCTGGCTCACTCCCTTTGGGCCTTCAGGTCGAAAGCAGATATCCCCCCCAATTTTTTTTTTTTTTGGAGACAGGATCTCACTCTGTCGCCCAGGCTAGAGTGCAGTAGTGTGATCTCAGCTCACTATAACCTCTGTCTCCCAGGTTCAAGAGATTCTCCCACCTCAGCCTCCCGAGTAGGTGGGATTACAGGTGTGTGCCACCACGTCCGGCTAACTTTTGTATTTTTCTGGTAGAGGCGGGGTTTCACCATGTCGGCCAGGCTGGTCTCGATCTCCTGGCCTCATGTGATCCACCCGCCTCAACCTCCCAAAGTGCTGAGATTACAGGTTTAAGCCACCACTCTGGCCTGAGGTAGGTATCCCTTCATCTGTTCATTCTACGAATCTCTACCAAGCATCTACTCAGTGCCAGGCCCCAGCCACTAGGGATACACACAGAACTGATGAGCAGGAAGCCTGAACCAACCCCTCCAGGCCCCAGTTACAGCCCTTCCTCACATGTTTCCACTGGTGTCTTCTGCTTCCCCCATCACACCATGTCGTTATTACCTGGAAACGTGACTTACCTTCCCCTCCCTCTCCAAAGACAGAGATCGATTCTGCCAGTTTCAACTAACTTGGAGGGGCCTGCCCCCAAACCAGTGCCTGGGACATTTTTGTGGCATGCATAAACCTCAGGATAGAAGGCAGGTGAATGCATGACTTCCAGGATGGGAGGCAGGTGAACCACAGGGTGACCAAGTCCCACCCCCACCTGCAGCTGGGTCCCCGCCACCTGCTCACCTTCAGAGAGACATCGGCTAGGATGTGATGAGGCAACTGCGAGTACATGAGTCCCAGGCCCACGATGGCCTCCAGCTCGCCCAGGTTGGCTGCGTGCTCCAGGTGGAAGACAGCCGACTCCTGGTCCCACTCCTCGCCCTTCTCGCAGAAGCGCCCACCCTCGTGGTAGCGCACCATGGCCAGATGGACCTGCCACACAGACTACGGTGTCGGCCTGGCTGTCTGGCGGGCCAAAGCCGCACCCAAGACCGCCCAGCCAGCCTGCGGGAGGAAGTGATTAGCGGAGGAGAGGCTGGAGCTGGGGGGCTCCAGGTTAGTGCAGACAGGGCTCCAAAATGGGCATCGCCGATACCTTCCCCAAAATGGACTTCCCGATTTTCTTTTCGAGGTCCAGAGCATTAAGCCTTTGCACTTCCAGGGCCACGGCCGAAGCCCTCGGCAGGTGGAGGCGGGAGGAGTTGAGGAGATTCCACTTCTCTACACATACCTGAAGGGAAAGAACCGGCCAGGGAAGCGAGGGGCTGGGGGTGGACGCAGCATCACAGCTGTCAGCAGCCCCTACTACACAGGAGCCTGGCTGGAGGGAGATGGGGAGTGAACCCTCACGATGTCAAAGTTTATTGGCAAAACATGGCTCCAATTTTTTTTTTTTTTTGAGACAGAGTCTCACTCTATTGCCCAGGTTGGAGTGCAATGGCACAATCTCGGCTCACTGCAACCTCCACCTCCCAGGTTCAAGCGATTCTTCTGCCTCAGCTTCCCGAGTAGCTGGGACGACAGGTGCATACCACCATGCCCGGCTAATACAGCTCCAATTTTAATCATTCAAATTCCATCAACTCATGCATTCAAGAGCCAGTGGAACAGATTTCAGCAGCTCAAGGAAGCGCTTCCCCATCATTTACCAATCTGGATTTGGTTGGGGGTGGGGGTCTCACTCTAAACCAACCCCTTCGCCAGCTCCCCATATAAGGCACCAGAAGACTCCCACTTCAGACCTTCCAGCAAATCCCCTTGCTTTCCTCTGCAAGGCACCACAACGACATGAGCAACATCAGCAGGTTGCTGTAGGAAATGGGTTTAAAAAACACATCATTTCTCCTGGCCAAAGATGCCCCCTCCAAAGGCTCTTGCAGGATACAGCCAGGCAGCTGTGCGTGTGCACGTTTGCATGCTAAACATCTTGCAATGCACAGGGTAGCCCCCTCAACAAGGAACGATTCAGCCCAGAATGCCAGTAGTGCCTTGCTTGAGCAACCCTGTTCCATACCTAACTGAGAAGATCCTAATCTGGCTACAAAATACCACAGGGTAAATAATCAGTGTTCTGGGAGATGCCAGAGTCATGCCTGTGGTGGAGGCCAGGGAAGGCTCCTGGACGAGGGGCCCTGGGATCCAGGCTTGGAGAGCAGGTAGGATTTGAAGAGAGATGACAGAGGGAGAGAAAGGACTTTGCAGGTAGGAAAGAGACTTGCCTTAGTAAAGGCTCCAAAGATGGGCAGTTCAAAGCGTGTGAGGGAATCACTTAGAGGGGTGGGTGGGGCACAGAGCTGGTCTTTCCCAGACTTGCTGATGCTTGTTAGACATACAAGCGAGGGTAACCTGGGGAAAGTTGCTTAAGAGCCCAGTTTTCTCATACATAAAATGGGGATGAGAGTCACATTAGCCTGTCTCTCTGGGTGGTTGCAAGAAGGAAACTGATTACTGCGAAGTGCCTTCATGGCAGGCACTTAAGACAGGAGCTGTCCCTGTGGTGATTTCCCCTCCAGGATGGGGCTGAGCTGCTCTTCTCTAATCCTCCCCACAAATCCCCCAGCATCCTGCCCTGCAGAGGTTCAAAGAGCATTTGCCCAGATTTGCTGCTTTGCAAAATCTTCCTTTAGCACATGTGCAAGACAGATGGGCAGGCAGCAGAGATATGAGACAGGAGAAACAGCAACAGAGCCTGGAGGAGACAGGGAAGAGGCAGAGACAAGGGTGCCTCAGGGCGCATTACCCGTCCAGAGCTGCCCAGGCTGTCTTCGTCAGACTCGTACTTCCGATTACTGTATGAGTGGCCCTGAACGGAGGAAGAAATTACACTGATCCAAAGCGACAAGCTTCTTCCCAGGAACCTCTCCTGAGAGCTGGTCCAGCCCTCCTCCCTGGAACCAGCCTGGCCCTCCTAGGTGACCCTTATCTCAGAAAATTGGCCCTATGTTCCCAGGTGACACTGGAACCCTTCTCTGCCAAGCAGAAGGGATGCTGGGTCACAGGCAGGGATGACAACGCTGGTGCAGTCACAGCCTTGCTGTCCCCCTCCGTGTGTGAGCAGGTGGAACTGACTTGATGGTGCAGGATCCCAACACAAAGCCACTGGGGTAACGGGCAGAGCTCCTACTGCATGTTTAGTTTATATTTTAATTTAGACATGGGTCTTGCTCTGTTGCCCAGGCTGGAGTGCAGCAGTGTGATCAAAGCTCACTGCTGCCTCCAACTCCCCAGGTTCAAGCAATCCTCTCACATTGCCCTCCTAAAGTGCTGGAATTGCAGGTGAGCCACCAGGCCCAGCTGTTTTACTTTTTTTTTTTTTTTTTTTTTTTTTTTTGAGACAGTCTCACTCTGTGGTCCAGGCTGGAGTGCAGCGGCATGACCTTGGCTCACTGCAACCTCCACCTCCCAGGCTCAAGTGATTCTCATGCCTCGGCTTCCTGAGTAGCTGGGACTAGAGGAGTGCACCACTGCACCCGGCTAATTTTTGTATTTTGAGTTGAGATGGGGTCACCACGTTGGCCAGGCTGGTCTTGAACTTCTGGCCTCAAGTGATCTGCCTGCCCCGGCCTCCCAAAGTGCTGGGATTACAGGCATAAGCCACCACGCCCGGCCAGCATGTTCTTTATTCACAATCATAAAGCTGAGATCAGAGGTGTCCTGGCAAGACTGGCCTTGATGTGCAGGCTCCATTTCAGCACAGGGTAAGACCTCTAAATGGCAGATACTGTCTGAGGTTGCCCTCACCAGGATGCTGCTGGGAGGCTACCCAAGGAAACTGACCTCCAAGGCCCTCCTCCCTGGGGCCTCACAGGATCCTGCCTATGAGTGGGTCCAGCTATTACCCAGGATCCTCTCTGCTCAGCAGCCCAGGACTCCCACTTCACCATAAGATTTGTCAGCCATTATCAGCCTTATATCTAAGCCTCCACACTTGCCCCGTTACTGGTCCACATGATCCTGTTTTATCTTCTTTGCATTTATCTTTATCTGAAATACTCTTTATTTTATTTTATTTTGAGACAAAGTTCACTGTGTCACCCAGGCTGGAGTGCAGTGGCACAATCTTGGCTCACTGCAACCTCTGTCTTCTGGGTTAAAGTGATTCTCCTGCCTCAGCTTCCCCAGTAGCTGGGATTACAGGCATGCACCACCATGCCAGGCTAATTTTTGTATTGTTAGTAGAGACGGGGTTTCACCATGTTGGCCAGGCTGGTCTCGAACTCCTGATGTCAGGTGATCCACCCGCCTTGGCCTCCCAAAGTGCTGGGATTACAGGCGTGAGCCACCATGACCGGCCTGAAATACTCTTTATTAATTTACTTGTTATCTTCTCAGGACCCACTCATATTCCCCCTCCAGGAAGGGGAGTTTTCATTTTCCTGGAGGATAAACAAGGCAACAGGTGACACCGGTCTCATTTCCTGGGGGTTCCTTACATGTTCTCGGGGCTCAGGGTCATCCAGCTCACCCCGCTTCTCACTGGGGTATCCGCTGTCCCCACTATTCTCAGACTCCTGTGGAGAGAAGACGGCCTTAGGGTCCTGGTGGTCCCCTGAGCACCTGGAAATGGTTATGACATCTCAACACCCCAACTGTTAGCTTTCTCCCCTCTGTCCCATTACCTAACACCCTGCTCCTGCTGTCCCTTGCCGGGTGTGGTGGCTCATGCCTGTAATCCCAGCACTTTGGGAGGCCGAGGCAGGCAGATCACTTGAGGACACAAGTTCAAGACCTGCCTGGCCAACGAGGGAGCAGTATAAGGTAACAGTAAGGACCTTGGGCTCTACAGCCAAATGACCTGGGCTCAAATCCTGGCTTTATTTCTTGCCAGCTGAGACCTTGGGCAGTTGCTTAACTTCTCTGAGCATCAGTGTCCTTAGTTATGGGATTCATTATAGCCCCTACATCGAAGGGCTGTGTGGGTGAAATGCACTGTTACATTCTGAGAGTGTGGATCACAGGAAGTGCTTTACTGAGAGTGACTCACCCACTTCACAGGCAGAAAAACAAAGGCTGGTTAAGGGCTATGACCCACGGACAAAAATATAGCATTGGGAACAATATTTAATACAAATAAGCCCTCAACCAAAACCACACATTTTTATTTTTTTTTTGAGATGGAGTCTCGCTCTGTCACACTGGCTGGAGTGCAGTGGCACGATCTCAGCTCACTGCAACCTCTACCTCTTGAGCTGAAGTGATTGTCCTGTCTTAACCTCCCAAGTAGCTGGGACTACAGGCGCCTGCCACCACGCCTGGCTAATTTTTGTATTTTTAGTAGAGACGAGGTTTCACCATATTGGCCAGGCTGGTCTCAAACTCCTGAACTTGTGATCCGCCTGCCTTGGACTCCCAAAGTGTTGGGATTACAGGCGTGAGCCACCGTGCCTGGCCTAGTTGGGCATATTTTTTATTCTCCCAGGTCTGAGTTCTGTTCTGAAAGCGAATCTGGTATAATTTAGAATCTCTAAAACTTCAGCCATGTACCTACCAACATTGAATTATAGCTCTCTCTGCATGTCACCTGCACAATTAGTAACGGAATAGTTTTATTTCCTTCTTTATTCTTCTAAGAAGTATCTTTTCTGTGTGTGTGTGTGTGTGTGTGTGTGTGTGTGTGGCAGGGTCTCACGTTGTCACCCAGGCTGTAGTGCAGTGGCGTGATCTCAGCTCACTGCAACCTCCACCTCCCAGGTTCAAGCAATTCTCTTGCCTCAGCCTCCTAAGTAGCTGGAATTACAGGCACATGCCACCATGCCTGGCTAATTTTTATATTTTTTGTAGGGATGAGGTTTCATCATGTTGGCCAGACTGGTCTTAAACTCCTGGCCTCAAGTGGTCTGCCTGCCTCAGCCTCCCATAGTGCTGGGATTACAGGTGTGAGCCACCACACCCCGCCTCTACTAAGAAGT
The DNA here is from genome assembly GCF_000001405.40 of Homo sapiens. Taxonomy (NCBI): domain Eukaryota; kingdom Metazoa; phylum Chordata; class Mammalia; order Primates; family Hominidae; genus Homo; species Homo sapiens. The sequence continues at coordinate 843,337 of NW_017852933.1, forward strand.
ATTTCTTTTTTTTTTTTTTTGAGACTGAGTCTCGCTCTGTCGCCCAGGTTGGAGTGCAGTGGTGCGACCTCTGCTCACTGCAACCTCCGCCTCCTGGGTTCAAGAAATTCTCGTGCCTCAGCCTCCTGAGTAGCTGGGATTACAGGAAACTGCCACCATACTCGGCTAATTTTTGTATTTTTAGTAGACATGGGGTTTTGGCATGTTGGTCAGGCTGGTCTTCAAATTCCTGACCTCAAGTGATCTGCCCCCCTTGGCCTGCCAAAGTGCTGGGATTACAGGCGTGAGCCACTGCGCCCAGCCTCTACTAAAAGGTATTTGTTTTTTCTTTTTTTTTGAGACAAGATCTCGCTGTCACCCAGGCTGGAGTGCAGTGGTGTGATGATGGCTTACTGCAGCCTCTGCCTCCCAGGCTCAAGAGATCCTCCTACCTCAGCCTCCTGAGTAGCTGGGACTACAGGTATGTGCCACCATGCCTGGCTAACTTTTGTATTTTTTTGTAGAGATGGGGGTCTTGTCATATTGCCCAGGCTAGTTTCAAATTCTTGGGCTCAAGTGATCTGCCCACCTTGGTCTCCCAAAGTGCTGGGATTATAGGCATGAGCTACCATGCCTGGCCAATTTTACTAAGAAATATTTCAAACACACACACAAGCATAGAGAGTATTATAATTTGCCATAATATACATTTGTGAGAATGCAGATAAGATGCCTTCAGTTTCTTACCACCAAGTCAACCCAAAGCTTCAGGAAATGTTCTGTTTATCTAACTGGAGAGCTAGGTGTGAAGAGCTAGAACACATGGCTTACTGTGCTATGTGTTACACATCTAAGACCCAGTATTAGGGCTCTATAGGACAACCAACACATGTGGGGTCAAACCAAACCTGGAGCTGAGACTGGCATTTACTACAAGATCGCATTGTTGCTGACTGGGAGTCCCTCTTCCCTAACCATCTCTGGGAACTGCAAGGGACCCACCTTTTCTCAGAGGAAAGCTCAGCCTTGGACTGGAGGCTGACATTCATCTGCATCCTCCCTAATTCCCCCATTCTGTGCCCTCCTGGCAGTGCCTGGGCTAGGCTGCCCACCTCCGAAGCTGAAGATTCACTCTGGGAGTGAATCCACTCCTACCCCTGCTGGGGTCTGAAGCCTGCAGCCTCCCTCCCTTCACACTCACCCGGTGGTTGTCTAGATGATCATGGTCTCTGGATGCCATGTTATCGAGGTCACTGAACACTGGCCAATCTGGGCAGGGAGAAACAGACATCATGTCCTGGTTCCACTACTGGAACATGCATAAGACCAACCCACGGCCTAGGGCGGTCCATACCTGCCACCAAGCCTTTTTTTTTTTTTAAGCTTTAAAGAAAGGCACAAAAAAGGAGAAGAATGTTATCAGCACCTGGAGGCTAAAGTTCTTCCTTGAGAACTTATTCTAAGTCTGCTGTTTGCCAGCTACATGATTCTGGCCAAGTGGTGTCACCTATGTGTGTCCTCAGGGTTGTCACAATGCAATTATCCTTGTAATGTGTTTATTAGCATATGTGCCTGGCCACCACTTGGTCCTCAATAAAATGCAGTTGTGAAGGAAGAACAGACGTTTATACATTTGGGGCTCAAGAAGTGGGCCTCAGATAGCTTCAAAACCATCTTCAGCTGGGCACGGTGTCTTATGCCTGTAATCCCAGAACTATGGGAGGCCGAGGCAGGTGGATCACCTGAGGTCAGGAGTTCAAGACCAATCTGGCCAACATAGTGAAACCCCATCTCTATTAAAAATACAAAAATTAGCTGGGTATGGTGGCATGCACCTGTAATCCCAGCTACTTGGGAGGCTGAGGCAGGAGAATCGCTTGAACCCAGGAGGTAGAGATTGCAATGAGCCAAGATCACGCCACCGCATTCCAGCCGGGGTGACAGAGAGAGAGATTCCGTCTCAAAACAAAACAAACAAAAAAAAAACACCAACCATCTCCTGGTGGTTCCCTATCTCTGTCTCCTGCCCTCTACAGCCAAATCTATCTGTCTGTTTTTATAGTTTGTAAGAACAGTGTTTACATTTTTAAATGGATGACAAAAATTAAATTTCACCATCCATAGAGTTTTATTGGAACACAGCCACATCCACTCACTTAATATTTTCTATGGTAGCTTTCATGCTCCAAATGCAGAGACTGAATGACCTGCAAAGCTTAAAATATTTACTCTCTGACCTTTTAAAAAAGTCTGTTGACTCCTGTTCCAGACTATTCCAAAGACCTTCCAGTGGAAACATCTAAAGGGCTTCTTTAATGTTTGACACTAAAATCTTTCTCTCTTTCAAAGGTATCAAAATGAGAAAAATTAAAAAACTAAACAATAAAATCTTGCTCTCCTGCTCTGAGCCTGCTCCCGCTCACACTTTCCCTGAATACATGACCTCCAGCTCTTTAGGCCAATACCCTGGGGTCAGTCTTGCCTCTATCCTTTCCTACAGACTCTCATCTGAATCATCAGCAAACTCCACTCTTTCAGTGTCAGAAATAATGATTCTGTTTTTCTCCTTTGACCCATTAATATCACATTCATAGCTTTTCTAACATTGAACAACCCTCAGATTCCTGTGAAATCCCTATTTAACTGTGACAGGTGAACCTTTTAACATAGTACTATTTTTATTTGTTAATATCTATTTAGATTTTTTTTTTGTTCTCTATACACAAATACAAATTTTAAATAAGGTTGGGATATAATTTTCTTTTTTAGTTTGTCAAATTTATTATATAGGTTTTGCTGGTTTCATAAAACACACTGATAAAAGTTACTTTGTTTCCTACAATAGGGGTTGTTTTTATAGCATTTGGATGATCTGTTTTGAAAGTTCACTCAATGAAACTCACCTATAAAACCACTGGGGCCATGAACCTTTTCGATTAGCATGTCTGATTTTTCTAACATAAATGAAAGCTGGTTTAGCTCTGCTCCACCTGTCCCCTCCAATCACAGTGACTAGGGACCGAACCGTCACTCACGGAGGTGGTCTAGCTTCTGGCTGTGTGGTGTGGCCGAAGATGGGGAAGAAGGGAGAGAGTCGAAGGTCACGTCGCTCATGTTCTCGTCTCCAGAGTTCTCTGAAAGGGGACGGAGCAGGGGTGGCCGGCTCCCAGAGAGGGTCCTTACTCGGGGGCTCCCACATTTTTCCTCTGTTCCTCTCAAGATGGTCTTGGCTGATTGCTAGGGACATTAATAGGGATACTCATGTCACGCACACACCCTCTGGGAATTAAAGGGCTCTTCCTGTTGTTCCCTCTAACCCTGAAACCCCTTCATCCACAGCTCCTAAACATGCCTGTTTAGGAGCTGATATATTGTCTTAAAAAATAAAAAATCAGTCAGGGATTAAACCTAAGGCCTCCAAGAAAGGGCATCTGGAACAGAGGCTCAGAGGACCTGCCAGTATCCCCTAAAGCACTGACCACATTCCACAGCCCAGAGCTGGAGAAAGCATTCCACTCTATGTCCAGCATCCCAAGCTGGTCTTTGCAACATTCTCTTGTCCCTGGTCCAAGTAGCAATGGGAGGATGGGAGGTATGTTGGTGAGGTGCCTGGAGAGCCAGGTCTAAGACTAGTTCAGTCATTTGTCAATACATCACACAAACACACACACACACCACATGCCTTCTCACTATCTCCACGTGCCTGTTCCCCTCACTCTGGTAAAAAATGGGCCCAACCTAAGCAGATACCAGCTGCTCGATTGGAAGGACGCTCAGGAGGGCTTTGTGCACTGAGCTGGAGGGGACGGGCTGGGGCATGGATGGGACAGATGCTTCCAGCCCTGGTATTCATCAGTTAAGCACTGCTTGACCTGGCTGTCACCACACAGGGGAGCAGGGCTTGCTTTGCAAGTAGCAGAAGGGCCTGCCAGGCCAAGCAGGGTCACACTGGGCACCCACCAGCAGCTTGGTGTTCTGATTCACTGCATCCCTCTCCCGGGGCGAGAGGTCAAAGGGAGCAAGGCCCATGCTCTCGCAAATCCGGTTGCAGGCATGAGAGTAGAAGAAGAGCGCCATCCCGCGGACACCTGTGGACAGAGCGGGGGTGTCTGGAGTGTTGCTTTGCTCTGTGACGGGGGACAGGCAGTGGTGGGCCTCATACATATGGCCAGGGCAGGTATAAAACGTGCCAAGCTGGGAGGCATCAGACATCCAGGCTCCCATCTCCATGATCTTGAAAAAGCGCGTACAGTGTCTCAGCCTGTTTCCTTGGCTGTACGAAGAACTCAGAGGTTTTAGCAGGGAGCGTGGTTTCTGCAGAAACAGGCTGGCTTTCCCCACGTACCTAGGTTGCCGTCTCCAAAGTCAGTGCCCGTCTCCGTGTGGATCTGTGGGTCAGTGTAGAGATCCCCAACTCCCTGGATGTCCACCACTATCAGCTGATGGCCGGAACGCTCAAAAGTGAAGTGGCTGAAGGCCTACAGGGGACAGGAAGGAAAACGAGATGTCAAGAGACAGGCTGAGGTCTGTGCAGGCACTGGCCACGCCTCTGCCCATGCTGAGGGGCTTTCTCTTCAAGGAGTTATATAGAGGAAAAGACAAAGGAAAAAGGCCTCTTCAGTTGGGCAGGGACCTTGGGCTGCAGGTCCTGTGGCCACCTTAGGTGACAGAAGCTGTCATGGGGTGACGGGTCTCCTTCTGAATGCTCCAAGAGGCTTCTCTGGGGGTGAGACTCCAAGCCCACAGGGACCTTCCTCTTTAGGGGCTGAGCCTGGCCAGGATCTCACCCCAAGGGCTGTGGTGGGCAGAGGGTGGAGGTGAGCTCGGCCTCACCTGCGGCGTCAGGCGGATGTTGTCATCGCGGACAAAGCCAGAGTTGGAGTTGTACTTGATGTACTTGCCCTCGATGTAGTGCTCCAGGTGGAAGAGGGGCTTGCCCGGTCTGTCCTTCAGCTCGATGATGCACATCTGCATGATGTCCACCTGGTGGGATGGGGAGTGGGCTCAGGCGGGAGGGCCCAGGCGCACCTCCTCTGAGAAGCGGCAAGGGGAGGGCTCAGAGGAACTCGCCTGCCTGGGCTCAGACCCTGGCTCCATGACTTACTAGCTCTCTATTGTAGGAGCTCCTGATGATGCCCAGAATCTAATCTCCTCTTTTCCTTTAATTTTTTTAAAATTAAAAAAAATATATTTTTAGGCTGGGCACGGTGGCTTACATCTGTAATCCCAGCACTTTGGGAGGCTGAGGCAGGTGAATCAGTTGAGGTTAGGAGTTCGAGACCAGCCTGGCCAACATGGTGAAATCCTGCCTCTACTAAAAATACAAAAATTAAGGCTGGGCATGGTGGCTCACACCTGTAATCCCAGCCCTTTGGGAGGCCAAGGTGTGTGGATCACCTGAGGCCAGGAGTTGGAGACCAACCGTGGCCAACATGGTGAAACCCTGTCTCTACCAAAAATACAAAATTAGCCAGGCATGGTGGCACATGCCTGTAATCCCAGCTACTCTGGAGGCTGAGGCAGGAGAATCACTTGAACCTGGGAGGCAGAGGTTGCAGTGAGCCAAGATTGCACCACTGCACTCCAGCCCTGAGCAACAAGAGCAAAACTCCGTCTCAAAAAAAAAATTAATAAAATAAAAATACAAAAATTAGCTGGGCGTGCTTGTGCGTACCAAAAATCCCAGCTACTCAGGGTGTCGAGGCAGGAGTATCACTTTAACCCAGGAGGCAGAGGTTGCAGTGAGCCAAGATCATGTCACTGCACTCCAGCCTGGATGACAGAGTGAGACTCCGTCTTAAAAAAAAAAAAATTTATTTTAGAGACAGGGTCTCACTCTGTCGCCCAGGCTGGAGTGCAGTGTCATAATCATGGCTCATTACAGCCTCATACTTCTGGGCTCAAGTGATCCTCCCACCTCAGCCTCCCGAGAAGCTAGGACTACAGGCGTGTGTCACTACACATGGCTCATATCTAAATTTTTTTATAGAGACGAGGTCTCACTATGTTGCCTAGGCTGGTCTTGAACTGGCCTCAAGAACTGGCCTCAAGCAATCCTCTTGTCTTCCAGCATCCTCCCAGAGCATTAGGATGACAAGCTGCAGCCACTGTGCTCAGCTCTGTTTTCCTTTGAGTTTTAAAAGGGTACACAGCCACCCACTAGGGATGACATTGCTAAGCTTCCCTTGCAGCTAAGTGTGGCCACATGACTGTGCCCAGCCAATGGGAAGTGAGCATTGCAATGATGTAACTCCAGCCTGCCCTGTAAGGTGGACTCTGCTTGGGAGCCAGAATTGATTATGTGGTCCATGGCAAACCCCTGAGGGGATGGCAGAGAAAAAAGACCAAAGGAACGAGTTCTCTAGATGGCTTCAAGGAGATGAGGCACAAACAAGCCTACCCCAAGCCACCCACCAATGCAAGACCTCCACACAAGTGAAAAAGAAACCATTTCGTGTCCACACATATTTTGTGGGTCTGTTTGCTAAGCAACTTAGACTATGCCTTACAGTAAAACTGTGAATTTGGGAACATTTCTGAATTTCACCTCTCTGTGCCTCAGTTTCTTTACCTGCATAAAGAGGGTCTCAGGCTCAGTCTGTGAATTAAACTTATTGATGCAAAAAGGAGCCAGGCAATGTTTGCTTTCATTTTATTTTATATTTTATTGCCCAGGCTGTTGCCCAGGCTGGACTGCAGTGGCACGATCTTGGCTCACTGCAACCTCTGCCTCCCAGGTTCAAGCAATTCCTCTGCCTCAGCCTCTTGAGTAGCTGGGACTACAGGCACCCGCCTCCATGCCTGCCTAATTTTTGTATTTTTAGTAGAGATGGGTTTTACCATGTTGGCCAGGCTGGTCTTGAACTCCTGACCTCAAGTGATCCGCCCCCCCACCCCGGGCTTTCCAAAGTGCTGAGATTACAAGCATGAGCCACTGTGCCTGGCAACTCATTTTTATCAGGAGCTACAATTCTAGAGAAATATAAACCAACCTCTAAACAGCAGTTTTCTCCCTGCAATGGGAAATTATAGGGAACTTTGACATTCCTTGCCGAATTTTTTTTGTTTTTATAAAGTCTATGTTTAATTTTGTACACAGAAGAAAATGTATAAATAGTGCATATGGTTTGTAAAGTGGAGTAGGGGAGATTAGGGACTCTAGCTTGCACCTCTTGCCCTGTTACACAAGGACTCATCCTTGGTTCCCATGTCCTCCTCAATGCCACCTCCTGGGAGGATTAGGTCCAGGTTTCCCAAGGAAACGACCATCCATGGAGAGTGGGTCACCAGACATGCAGACAACAGATGCAGAGGCCGAAGGGGTCCTGATCTGAGAGGTGAGAACTTGCCCCAAACAAGGCTTCAATGGGTTCTGAGAACCGGCCTGAGGGGAAGGCAGGGAGCGGCGGTTCTCAGAGGGTTCTGCCCAAAGGCTGGTCCCATCCCTACAAGGAAACTTACAGCAGGGCCACCTGCTGGGCCAGAGGGCTCCCTGGGCGAGGGGCAGTGGTACAGCCACAGTGGACAACCAGCACCTTCTCAAACAACCACGTCTCTCTCCCTCCCTTAAGTCAACCACATTATTATTATTATTATTATTATTGTTACTACTACTACTACTACTACTATTTGGGGATGGAGTCTTGCTCTGTCACCCAGGCCGGAGTGCAGTAGCCCAATCTCGGCTCACTGCAGCCTCCGCCTCTCGTGTTCAAGTGATTCTCCTGCCTCAGCCTCCCAAGTAGCTGGGATTACAGGCGTGCACCACCATGCCCAGCTAATTTTGTATTTTTAGTAGAGGCGGGGGTTTCACCATGTTGGCCAGGCTGGTCTCGAACTCCTGACCTCAGGTGATCCGCCCACTTCAGCCTCCCAAAGTGCTGGGATTACAGGCATGAGCCACTGTGCCAGGCCTACCACAGTATTATTTACTGGACACCTAGGCACTAGGAGACAGCAGTGAACATGATAAAATAAAATCTCTGCCTTTAGGGGAGAGAAGCACCTAAAATATTAACTAAATGAATGACATACTAACTGCTCCAAAGAACAGGAAAAAAAAAAAAAGTTAGAATGATGTGACAGAGGTGACTGGGGCAGAGGGACCACTTCTTAGGGTTGTCTGAGATGGGCTGGCTGAGGAGGTGACACAGGATCTGAGACCTGAACTATAAGAAGTAGCTAGCCATGCAAGAATTACGGTGACACAAGATGCCCGCCAAGCCCACAGCCAGGGCCAAGGTTTTGGGGCAGGAACAAGCTTGTGGAGGAAGAGAAAGGAGGCCAGGCTGGAAGGCCGCAAATTGCAGAGGAAGCCACAGCCCCCCAGGGTGGGGACTGTGGCTTCTTGCGCCTGCCTCAAGTATGCTTCATCAAGGGCTCTGCAAACAGCAGGTGCTCAATAAATTCTGCACACCCAGGAGACTGTGCGTTGTATGTAGTAGATGCTCAAGCTGTGGAAGATCTCAGCTGTGGGCTCATGCAGGGCAGAGGCATGGATCCTTCCTCAAATGCCGAAAGGCAACAGGGAATTCTGCTTGGCCTCAGTCACTCATCACCCTAGGGGCTCAAATGAAGGTGCCAACCTAGCAGGGGGTTGAAAAGCCTGCATTTGAGACCTGGCTCCAGCTCTGCCTGGTTGGGGAAGTCATTTAGCCTCTTTGAGCCCAGGGTTTCCCAAAGAGCAGACATAGTATCCACTATGATATGGTTTGGCTGTGTCCCCACTCAAAGCTCATCTTGAATTGTAGCTCCCATAATTCCCACGTGTTGTGGGAGGGACCTGGTAGGAGATAATTGAATCATGGGGGTGGTTTCCCCCATACTGTTCTCATGATAGTGAATAAGTCTCACGAGATCTGATGGTTTTATAAGGGGAAACCCCCTTTGCTTGGTCCTCAATCTCTCTTGTCTGCCACCAGGTAAGATGTGCCTTTTGCCTTCTGCCATGATTGTGAGGCCTCCCCAGCCACATGGAACTATCTGTCCATTAAACCTCTTTTTCTTTTATAAATTACCCAGTCTTGGGTATGTCTTTATCAGAAGTGTGAAAACGGACTAATATACATTCCCAGCTCTTTCTTCCGCTTTTTCTTGGGAATCTCACCTTTTCCAGTCTCAGTCCCTGTGGTCTGGGTGGAACACCTACATTCCTAGCTCTAAGGGCAGGCACATGGCTAGGGTGTGCCCAATCTGCATATTCCTGCCCCTTGGCCACTGTGATTGGCTCGGCAATAGGGATCTGACTTAATCAGAGCCAATGAAACGCAGCTCTGGGACTTTTATTGGAACTTCTGGGGAAATAGGTTTTGTCATTCCAACAAGAACTTGGGCCTGCTGGGGGCCAGAGTGCTACCACTAGTGCAGAGGCTGCCTGAGAATGACGCCAACCCAGAAGAACACCCAGGCCAGAGATGGAGGAAGATTCTGACAACCTCAGTTTAATCCTGCATCCAGCCGTGCCTGTGGCAGCATTATTTTTCAGTTACATAAGGCAATGAATTCCCTTTTCGGATTAAGCAGTTTGAGTGGGTTTCTGTCATTTGCAAACAAAAATCCTGACTAATAGATCCCATCTGTAATTGAGGATAAAAACATTCCGACCTCAGAGCTCTGTTTTTAGGAATAAATGACTCTGGAACAAGTGCAATGGCTCACGCCTGTAATCCCAGCCCTTTGGGAGGCCGAGGTGGATGGATTGCTTGAGGCCAGGAGTTTGAAACCAGCCTGGGCAACATGGCAAAACCCTTTCTCTACAGAAAATACAAAAATTAGCTAGGCATGGTGGCATACCCCTGTAGTCCCAGCTACTCAGGAGGCCAAGCTGGGAGGATTGTTCAAGCCCAGGAGGTTGAGGCTGCAGTGAGCTGTAATTATGCCACTGCACTCTGGCCTGGGCAACCAAGAAAGATCCTGTCTCAAAAAAAATAAAAATAAAATAAATGACTTGGTTCATCATGCTCAGTAAACAGTGGTTGTTATTAGCTACTATTAAGAAGGTGAAAGAGGCCAGGTATGGTGGCTCACACCTGTAATCCCAGCACTTTGGGAGGCCAAGGCAGGCAGATCACTTGAGGTCAGGAGTTCGAGACCAGCCTGGCCAACATGGTGAAACCACATCTCTACTAAAAATACAAAAATTAGCCAGATGTGGTGGCAGGCACCTGTATGTAATCCCAGCTACTGGGGTGGCTGAGGCAGGAGAATCGCTTGAACCTGGGAGATGGAGGTTGCAGTGAGCCAAGATCATGCCACTGCACTCCAGCCTTGGTGGTGGGTGACAGAGCAAGACTTCATCTCAAAAAAAAAAAAAAAGAAGGTGAAATAGGGATTCACCATGGCCCTCTTTCCCAGACACTGTGCCCAGCTGCCCTGGCATGGAAAGGGGGCAGGTAGTGGGGCCACGCACCTGCTTGGGGGGCTTGTGCCGATTATACTCCTCCCCCCAGAGCTTGGCCTCCATCTGTAGACGCACGTCCTCAAAGTACACATCCCGGTCTACGGGCTCGATGTAGCGCTTCGCCACGTAGTTGGAGGCGCCCTTCCACTGCTGGGCATGCAAGAAGTTGGAGAGCTTCTTCCTGTGGGAAGAGGCAACAGGGGGCCTACCTGGGTACTCTGGGGTTCACCAGGGACACAGCCCTGGTCCTCAGGACAGCAAGACCCTGTCTGATGTGGCTGGGTGGCTGGCAGCAGGAACAAAATGCAGGAGGTAAGAAGGACGTCCCCACCCCTCTGCATCCTTCAAAGAGCTGGGACAGGGGGATTAAAGGTCACTGTTAAAGGTCTCCTATCCCATTTCCCTTGACCTCCCAACACCAGGGCAGAGGTAAGTGGGGTGTTCCCTGTTCTTCCTGAGCCCATCGTCACAGCCAGGCCCAATGTGTGGCCCGAGGGAGACTAGATGGACAGGAACCTGGGCTACAAGAAGGCAGAGGCCCCTGGCTCCATTCCTTGGCTGAAAATGTCCCAATGCCTCAGCTCTTAGGAGCCTGGGGGGACTCTGGGCAGGGCCCCAAGAGCCAGGCTGAGTCACTTACGTCCGGAAGCACTCCCTCATTGCTCCTCGGCCGAAGGGCTGAAAGACACCACACAGAGTGTTATCAGTCCCCATGCCCCACCCAAAAGGGACCCTAAGACAGGAGGTGCTCCCCTTACATGCCACCTATCAAATGGGTGCCCTGGGCCTCATCTCAATCCTGAAATCCCTGGGGATCTCCCTTCTATGTCTCAGCACCAAAGCCATAGAGGCCTTCCAACCCAGAGGCTGCCAGGATGACAAGGAACCCCCATTCCTCCACCCCAGCTGAGGGGAAGAATCCACGGGGGCAGGATGATGGGGGAGGGACAGTGCATCTCAGAGGACGTTTTCCCAGCCCTGACTGTAAGAGAAAAAAAGTGGAGATAACCTACGTGTCCAGCAACAATATACTGGAAAAATCAACCAGGTGTATTCCTTCAATGAAATACCATGCAGCGATGAAAACCAATGCAAAATGTTGACCAAAAGAACACCTGCAGCACCAGGAGCAGCGGCTTATGTCTGTAATCCCAGAATTTTGGGAGGCTGAGGCAAGAGGATCACTTGAGGCCAGGAGTTCAAGACCAGCCTGGGCAACATAGCAAGACCTCCCTCTACAAATATTTTAAGGCTGGGCACAGTGGTTCATGCCTGTAATCCCAGCACTTTAGGAGGCTGAGGTGGGTGGATCACCTGAGGTCGGGAGTTCGAGACCAGCCTGACAAATATGGAGAAACCCTGTCTCTACTAAAAATAGAAAAATTGGCTGGGCGTGATGGTGCATGCCTGTAATCCTAGCTACTTGGGAGGCTGAGGCAGGAGAATTGCTTGAACCCAGGAGGCAGAGGTTGCGATGAGCCAAGATCGCACCATTGCACTCCAGCCTGGGCAACAAGAGCAAAACTCTATCTCCAAAAAAAAAAAAATTTTTAAAAATTGACTGGGTGTGACGGTGCACCCCTGTAGTCTGAGCTACTCGGGAGGCTGAGGTGGGATAATTGCTTGAGCCCAGGAGTTCAGGGCTGCAGTAAGGCAAGATCATGTACCCCTACACCCCAGCCTGGGCAGCAGAGCAAGACCCTGTCTCTAAAAAAGAATACCTGTTGTATGCCCCCACTTATATGAAGCAAAAAAATAGGCAAAAGTAATCTAGGGTGATAGAATTCAGAGGGGTGCTTACCCTGTGGGTATGGGAGGAGTGACTGAGAGGGGCTTGGCCAGGCTGGTTGCCTTCTGTTTGTTGATACGGGCCGATGTTAAGGCAGTGTGCTCATTTTGTGACAACTCAGCAAGCTGTACACTTTTCTGTGTATATTGTATATTACACTAAAACAAAGTTTCATAAAGCAATCCTAACTTCAATATGCAGGGAATACTCTATTTTCTAGTCTTTTATCTTTTTTTTTTTTTCTTCAAAAGCCTTTTTTGTATTTTTAGTAGAGACGGGTGTGGTGGCTTACGCCTATAATCCCAGCACTCTGGGCGGCCAAGGCAGGAGGATCATTTGAGCCCAGGAGTTTGAGACCAGCCTGGGCAACATAGTGGAACCCATGTCTCTATAAAAAATAAAAAAATTAGCCAGGAGTGGTGGTGTGTACTTGTGGTCCTGGCTACTTGGGAGGCTAAGGTGAGAGGATGGCTTGAGACCAGGAGGTCAAGGCTGCAGTGAGCTGTGACTGTGCCACTGTGCTCCTGGGCAATAGAGTGAGACCCTGTCTCAAAAAAAAAAAAAAAAAAATGCTGGCTACAACCAATAAATAAACAATAACAAAGAATCCCCCGAAGTTACAAAAATTAAATAAAGTGGGAGTGGGAGAGAAGGGTGCACAGACCAAAGTTAGCTGCAGAAAGTCTTTGCTCAGCCCTGTCCCCACGGGGCTCAACGCTCTGCTCACCTGAGATGCCATCTTGATCAGAACTTCATCATCCAGCCATTCCCCGGTGACGGCGTTGTACCTGCAGAGACCCATCCACCATGGGGCACAGCGTCCATCACGTGGTCCTGTTTCTCACTGGCTAAAGGTCAAAGACCCTTCTGGGCTCCCCACTGACCTCAGAACCAACCCACTCTCCACCTTGGCCCATAGCCCAGCCAACCTCCTGGGTTGGGTTGGAGACACTGTCCCTCCCTCCCACGTCCCAACACACTGGTCTCAATCCTTTCCTCAAACCCACTGTTCCCTCTCTACCATGTCCCCCATTTCCATATCCCCAGCACTCACTGCTGTGCTGTTTACTGGCTTGTTCTGCATCTGGGGCTCCCACTGGACTGTAACCCCACAAAAGCAGACCCATGTCTGTCTTAGTCACCAGGACCCAGTGTGTGTGGATGCTTAATAAATATACATGGCCGGACTTGGTGGTTCACGCCCGTAATCCCAGCACTTTGGGAGGCTGGGGCAGGCGGATCATGAGGTCAGGAGTTCGAGATCAGCCTGACCAACAAGGTGAAACTCTGCCTGCACTAAAAATACAAAAATTAGCCGAGCATGGTGGTGCATGCCTGTAATCCCAGCTACTCAGGAGGCTGAGGCAGGAGAATCGCTTGAACCCGGGAGGCGGAGGTCACAGTGAGCCGAGATTGCACCATTGCACTCCAGCCTGGGTGACAGAGCGAGACTCTGTCTCAAAAGATAAAAAATAAAAATAAAAATAAAAATAAAAATAAATACATACATAAAATAAATATACAAGGTGGATGAATGACTGAATAAATAATATGCTGATCATAACTGGTCTCCGTAACAAACGGCATGGCCCAGGGAGGGGAGGTGGTGGTGGTGCCCTCGATCTTGCCAGGCAGCTGGGCACATCTCCCGAGAAGTAACAGCCGCACACAGTGGAGGGTAAGGGTCCCGTCTCTGAGTCTAGACAGGAGAAGGGCTGCCGGTGTACGGGTAGAAAGGAGTGATCTCTTTCCTCCCCATCATAAGGGTCATGGACAACCAGTTTTATGTGACACGGAAGCCTTCAGAATGAAGACTCAAAGATACAGAAGAACCAATCCGATTTTATGCTGAGGTTCAGTGAAGCAGGGATGGCGTGAAGCAATGTGATTGGGCAAAAAGGAGATGAGCTAATGGTAACAGACTGAGTTGGCCAGCAAGGCCTGTTGCGATTCTTCTTGGCCACTCTGTTATAGCATTTCCTTCTCTTGTGTATGGAGTAGGACCCCTTTGGAATGAGGGTCTCATTCCATAATTTATTTATGGCCAGCTATTGCACAGAAAATTCATGTAAGGTTAGAGAATTTTTTTTTTTTTTTGACACAGAATCTCCCCATCACCCAGGCTGGAGTGCAGTGGAGCAATCTTGGCTCACTACAACCTCCGCTTCTTGGGTTCAAGCAGTTCTCCTGCTCCAGCCTTCCGAGTAGCTGGGATTACAGGTGTGCCTGCCACCATACCCAGCTAATTTTTTTTTTTGTATTTTTGTAGAGATGGAGTTTCACCATGTTGGCCAGGCTGATCTTGAACTCCTGGCCTCAAGTGATCCACCTGCTTCAGCCTCCCAAAGTGCTGGGATTACAGGCGTTAGCCACTGCGCCTGGCCTAGAGTAATATTTTTAAGCTTTATGGCTGGCTTTGGGAAAAAGGGGTTCTAGTTTCTATGACTGGTAGTGGGCAAGGGCAATTCTAGTTTCTTTTTTTTTTTTTTTTTTTTTTTTTTTTTTGAGATGGAGTCTCGCTCTGTCACCCAGGCTGGAGTGCAGTGGGGCGAACTCAGCTCACTGCAACCTCTGTCTCCTGGGTTCAAGCGATTCTCCTGCCTTAGCCTCCTGAGTAGCTGGGATTACAGGCGCATGCCACCGTGCCCAACTAATTTTTGTATTTTTAGTAGAGATGGGGTTTCATCACATTGGCCAGGCTGGTCTCAAACTCCTGATCTCATGATCCGCCTGCCTCAGCCTCCCAAAGTGTTGGGATTACAGGCGTGAGCCATCGCACCCGGCCAATTCTAGTTTCAATGGCTTGCTTAAGGAGACAACAAGGGGTGAGAGACAGGAGGGCAGGAGATGATCAGAGAGGGGCTATTTCTGAAGCCTTCACTTTGGGGTATCATTTTCTGAGCCCCAGTACCAGGTTGTGTGATGGTAAATATATATTTTGTTTTAGATTCCATTTCCTGGCATGCAACTCTGAAAGTCCTTGGAATCTCCAAAGTGACGTCTTTTTTTTTTTTTTTTTTTTTTTTTAAGACTGAGTCTCACTCTGTCACCCAGGCTGGAGTGTAGTGGCACGATCTCAGCTCACTGCAACCTCTGTCTCCCAGGGTTCAAGCAAGTCTCCTGCCTCAGCCTCCTGAGTAGCTGGGATTACAGGCGCCTACCACCACACCCGGCTAAATTTTTAGAAGAGATGGGGTTTCACCATGTTGGTCAGGCTGGTCTCGAACTCCTGACCTCAAGTGATCCACTCACCTCGGCCTCCCAAAGTGCTGGGATTACAGGCATGAGCCACCATGCCCAGTCTTCTTCTGTACCCTTTGTAACATCCTTTATAATAAACCAGTAAATATGAGTAAGTGTTTCCCTGAGTTCCGTGAGCTGCTCCAGCAAGTTAATCAAACCCAAGGAGGGGTTCATGGGAACCCTGATTTATAGCTGGTCAGAAGCACAGGTGAAACCACTTCGGGCTTGCGATCAGCAGTGAAAGTCGGGGACGGTCTTGTAGGACTGAGCCTCCAACCTGTGGGATCTGATGCTATCTCCAGGTAGATGGTGTCAGAATTGAATTGAATCATAGGATACCCAACTCAAAACTCCTCTAATTCCTTCAATTAGAGGAACAGAATTAGACGCACATCTGCTGGTGTCCACTGCAGAGCTGATTACTTGCTTGTGGGTGGGGAGAAACCGCCACACATTTTGAGCTCACAGAAGCATTCTGTGTTGTAAGGGTACAGTAGGTTAAATTAAGTTTGTTTTTGTCACAGATAGGTGCATACCTAAGGCAGAGAGAGCTTGGAGAGGGTTCAGGGAACATTTCCATCTCTCCTTTCCCAGAGTAAATCAGCCCCTGGGCCTGGCCAGGCCTCACACAAGTTTGCCTGGTGGAAATCTCCTCAGCTCAATGGATCCCTAAAGTTTGAAACCTCCCTCCGGGCTGAGGTGTTCTTAACTCTAGTTGGAGGTTTCCCTTAGCGCACCTCTCAGCCGGGGCAGACTCCAGAACACCCCACCCTCGGTGAGAACAGGTTTCCCAGAGCCTGATGCCTCCACCGGGAAAAACAAGCAGAGGCCTGGCAGGTTAACCTCCCCTAGGCTCAGAGGGAGGAAAGCTCTCCAGAGCTGCACAGTTTGCACCGGCCCAGGGCAAGTATAGTTGATGCTTGAATGACATGGGTTTGAAGTGCGTGGGTCTACTTATAAATGGACTTTCTTCAATCAATATATTGGAAAATGTTTCAGAGATTTGCAACAATTTTATTTTATTTTATTTTTGACATGGAGTGTTACTCTGACGCCCAGGTTGGAGTGCAGCAGTGCTATATCAGCTCACTGCAACCTCCACTTCCTGAGTTCAAGCGATTCTCCTGCCTCAGCCTCCTGAGTAGCTGGGATTACAGGTGCCAGCCACCACGCTTGGCTATGGCTAATTTTTGTATTTTTAGTAGAGATGGGGTTTCACCATGTCGGCCAGGCTGGTCTTGAACTCCTGACCTCAAGTGATCTGCCCACCTCAGCCTCCCAAAGTGCTGGGATTACAGGTGAGAGCCACCTCACCCGGCCAGAGATCTGCAACAATTTAAAAAAACTAGCTCAGTCTAGCCTGTCTAATAGGTACCTTGTGAGAACCACGAGAAGGATTCAGTGAGGTAATGCACCGGGCCTTAAGCACGCATTAGCATGCCAATATTAGCTGCTGTTATGATTACTCCCTTCCCCTGACCCCCAAGAGTACTTAGGCCTCACTGATTGGGAACAGAAGCTGGACGTATAGCCCCCAGGACTCCTCGAGACCCCACACAAGCTGCTGACCTGTGTCGAGTAGCACGTTCGGTGGCAATATCTTCCAGGTGGAACTCAGCCCAGGGGTCGGGCATGTGCTTGGCCTTCTGGATTGCGTGCTTCCAGGCTTCCTGTGGAAGGCAAAGGAGAAGGTAGGAACATCAGGCCCAGGTCAGGGGCTTTGGGGACAGCGTGGACTCCTCCTGCCCTGTTATTTCCTCTGGAGAGGCAGACAGTATCAGGACAGAGAGAGACTCCTGTCTAGTAGCCTTTCAGGAACACAGTCCCCAAAAGAACCTATCTGCACTCACAGGCACAGCCTCCCTGTGGGCAGAAATGGCACATCTTAACTACACAACGCTTGGATCAAAGAGTTGAGAATGAAAATAGGATACCATTCCCCCATTCAGGTTGGCTAACATTTCATTATATATATATTATATAGGATATACACACACACACACACACACACACACACACACACACACACAATACATATATAGAAACAGAATATAACGTATATATATATATAGAAACAGAGTCTCACTCTGTCACCCAGGCTGGAGTGCAGTGATGTGATCTTGGCTCGCTGCAACCTCCACCTCCCGGGTTCAAGCAATTCTCATGCCTCAGCCTCCCAAGTAGCTGAGATTATAGGCGCCCGCCACCACGCACTGCTACTTTTTGCATTTTTTGGTAGAAACAAGGTTTCACCACATTGGCCTGGCTGGTCTCGAACTCCTGACCTCAAGTGATCCACCCGCCTTGGCCTCCCAAAGTGCTGACATTACAGGCGTGAGCCACTGTGCCCGGCCTCTTTTTTTTTTTTTTTTTTTTTGAGACAGGGTCTTACTTTGTCGCCGAGGCTGGAGTGCAGTGGTGCAATCTCGGCTCACTGCAACCTCTGCCTCCTGGATTCAAGCGATCCTCCCACCTCAGCCTTGGGAGTAGCTGGACCTACAGGTGCACACCACTATACCTGGCTAATTTTTGTACTTTTTGGTAGAGACGGGGTTTCGTCATGTTGGCCAGGCTGGTGTCAAACTCCTGACCTCAAGTGATCCACCAGCCTCGGCCTCCCAAAGTGCTGGGATTACAGCAGGCTGGCAATTATTTTAATGAGATGAAACATTTTAGCGAGTGCTGGCCCGGATATCAGGGAACGGGTACCCTCACACACCATCGGGGGTATAAAACTTTTCTAGGCTGGGCTGGGTGCAGTGGCTCGTGCCTGTAATCCCAGCATTTTGGGAGGCCGAGGCAGGTGGTTTACCTGAGGTCAAGAGTTTGAGACCAGTGTGGCCAACACGGTGAAACCCTGTCTCTACTAAAAATACAAAAATTAGCTGGGCATGGTGGCACACGCTTGTAATCCCAGCTACTTGGGAGGCTGAGAGAGGAGAATCGCTTGAACCCAGGAGGCAGAGGTTGTAGTGAGCCGAGATTGTGCCATTGCACTCCAGCCTGAGTGACAGAGGGAGACCCTGTCTCAGAAAAAAAAAAAAAAAAAAAATAGGCTGCATCTCTGGTGGAGATTCTTGACCTTACCAGACCCAATGACCTCTTTTTATAATAAATATTATATAACACCCCATTTTACTGCCCTATGTGAAATTCATAGATAACATAAATTTCTAAGCTCAGAGCTAGAACCATGCCAAAGATATGTTGCCTTTTTTATTTTTTATTTTTTTTTCAAGAGACGGGGTCTCACCCTGTCCCCAGGCCGGAGTGCAGTGGCATGATCACGGCTCAGGTGATCCTCTCGCCTCAGCCTCCTGAGTAGCTAGGACCCCAGGCTGAGCCACCATACCTGGTTAATTTTTTAATTTTCTGTAGGGACAGGGTCTCACCATATTGCCCAGGCTGGTCTTGAACTTCAAGCGATCCTCCCACCTCAGCCTCCCAAAGGATACGCCGCCTTTACACATAACATAGCATTTAACTCTGGCCTCAGATAATTATGAAACGATTCCCATGAGCTGTTCCAAGATCTTGTGGGATGCAGGAAAATTCATCGTGCAGAACAGCCCTGTTTCAGGGTTGCTGGCATTCCCGGCCTTCCCTAACTCTATGCCAGCAGTGCCCACCACCCCATCATTATGATGGCCCAAAAGAACTCCCAAATCTATCAAAACCTATTGAGAGTAGCCAGGCATGGTGGCTCACGCCTGTAATCCCAGCACTTTGGGAGGCCGAGGCAGATGGATCATCCAAGGTCAGGAGCTCGAGACCAGCCTGGCCAACGTGGTGAAACCCCGTCTCTACTTTAAAAAAAAAAAAAGCTGGGTGCATACGTGTAATCCCAGATACTCGGGAGGCTGAGGCAGGAAAATCGCTTGAACCAGGAGGTGGAGGTTGCAGTGAATGGAGATCAGGCCACTGCACTCCAGCCTGGGTGACAGAGCAAGACTCTGTACCCAAAAAAAAGAGTCCAGCTTCCCAAGGACTCAGCCCAAACAGGGCTTCACCTCATCCCCAGCACTGGGTCCTGCTCAAAATAGAAGCAGCTCAGGCAGTGGAGCTGGGCCTTCCAATACACACACACAGAGCCCAGGCCTCTCACTCTCTCTAGGGCTTTCTTTTGTTTTTGGGTTTTTGTTTTGTTTTTTAAATAGGAATAAGGTCTCTCTCTGTTGTCCAGGCTACGTGGTGGTAGTGTGATCATAGCTCTCTGCAACCTCAAAACTCCTGGGCTCAAGCGATCTTCCTGCCTCAGCCTCCTGAGTAGCTGGGACTACACTTGTGTGTCACCATGCCCAGCTAATTTTTTTATTTTTATTTTTATTTTGCAGAGACCGGGTTGCACTACGTTTGTTGCCCAGGCTGGTCTCGAACTCCTGGCCTCAAGTGATCCTCCTGCCTCAACCTCCCAAGGAACTAGGATTACAGAGATGAGCTGCTGCACCTAGCCTGCTGGGGCTTTTTTACCTCTGCAGAGTTCAAAAAATAAAGCCTGTAATTCTTTTCTTCTATTTTGGTAGCTAATTTAGACTTAATTTAAAAGTTGGAGAATACAGAAGACAAAAGTCAAATCCACCATATACCATCCACTGGAGCAATGCCGTAGACTAATTCTTTTCCAGATCTTCTATATGTTTTTTTTTTTTTTTTTTTTTTTTTTGAGACAGTCTCCCTCTGTCACCCAGGCTAAAGTGCAGTGGGGTGATCTCAGCTCACTGCAACCTCCTGGGTTCAAGCAATTTTCCTGCCTCAGCCTCCTGAGTAGCTGGGATTACAGGCGTGAGCCAACATGCCTGGCTAATTTTTGTATTTTTAGTAGAGACGGGGTTTCACCATGTTGGCCAGGCTAGTCTCGAACTCCTGACCTCAGGTGATCCACCCGCCTTGGCCTCCCAAAGTGCTGGGATTACAGGCGTGGCCACCTTGCCCGGCCTACATGCATTTTTTAATAAGATTGGTATCATACCATAAAATATAATTCACCTCCTTACAGAAGAGTGGGTCAATGGGATTTTGTGCTTTATTTAGTGATCTCAATTTTTTTTTCTGATTCCAAAGTATGATCCACATCACATAAAAACTGCAAGCACTATAGAACTCTGAATTAGAAAGCGGAAGTCCTCCCTAATCCACTTCCTCTGAAAACCACAGCTGACAGTTGATGTAGACATTCTGCAAAATTTTTTCCTATGCCTCTGTGAACATAAACACATATTTAAGAGCAGTTTAGGCCGGGCGCGGTGGCTCACACCTGTAATCCCAGCACTTTGGGAGGCTGAGGCAGGCAGATCACAAGGTCAGGAGTTTGATACCAGCCTGGCCAACATGGTAAAACCCTGTCACTACTAAAAATACAAAAATTAGCCGGGCATGGTGGCACGAGCCTGTAATCCCAGCTACTTGGGAGGCTGAGGCAGGAGAATCGCTTGAACCCAGGAGGCGGAGGTTGCAGTGAGGCAAGAGAGCACAACTACACTCCAGCCTGGGCGACACAGTGAGACTCCATCTCAAAAAAATAAAAATAAAACAAAATAAAAAGAAAGAGCAATTGGACCACACCACATGTTCTGTTGTGCATCTGACTTTTCTTAATGTAAGATCTTGGACATCTTTCCATGTCATATGTGCAGACTGGCTGGGGTAACCTCCTTTCATTTCCAGAACTACCAGATATATAATTATATAAATGTACCTTAAGGTATTTGCCTAACCTCCAATTGAATAATGTTTGGGTTCCCTCCAACATTTCCTAGTACAAACAGTGCTGAAGTGAACATCTTCCTATCCAAATCTTGGGCGCTTGTGCAAGATCTCAGTAGTACATATTTTTTGGGAAATGTAACTGCTGGATCACATTTAAAATCTAGAAATGACTGAGTTCTCTGCCAAAAAATTTATCCCAAGTTATACTCCAAGAAGCAGTAAACAAATCACTAAAATTCTTTTGGCACAGACAGTACATCAGATAACTATAAAATTTATAAGTTATTTGCATCCTGCTTTAATAGTTGCATAATAATCTACTGTATAACTTTTTTGTTATTGACTTGATTATTCACCTGTTGCTCTCCACTGTTAGACTTCAAGCTTGTCACTGATTGCTCCCTGTTGTAAATAACCCCACAGCAGACATGTGTATGTCTAAAACATTTTTCTGAATTTCGGTCCCTGTACCTTTTTTTTTTTTTTTTTTTTGAGATGGAGTCTGGCTCTGTCACCAGGCTGGAGTGAAGTGGCATGATCTCGGCTCACTGCAACCTCTGCCTCCTGGGTTCAAGCGATTCTCCTGCCTCAGCCTCCTGAGCAGCTGGGACTACAGGCTTGCGCCACCACGCCCAGCTAATTATTGTATTTTTAGTAGAGACAGGGTTTCACCATGTTGGCCAGGATGGTCTCGATCTCTTGACCTTGTGATCCGCCTGCCTCGGCCTCCCAAAGTGCTGGGATTACAGGCATGAGCCTGGCCCCTGTACTTTTTCTCTTAAAGAGACAGGGTCTTGCTCTGTCACTCAGGCTGGAATGCAGTGGCATGATCACAGCTCACCGCAGCCTCAAACTCCTGGGTTCAAGTGATCCTCCTGCTTCAGCTTCCCGAATAGCTGGGATGACAGGCGCTTGCCATCATGCCTGGCTAATTTTTTAAATTTCTGTACAGACAGGATCTCGGTATGTTGCCCAGGCTGTTCTCAAACTTCTGGGCTCAAGTGATCCTCCTGCCTTGTCCTTCCAAAGCACTGGGATTACAGGCATGAGCCACCACGCCCAGCCCAATCCCCGTAACTTAAAGCACCAGTCTCAGCTCATATTCCGGCTGCTACAAATGGCAGGGACAGCCTTCGACCTCCACCTGTCAGGAGAGCCTGCAGGGTTGAGAATTCAGCAGGCCACCCTTCCAAGCATGTCTGTACAGGTGCCCTGTTCTCTGTCTACGACACACAATTCTCTGACAGTGCCTCTCTCAAACGACTCCGCCACTCCGTAAGCCACTAACAGGGACCGTCCCCATTCAGTGAAGATTAGCAACAGAAATTACCTCCTGGCTGGATGCCGTGGCACCAACCACAAAACAGGGAGGAAAGTACTGCAGAATTAGAGGGTGTGGTATTTCATAGAATAAAAATTACCTTTTTTCCAAACCCAGAACAGAGTCATGCCAGACCTTATTGGCAACAGGTGGGATTAATGCAACTGACTTTTTTTTTTTTAATAAGCACAGTATAAAAAGTACTGTACTAACATTCATGTCCCTGACTCTGGTTCCAGCTTACTGACTGGCTGTGGGAACCTCCATTTCCTTGTTTACAAACAAGGATGAAGAAGGTTTTGGCTGCTGGTGGTCCACTTTTTTGTGGCCCCTGCACCCAGGGTAGACACACTCCCACCAAAAACAGTGGCTCACTGGGGTGGCAGTGCTTATTATGGGTGACTCCTGCTGGAGCTACAAATCACCAGTAATGTTACCATCAGGTGGGGAATGGAAGCAGGTACTGCCATCTTTGAGAGCCACCTGGCAGTGGCTATGAACCTTCTTCTGCACCGACTTCTGACCCAGCCATTCCTATCACCTACCCAGGTGTGTCCAGGTAAGCTGGTCCAAGGATGATCAGTGCTTTTTTTTTTTTTTTTTTTCCTTTTTTCTTTTTTTTTGAGACCAGGTATTTATTACTTTGTTGCCTAGGCTGAAGTGCAGTGGTGGGATCATAGCTCACTGAAGCCTCCAACTCCTGGGCTCAACGAATCTTCTCAACTCAGCCTCCCAGGTAGCTGGGACTATGGGTGCTCACCATCATGCCCAGCTAATTTAAAAAATTGTGTGTGTGTAGAGATGACAGTCTCTCTATGTTGTCCAGGGTGGTCTTGAACTCTAGCCTCAAGGTCAGCACTTATAATGCCATAATGATCAGGCAGTACAAACTGCCCATCTGTAGGGGGATGATCACATACACTTGGTATACTCAAAATAAGATGCTAGCACGGGTGATCTTTGTATTCCCCCCGGGCAGGGAGTGGGGGACGTGGTCTCACTCTGTCGTCCAGGCTGGAGTGCAGTGGCGCCATCTCTGCTCACTGCAACCTCCGTCTCCTGGGTTCAAGCAATTTTGTCTCAGCTGCCTGAGTATCTGGGATTACAGGTGAGTGCCACCACACCCGGCTAATTTTTGTATTTTTAGTAGAGATCAGGTTTCACCATATTGGTCAGGCTGGTCTTGAACTCCTGGCCTCAGGTGATCCACTCACCTTGGCCTCCCAAAGTGCTGAGATTACAGGCGTGAGCCACCGCACCCAGCATGGGCAATTTCTAAGACCTATTGTTTAGGGGGGAAAAAAGCAAGTTACAGAACAATACAAACACTATGATACCACTTACTGGTGGCGGAAACCCACAAATCAATACCATGGATTTTCTAAGGATGTGTGTGTCTGTAGACATACACACAAATGTATACTTATATGCAAATGCACAAAAAGAGGTCTGAAAAGTAATTTATATGAAACTAATATAATTC
The DNA here is from genome assembly GCF_000001405.40 of Homo sapiens. Lineage (NCBI taxonomy): Eukaryota > Metazoa > Chordata > Mammalia > Primates > Hominidae > Homo > Homo sapiens. The sequence goes on from NW_017852933.1 coordinate 867,257, forward strand.
TTATCTCTGGGAATAGAAAGGGATAAGAAGTTGCTCAAAGAGACCTCAGTTTATCTATGTTGTTTGCATTCTTTTTACAATGAGAATGTATTTAGGTAATGCCTGTGTAAATCAAAGTTAAGAAACAAAAATTACTGGGTTAGACGAGTTTTCTTCTTTTCTTTTTTTTTTTGAGACAGGGTTTCACTCTGTTGCGCAGCCTGCAGTGCAGTAATGGAATCATGGCTCACTGAAACCTCAACCTCCACCTCAACCTCCCGGGTAGCTGGGCCTATGGGCACACGCCACCACGCCTGGCTAATTTTTTGTATTTTTGTAGAGACAGAGTTTCACCATGTTGCCCAGGCTGGTCTCAAACTCCCGGACTCAAGTGATCCACCTGTCTTGGCCTCCCAAAGTGCTGGGATTACAGACATAAGCCACTGCGCCTGGCCAGGTTAGATGATTCTTAAGGCCGTGCCAGCTCTAATATCCTCTATTTCTAAGGATTCCGGAACTCAGTTGTTGAGTAGGTTAATTAATCTTACATAGAACAGAGGGCTATGGGCCGGGTGTGGTGGCTCATGCCTGTAATCCTAGCACTTTGGGAGGCCGACATAGGTGGAGCACTTGAGGCCAGGAGTTTGAGACCAGTCTGGTGAACATGGTGAAACCCCCTCTCTACAAAAAATATAAAAATTAGCTGGGCGTGGTGACGTGTGCCTGTGCTCCCAGCTACTCAGGAGGCTGAGGCATGAGAATCGCTTGAACCCAGGAGGTGGAGGTTGCAATGAGCTGAGATTGCACCACTGCACTACAGCCTGGGTGACAGAGCAAGACTCTGTCTCAAAAAAAAAAAAAAAAAAAAAAAAAAAGAGGTCTGTGGATATTTCATAAAAAAAGGAAAACATAATTCTGGCTACAGAATAGAAAGGCTGTGGTTCTTCAAAGTCTGAGAGTACAAAATAAAAATAAATAATAGTGAAATCATAATAATTATATACCAGGAAAGGGAGATGGAAATAATAATAATGATTACTATAGTAATAATAATTTACTTCATCGAGTATGCCAGGAGTGAGGGTGGAGTGCCGGCAATGTGTTTGCAAATGTTTTGGCACGTGGGATGTTATCACTGTTGTTGCCAATTTTATATTACTGTTATTATTGCCATTATCACAGTAATCAAGGCCCCTGGTTACTTGAGGACACATCCAGTGACTCACCCAAGCCTTTATCACCTGTTACAGTCACTTCATGTTATAAAATCATTTTTTTCCCCATCATCACTTCTGCAGACTTTATGAAATACAGCTCAGAAGTCTAGGCAACATTGCGAAACCCTGCCTCTACTACAAATACAAAAAATTAGCCAGGCATGGTGCCATGCGCCTGTAGTAATAGCTACTCAGGAGGCTGAGGTGGAAGGATCACCTGAACCTGGGAAGTCGAGGCAAAAAAAAAAAAAAAGAAATACAACTCAGAGACAGCCCAACTACTCTCCCCTCCTGCAGAGCAGTAATGGGCTTAACCAAACTCAAGGGCTCAAATAAAAGAAGCGGGAAGAAGTGGGGGAACACAGTGAGGCTCTGGAATGGAAAGAGACCAACAGTGGTGTGTAGAGGCCACAATCTATGCCACATGCACTTAGAGGTTTGGTACAATTATCAGTGGAACCCAGCATGGAATACAGCAGCAAAAAACTGGAAACCAGGCACAGTGGTCATGCCTGTGATCCCAGCAATTTGGGAGGCCAAGGCAGGAGGATCACTTGACACTTGGAGTTCCAGAGCAGCCTGGGCAGCATAGCAAGACCCCATTTCTACAAAAAAAAAAATACAAAAATTAGCCAGGCGTGATGGCGCATGCCTTTAGTCCCAACTACCTGGGGAGCTGGGGTGGGAGGATCACTTGAGCTCAGGAGGTCGAGGCTACAGTGACCCATGATTGTGCCACTGCACTCCAGCCTGGGCAACAGCATGAGACCCTATCTCTTAAAAAACAAACAAACTGGCCAGACGCGGTGGCTCACGCCTGTAGTCTCAACACTTTGGGAGGCTGAGGCAGGCAGATCACCTGACGTCAGGAGTTCGAGACCAGCCTGACCAACATGGAGAAACCCCATCTCCACTAAAAAATGCAAAATTAGTCAGGCGTGGTGGTGCATGCCTGTAATCCCAGCTACTTGGGAGGCTGAAGCTGGAGAATCACTTGAACCCGAGAGGCAGAGGTTCCAGTGAGCTGAGATCGTGCCATTGCACTCCAGCCTGGGCAACAAGAGCGAAACTCCATCTCAAAAACAAACAAACGTGGAAACTGCCTAAGTATCCCACAAGAGGCAATGCTTAAAGAAACTGTGGTGTAGCCATACAATGGGCTGACAGAGCCATCAAGACACTACATCCATATTTACTGATCTGAAAAGACATGATGATTTCTTGCTTGCCGAAAAAAACTGGTTACTGAAGACATATATAGCATGATTCTACAGTAGCAACAAAATGTCCATATTTGTGTATATTTAAAGTGAAATACAGTAAAGTCTGAACTATACACTAAGATCTTAATAGCAAAATATCTGCACTTTTTTTTTTTTGAGACACAGTCTTGCTCTGTCTCCCAGGCTGGAGTGCAGTTGTACAATCTCAGCTCACTGCAATCTCTGCCTCCCAGGTTTAAACAATTCTTGCGCCTCAGCCTCCCCAGTAACTGGGACTACAGGTGTGCGCCCCCATGCCCGGCTAATTTTTTGTATTTTTAGTAGAGATGGGGTTTCACCATGTTGCCTGTAATCCCAGCTACTCAGGAGGCTGAGGCAAGAGAATCACTTGAACCTGGGAGGCAGAGGTTGCAGTGAGCAGAGATGGCACCACTGCACTCCAGCAGGGGCAACAGAGTGAAACCGCCCCTAAAAAAAAAAAAAAAAAAAAAAGCAACAAAAAACATTATGCTTAGCAAAAGAAGCCAGACATAAAAGGCCACATGTTGTATGATTCTATTTATGTAAAACGTCCAGAAAAGGCAAGTCCAGAGAGGCAGAAAGTGGACTGGTGTTTGCCTGGGGCTGGGTGGGATGTGTATATTAGAGCGTGATGGCTAAGGGGTATAGAATTTAGTTTTTGGGTAAAATGTTCTAAAAGTGGTTGTGGTGATGGATGCATAATTTTATGAATATACTCAAAGGCTTTGAATAGTACATTTTAAATGGGTAAATTGTATGGCATGTGAATTATATTTCCAAAAACTGCTAAAATTTTTTTTTTTTTTTCCTGTTGCCCAGGCTGGAGTGCAGTGGTGCGATCTTGGCTCACTGCAACCTCCGCCTCCCGGGTTCAAGTGATTCCCCTGCCTCAGCCTCCTGAGTAGCTGGGACTACAGTCTCACACCACCACGCCCAGATAATTTTTGTATTTTTAGTAGAGATGAAGTTTCACCATATTGGTCAGGCTGGTCTCCAACTCCTGACCTCAGGTGATCCACCAGCCTCGGCCTCCCAAGGCAATCATTATTCTTTGATCATGCTGTTAGAGCTGCCCTCAGTGGGTTACAAGTATGAGTGTAATCACCAAAGTTGGCCAAATAAGGGCATGGGAAGCAGGTGTACCCACCCATCATGGGGGGCACACACGATGGTGTAACCTCTTTGAGGAGCAACCGACAACACCTATCCCAGTTTAAACACACAAACGTTTTGCCTAGCCAGTTCACCTCTGGGGGGGGTCCTCTGGTGGGCACGCCCATTCATGGGTGCAAAGACACATGCACAAGGAAGTGCTGTTTGTGGCAGGACAAGACTGGAAATAACCTACATACCCTACAAGGAGGGGCTGGCTACATTTATTATGGTGCTTCCAACAATGAAATGATATTCAGCCATTAAATAACCAACAACAGGCTGGGCATGGTGGTGCATGCCTGTGGTCCCAGCTACTCGGGAGGCTGAGGTGGGAGGATCACTTGAGCCCAGGATTTCAATGCAGTGAGCTATGATCACACCACTGCACTTCTGCCTGGGCAACCCTATCTCAAAAGAAATTTTTTTAAATAAGGTGATCTATGTGTATTGATGTGGAATGAGCTCTGAGATATTCTCAGATCAGGAAAATATTTTTTTGCCAGGGGGCAGGGGAGAGGGTCTCGCTCTGTTGCCTAGGCTAAAGGGCAGTGGTGCAATCTCTCACTGCAGCCTCTGCCTCCCAGGTTCAAGTGATTCTCCTGCCTCAGCCTGTGGAGTAGCTGGGATTATAGGTGCCCACCTCCATGCCCGGCTATTTTTTTTTTTTTTGTATTTTTAGTAGAGACGGGGTTTCACCATGTTGGCCAGGGTGGTCTCGAACTCCTGACCTCAAGTGATCTACCTGCCTCGGCCGCCAAAAGTCCTAGGATTACAGACATGAGCCAGTGCACCTGGCTGAAAATAATATTTAAAAATAAAATTTCCCACCTTAATAACAAATTAAAAACATGTATTTGCTCCCTATGCTTATTCTAGAAAATGTAGAAATGACAGAGAAGGAGAAAAGGAACACAGTCCCTCCTAATCCAATCCAAAGACAATTCCTGCTGCCCTGGTGATGTGCTTCCCCTCAGGCCTTGGCTGTATGTGTACGTGCGAGTTTCACAGAGCTATAATCATGCTGTATTCTTTTTAGATTTAACTCTGGAGCAGAGGCACTTTCCCACGTTATCATAAACTCTATAAACATCTTTGGATGACTGCCTGATATTCTATGGAGAGGGCGGCCCCCTGAATGGTTCTGCCACGTCTCCACGGGAGCTTGGGCAGAAGGCTGGGCTTGACAGCGATAGAATCTGACCTTTCACAATCCACACCCAATACCTGCTGGGTGTGTTCCTTGGAGGGAGGCCAGCGGGCCATTTTGGTTAAACAATCCAAGTTTCCAGGTCACAGTGCGTTAAAAAAAAAACCACTTAGGTTTATGGGATGCTGAGGGAACAAAGGTTGGAAAGCTGAGCTGTTGTCTCCCTCTGAAGCCACCCCTGGCAACACTAACCCAACAGAGCCTGCTTTCGATAACCTAGAAAGTAAGCAATGAAGTGCCAACTCCCGTCCACACACAGTCAAACATTTTATCAAGTCCTACTACGCAGGACCAAGGGAATGGAGGTCGCATCAGACACAACCCTACTCTTGCAGTCAGGTGCTGACTCAAACAAAGAACGACACTGGAGAATGACTCACACACATAAAGGTCTGCTAAGAGCCCCACGGAAGGCAGAGCAGAAAGCCTGGAAAGGTTGTCTTCAATCTGGGCTCTGGGCCAGGCTCAATCGCTTATGCTTGTAATCCCAACACTTTGGGAAGCTGAGGCAGGAGGACTGCTTGAGGCCAGGAGTTCAAGACCAGCCTGGGCAACGTAATGAGACCCCATCGTTCCAAAAAAAAATTAAGAAGTTGGCCAAGTGTGGTGGTGCACGCCTGTGGTCTCAGCTACTCAGGAGGCTGAGGTGGGAGGATCGCTCAAGCCCAGGAGTTAGAGGCTGCAGTGAGTTATGATCATGCCACTGTACTCCAGCCTGGGCAACACAGCAAGACCTTGTCTTTAAAATTAAAAAAATAAAAATTAAAGCTGGGTTCTGAAGGAGGCAGAACTGTAATTTTGATAGACCAGGACATCAGTTGAAAGAAATTTTATAAGGCAGAGGTGTGAAAAAGGGAAGCCCATTCCAGGAGCTTCCAGATGTGTGTGAGTGGAGGGGATGAACAGAGCCTAGAAAGGTCCTGGAGCGGAGGGACCTAGAAGACACTCCCATCCTGGTGATGAAGCTTTTTTTTTTTTTTTTTTTTTTGTTTGTTTAAGACAGAGTTTCGCTCTCGTTGCCCAGGCTGGAGTGCAATGGCGCGATCTTGGCTCACTGCAACCTCAGCCTCCCAGGTTCAAGTGATTCTCCTGGCTCAGCCTCCTGAGTAGCTGGGATTACAGGCATGTGCCACCATGCCTGGCTAATTTTTGTATTTTTAGTAGTGACAGGGTATCACCATGTAGGTCAGGCTGGTCTCAAACTCCTGACCTCGTGATCCACCTGCCCCAGCCTCCCAAAGTGCTGGGATTACAGGTGTGAGCCACCGTGCCCGGCCAGAAGTGATGAGTTTTGAGGAGGGGGTATTTATCAATGTATTTGAGGAAGAGGAAGTTACCTGGTTATTTTACTTTATTTTTCTTAACAACATCTTTTTCTCCACATAAGTGATACATATGTGTAACTTTAAAAGTTTAAAATGTTTAAAAAATATACAAAGCCCCCCTTTAATGGTACCTCTCCCATAGAGAGAACTGCCACTAACTGCTGGGTGCAAACTTCCCCTTCAAATGGTTTTTGCTATGCAGATACCAATATATATGTATATACATTTTTAATAAAAATAGGATCAGGTCGGGCGTGGTGGCTCATGCCTGTAATCCCAGCACTTTGGGAGGTCGAGGTGGGTGGATCACGAGGTCAGGAGTTCAAGACCAGCCTGGCCAACGTGGTGAAACCCCCGTCTCTACTAAATATACAAAAAATAAATAAATAAATAAACAAATAAAAAATTAGCAAGGCGTGGTGGCGGGCGGCTGTAATCCCAGCTATTCGGAAGGCTGAGGCAGGAGAATTGCTTCAACCTGGGAAGCAGAGGTTGCAGTGAGCCGAGATTGCACCACTGCACTCCAGCCTGGGTGATGGAGCAAGACTCTGTCTCAGAAAAGAAAAAAAAAAGCATCATACTATATTTCAACTTGCTTTTTAACTTAACTACATATATAAAAATGCTAACATTTTTTGACTTTATTATGGACCAGGCTTGTGCCAAAGGCTCTTTATGGATTTGCACACACACATACTATATGTAATAGTAGGCACTGTTTTAGAGTGAAATCATGGCCAGGCGTGGTGGCTCACTCCTGTAATCCCCCTTTGGGAAGCTGAAGTGGGATGATTGTTTGAGCCCAGGAGTTCAAGACCAGCCTAAGCAACATAGTATGAGACCCTCTCTCTACAAAAAAATGTAAAACAATAACAACAACAAAAAAGGTCAAATCACATAGAATCATCTTCATCTTTGGACTAGCCTGGGTAACATAGTAAGACCTCATATCTACAAAAAATTTTTTTAAAAATCAGCTAGGCATGGTGGCATGTACCTGTGGTCCTAGCTACTCAGAAGGCTGAGGTGTGAGGATTGCTTGAGCTCAGGAGTTCAAGGCAGCAATGAGCTATGATCATGTCACTGCACTCCAGCCTGGGTGACAGAGTAAGACCGTGTCTCTAAGAAAAAAGAAAAGAAGAAGAAAAGGCTGGGCATGTCGGCTCATGCCTGTAATCCCAGTACTTTGGGAAGCTGAGGCGGGCGGATCACTTGAGGCCAAGAGTTAAAGACCAGCCTGGGCAACATGGCGAGACCCTATCTCTACGAAAAATACAAAAATTAGCAGGGCATAGTGGCGTGCACCTGTGGTTCCAGCTACTTGGGAGGCTGAGGCACAAGAATCACTTGAACCTAGGAAGTGGAGGTTGCAGTGAGCCAGGATCACACCACTGCCCTCCAGCCTGGGCGACAGAGTGAGACCCTGTCTCGAAAAAAAAAAAGAAGGAAAGAAACATCACTTTGTTCTAACGTAAACACAGCATTCTGTGAGAACCAATGCCTGTAATTTAAATCAGCCCCTCTTGCGGACACTTGAGCTGTCCTCCTCGGGGTGGGTGTTCATTTCAAAGCTGCCTTAGGACAGGAAACAGGATCAGTGGAAACCTGCCCCTTCAGGGGCCCCCGGACCCCAGAGGAGACCCACGGGGCTATTTCTGGAGCTGCCTGCCCCAGAGTAACTCCAGCTAGAACTCTAGGCCTAAAGGGAAAACATTACCCAACTATCTCCAAGAACTAAAATTATTAATTTTCTAAAAACAGATTAATTCAGAAGTTATGGAAGATTATTTTTAATTTCAAATCCCCAAGTGGTAATAGGCATTTTGTTTACAGTACTGATACTTAACTGTTTGTGAGGATTTGATTAAGAAAGGGTAATGGTATTGCACTTTTGATTTTTTACCCCCACCAGTTATTATAAAAAGTCCAATAATGTTCGCCTTTCCCCCTCTTCTTTTTTTGAGATGGAGTCTCGCTCTGTCACCCAGGCTGGAGTGCAGTGGCACAATCTTGGCTCACTGCAACCTCCGCCTCCTGGGTTCAAGTGATTCTCATGCTTCAGCCTCCCGAGTAGCTGGGACCACAGGTGGCACCAACACGCCCGGCTAATTTTTGTGTTTTCGTAGAGACGGGGTTTCGCCATGTTGGCCAGGCTGGTCTCAAACTCCTGACCTCAGGTGATCTGCCTGCCCGTGCTGGGATTACAGGCGTGAGCCACCGCGCCCGGCTTCTCCCCGTCTTCTTTATACCAGCTTTGCTATGGTATGAACACAAATCCCTACCAAAATAAGTACACTTTTCCTCAGTCCAGAGAAGGATGTCCAACTCTAAAAAGTGTTTTTTTGTTTGTTTTTTTACGATAACCAACATGAAGGATCACATTGCACATATGTCTCTGTACCCACATACACGCATATGCAGGGGTGCTTTCAAAATATTCAACACAAAATTGGACAAATGTAGAAGACACTTGAGACGGAAACCTTCCACAGTATGAGGTTTTTGTTTTTTGTTTTTTGTTTTTGAGATGGAGTCTCCTCTGTTGCCCAGGCTGGAGTGCAGTGGTGCGATCTCGGCTCACCACAACCTCTGCCTCCTGGGTTCAAGGGATTCTTCTGCCTCAGCCTCCTGAGAAGCTGGGACTACAGGCATGCACCACCATTGTGGAAGGAAAATAAAATAAGTAATAATAAAGTTAAAAATAATAAACATAAGTAATAGTTAACATTAAGTATAGGTTATTTAGAAGTTATACATAGGCTAAGAAATTTAAGCAGCCCCTCCCAGCATTGCTAACAAGTTGCAGCTATGAGCTTATCTCAATCTTCCAAGCTTATTGCCTGCCTCCAGACCCCCGCGTATTTCTGTAATTCCTGTTTTCCCTTACCCCGAAGCTCGAGCTGTCCAGCTTCAAAGTTGACTGGTCAAGATAACTAAATTATATGTTTTCTCAGAATTGTCACGTGTTAAATAATTTACTGTCTTTGTCTGAAACCTGTATCCTGCCTTGTTTTCCCTCCTCAAACGACATATAAGCAAGCCTGCTTTCTGTGTCCCAGTCGGCAGCCATTTTAGGCGTGGGCCTGCTGTCGGCCCGGGTACCTGAATTAAATAAAGTTCTCTTTGGTTTCCAAAGGTCTCTTTGTCTTTTCCTTGGCTGGAGTTTTATTGTAACACCATGCCCGGCTAATTTTTGTATTTTTAGTAGAGATGGGTTTCACTATGTTGGCCAGGCTGGTCTCGAAATCCTGACCTTGTGATCTGTCCGCCTCAGCCTCCCAAAGTGCTGGGATTACGGGTGTGAGCCGTCGCGCCCAGCCCACAGTATGAGCTTTTAATCAGTAAACAAATTTGGGAAAAGGTAATTAATTTGTGGAAAGGTTTTAAAAAATATATTAATTCTCATAATCAGTGACAAATTATTAGGACCACACTCCTGGAATGTGGCAACAGAGAGGGAAATAACACTTATTAAGCACCTATAATGTGTGACACACAATACTAGGTATTGTTTCAAAAGTAATGATTCATAAGAATTTAGTCTTGCTTGAACCTGGGAGGTGGAGGTTGCAGTGAGCTGAGATTGTGCCACTGCACTCCAGCCTGGGCGACAGAGTGAGACTCCATCTCAAAAAAAAAAAAAAAAAAAAAAAAAGAATTTGGTTTATCCTTCATAGCTGTAACTACATAGGATGGCTGTAAGCATTTTTTCTTTTTTTTTTTCTTTAATAAAGATGGGGTGTTCCTATGTTGACCAGGCTGGTCTCAAACTCTTGGCCTAAAGCGATCCTACCATCTTGGCCTCCCAAAGCGCTGGGATTACAGGCTTGAGCCACTGTGCCCAGCCAAGATAGCTATAAATGTTAAATGAGATCATTTTTTTCAGTGTCCCTAAAACAAGTTTCTATCAAAGTAACTAATAGTTATTATATTTGTTTCTCCGCTTGAATGTCTCTGCTGATAAATGGGGAGATTGTTAAGTCTGTAAACAATTGCTGTTTGCCTGTCTGTACTCAGTGCATAGCCTGGTGACAGATATATAATATGTAATAAATAAATGCAAATTTCATGTAATCAAGTACCCACGCTGGCACCTACCAAACGGTTTTCAATAAAATTATGTTTTTAAATTTATTTTAGGCTGGGTGCAGTGGCTCATGCCTGTAATCCCAGCACTTTGGGAACCTGAGGCAGGTGGATCACTTGAGGCCAGGAGTTTGAGACCAGCCTGGCCAACACAGTGCAACTGTTTCTACTGAAAATACAAAACTTTTGCTGGGTGTGGTGGCACATGCCTGTTATATCAGCTACTCAGGAGGCTGAGGCACAAGAATCACTTGAACCCAGGAGGCGGACGTTTCAGTGAGCCGAGATCCCACCACTGTATTCCAGCCTGGGCAGCAGAGTGGAATACAAAAAAATAAAATGAATAATAAATGTATTTATTTTATTTTAATTTTTTGAGAAGGAGTTTCACTCTTGCTGTCCAGGCTGGAGTGCAGTGGTGCAATCTCAGTTCACCGCAACTTCCACCTCCCAGGTTCAAGTGATTCTCCTGCCTCAGCCTCTCAAGTAGCTGGGATTACAGGTGTGCGCCACCACACCCGGCTAATTTTTTGTATTTTAGTAGAGATGGAGTTTCACCATGTTGGCCAGGCTGCTCTAGAACTCCTACCTCAGGTGATCCACTTGCCTTGGCCTCCCCAACTGCTGGGATTACAGGCGTAAGCCACTGCACCCAGCCTATTTTATTTTTTGAGAGACAGGGTCTCACTATGTTGCCCAGGCTGGTCTCCTAGGCTCAAGTGATCCTCCCTTTTGTCCTCTCAAAGTGCTGGCATCACAGGTGTGAGACACCACGCCTGACCTAAAATTATGTTGTTAAATAAATTCTTTCAAAAAATTAACAACAAGTGGCTGGGCGTGGTAGTTCAAGACCAGCCTGGGAAACCCCATTTCTACAAAAAAAATTTTTTTAATGAGCCGGGTATAGTGGTACAAGCCTATAATCTTAGCTACTCAGGAGGCTGAGGTGGGAGGCTTGCTTGAGCCTAGGAATTCAAGGCTGCAGTAAGCCATGATTGTGCCATTGCACTGCAGCCTGGGCAACAAAGCGAGACCACGTTTATAAAAAAAAAAAAAAAGAAGAAGAAGGAAAAGAAAGAAAAAGAGAGAAAGAGAAATAAGGTCCTTAGTTTGGGGATTTTCTATTGCCATAAATAAATAAACGTTTTTACAAAGAAATAAGATCTTTACAGTTTGCAATGTTCCCCAATAGTTGCTGTTTTATTCTGTTCTGTTCCATTTCTTTAAAAAAAAAAAAAAAAAAAAAAAAAGAACAGCACCTCTGCACTCCAGCCTGGGTGACAGAGGAGAACTCTGTCTCTAAAGAAAGCTAAAATAAATAAACAAACAAAACAAAACATTGGACAAAACTCAGCAAAAGGTTTTCACAACTCCGTAGTGTGTCCTGGGCTACTATTTGAAAAACACCCAGTTCCAAGGTAATGAAATTTATTTTAAATCAATAATACCCTCCCTGCTTAACAAGTATATCCTCAGCTCAGAGTTTAGAGCACTGTCCAGGGTTTGGAAATACGAAGAAGTCCCCAACCAGCGACTCCAACCCTCCATCCCTTACAGCAGCTAAGCCAGGTGGGGAAGGTGGAATAGGTGGCTCACTCACCTTGAAGTGGAAGGAGTTTGCCGGGGACCCGCTGGAGCTATACCGCTCACTTTTTGTTAGGTTGCTGTAGTACTTATTAACCTTGGAATTGACATTCTGGTTCGAGCTTGGGTCATCCGTGATGGGGCAGATGAAGTAACCTTCCTCATCGTCGCTGTCCCCATCAGAATCACCATCATGGCCAGCTCGGGGGGACTGGCCGCCATCAACGCCTTCCAGGCGGAAGATGAGATCTTCGTCTGCCATGTTCCTGGGGTGCCCGTTTTACCCAAGCAGTATCCGGCACAGCCAGAGTTACTGGACAAATGCAGAGGCGAAGGTCCTACAAGGAAAGCAAGGGCCAGAGAGTGGGTGCTGGGGCCCAGGGCTGCGAATTCGCCCGACCCTCACCCCAAATGCTGCAGGCTATCGCAGGAGCTGGCACCCTTGGGGTAAAACCTAGAGCTATCTTTTGGGGAGGCAGTTGGCAGCACCCAGGCACATTTTAAATTCGAAACCCGCTGACCCAGTCGTCATTCCACTTTTAAGAACTCAGTGTTTGCAAATGTTGGAACCAGGTTGGGAAAGGAATGGCTTCTTAAGCAGAGTGCTCTTTTTAGCACATCAATTAGATCGAGGCACTCCTCTGCTTAACGCCCACCCCTGGCAGCTTCCTTTCACATTCATAATAAAATCCAAATGCCTTGGTAAGGCTGCAAGAGCTGCGTTCATCTAGCGTGCTGCCCACTTCTCCTCCGGCCCTGGCTGCTCTCCAGGTACACTGGGTTTCTTTCTGTTCTGTGAACACATTAAGTTCATTCCGACCTCCGAGCCTTTGTACCTGCTGTTCCTTGTGCCTGGAACAACCTTTCTAACAGTGGGTTCTTTCTCATCATTGAGCTCACAGCTCACAGATGCCTCTTCAGTGAAATCTTCTGTGAATCCCCAAATCAAAGAACCCTTAACCCAACATGCATATCCAATCACTCCCTTGCATATCACCCCATTCCATTTCTTTCTTTGTTCTTTTTTTTTTTTCTTCTGAGACAGAGTTTCACTCTTGTCACCCAGGCTGGAGTGCAATGGTGCGATCTTGGCTCACTGCAACCTCCACCTCCCAGGTTCAAGCGATTCTGCTGCCTCAGCCTCGCGCGTAGCTGGGATTCCAGGTGCCTACCACCACAACTAGCTAATTTTTGCATTTTTAGTAGAGATGGCATTTCACCATGTTGGCTAAGCTGGTCTTGAACTTCTGACCCCAGGTGATCCTCCTGCCTGGGCCTCCCAAAGTGCTGGGATTACAGGCGTGAGCCACCACATCCGGACTTTTTTCTTTTCTTTTCTTTTTTTTTTTGAGACAGAATCTTGCTCTGTCATCCAGGCTGGAGTACAGTGGTGCAATCCTAGCTCACCTAGGTCACTGCTTGACCTCACAGGCCCAAGCAATCCTCCCACTCAAACCTCCCAAGTAGCTAGGATCACAGGTGTATGCCACCAAGCCTGGCCAATTTTCTTTGTTTTTTGTAAAAACAGGGTCTCCCTATGTTGCCCAGACTGGTCTCAATCTCCTGGGCTCAAGTGATCCTCCTGCCTTGGCCTCCCAAAATGCTGGGATTACAGGCATGCTTCATTTCTTCATTGTGCTTTTCTCAAACTGAAATCACCCCGTTTACTTTGTTATTGTCTGTATGCCCAATACCTCCAAAAGTGTTTGGCACAGAGAAGGCACTCAATGCACTTTCCCAGAATGAAGGAGTGGCCCTAAAAGCATTTTTTGTTTGTTTGTTTTTCTTTGAGACAGAGTCTGGCTCTGTGGAGTGCAGTGGCATGATCTCGGCTCACTGCAACTTCCGCCTCCCGAGTTCAAGCAATTCTCCTGCCTCAGTCTCCTGAGTAGCTGGGATTACAGGCATCCACTACCACGCGCGGCTAATTTTTGTATTTTTAGTAGAGACGGGGTTTCACCATGTTGGCCAGGCTAGTCTTGGACTCCTGACCTCAGGTGATCCGCCTGCCTCGGCCTCCCAAAGTGCTGGGATTACAGATGTGAGCCACCACGCCTGGCCTAAAAGCACTTTCTGTAGCACAATCAGTAACAGCAACAAAACAAAACCCAACAACCCCAAATGTCCAATAGAAGCTCATTATACAGATTACAGTATTTCTCTCTACACCATGAAATACTCCGTGCCTGTTAGAAAGGGGACGGTCCCATACCCACAAACACACAAAAATAATCAAGAAAGAGTTCAGGAAGATTGTAGGATAGAACTGTCACATTTACAGCCACCTGATTTTCAACAAGGGTGCCAAGATAATTCACTCTCAGTTTTACAGTCACTTGATTTTCAACAAGCCAAGATGATTCAACAGGGAAGGAAGAATCTTTTCAACAAATGGTGTTGGGATAAATGAATATCCACATGCAAAAAAATGAAGTTGATCCCCTTCCTTACGCCATACCCAAAAATTAAGAAATTAGAAAACACTCTGGCACCAGCCTGGCCAACATGGCGAAACCCTGTCTCTACTAAAAATATAAAAGGTAGCCAGGCGTGGTGGTGCATGCCTATAATCCCAACTACTTGGGAGGCTGAGGTGAGAGAATTGCCTGAGCCTGGGAGGCAGAGGTTGCAGTGAGCTGAGACTGTGCCATTGCACTCCAGCCTGGGTGACAGAGTGAGACCTTGTCTAAAAACAAAACAAAACCAAAAAAAAAAAAAAAAAACAGAAAAAAACAACATCTCAAAAAGTTAAACACTGAGTTACCGTATGATCCAGCAATTCCACTCCTAGGTGCTGACATACACTACAATATGGATGAAACTTACAACCACTAGGGGAGGTGAAAGGCAGTGACAAAAGACTATATACATTGACTAATTCTCTGTATATGAAACTTCCAGAGAAGGCAAAGCAACAGCAATAGAAAATAGATTAATGGTTGCCTGAGGATGGAGGTAGGGTGTGGTGGTGGGAATGGTTGGGGGAAATGGGGAATGATTGCTAATGGGTATGGGGTTTCTTTTGAGTTGATGAAAAGGTTCTAAAATTGACTGTGGCTATATGACTATGAATATACCATTGAATTGTACTATCTATCTATCTGAGATGGAGTCTCACCCTGTCACCCAGGCTGGAGTGCAGTGGCACAATCTCGGCTCACTGTAACCTCCACCCCCAGGTTCAAGTGATTCTCCTGCCTCAGCCTCCCAAATAGCTGGGACTACAGACACGCACCACTGTGCCCAGCTAATTTTTGTATTTTTTTTTTTTTTTTTTTTTTTTAGGGACGGGGTTTCACCATGTTGGCCAGGCTGTTCTCGAACTCCTGAACTTGTGATCTGCCCACCTCAGCCTCCCAAAGTGCTGGGATTACAGGCATGAGCCACTGCTCCCAGCCAGAATCGTACATTTTAAATGAGCAGATTGTAAGGTATGTGAATTTTATCTCAAGAAAGCCAAAGTTTTAAAGAAAAGAAAGTCGGATGTGGTGGTTCATGTCTGTAATCCCAGCACTTTGGGAGGCCGAGGTGGGAGGATCGCTTGAGCCCAGAAGTTTAAGACCAGCCTGGGCAACATAATGGGACCCTGACTTTACAAAAAAAATACAAAAAATTAGCTGGGTGTGATGGTGCGTGCCTGTAGTCCCAGCTACTCAGGTGGTTGAGGTGGGAAGATCACTTGAGCCCAGGAGGTTCAAGTGAGCCCAGAGGCTGCAGTGAGCTGAAATTGCACCACAACACTCCAGCCTGGGCAATACAGCAAGACCCTGTCTCCAAAAAAAGAAAAGAAAAGAAAAAGGACCTGTGTACATGCATGAAAACTTCCCTGAAAAATCCACAGGAACTGTACAGCACTCGAAATAAGCAGCTGTAGAGCTGGAGGAAACTTTTTATTTTTAATTTTTTAATTTTTTTTGAGATAGAGTCTTGCTCTGTTGCCCAGGCTGGAGTGGGGTGGCACAATCTTGGCTCACTGCAAGCTCTGCCTCCCAGGTTCAAGCGATTCTCCTGCCTCAGCCTCCCGAGTAGCTGGGATTACAGGAGCCCACCACCACACCCAGCTAATTTTTGTATTTTTAGTAGAGGCGGGGTTTCACCATGTTGGCCACAGTGGCCTTGAACTCCTGACCTCAAGTGATCTGCCCGTCTTGGCCTCCCAAAGTGCTAGAATTACAGATATGAGCCACTGAGCCTGGCCAGCTTTTTAAAACTTTGTATGTTTCTATACTGCTTTAACTTTTTTACAAAGCTGGATTGCTTTAGACACAAAATAGTAAGTAAATTAGTTTAAAAATTTTTTTACATCAAACCAATAATTCCAATTTTTTTGACAGTGCTGTCCATCAGGTGCACAGTCTTCTAGAGCCAAGGCTTTGGTACTCTGGCTACCGAAGCAGGAAATATATTTATATCCTAACCCACTACATGCTTATAAAATGGACAGTAAAATTTCAAGAAATTGTGCTTAGCCTTACTTTGTATAATGCGCTCTTGCTATTTTTTTTTTTTAAATGTTATTTTTAGAGACAGGTTGCCCTGGCTGGAGTGCAGTGGTGTGATCACAGCTCACTGTAGCCTCCAACAGCTGGGTTCAGGTGATCCTCCCGCCTCAGCCTCCAGAGCAGTCCATGCCACCATGCCCGGCTAAAGTTTTTTATTTTTGTACAGACAGAGTCTCACTATGTTGGCCAGGCTGGTCTTGAACTTCCAGCCTCAAGTGATCCTCCCACCTTGGCCTCCCAAAGCACTAGGATTACTGATGTGAGCCACTGTGTTTGGCCCACTCTTGCTATTTTCTATTCTACTTAAGTCCTCTGTTTTTTCTTTCTGTTTAATCTTTTTCCTTAACACACCACCCACACATTGATTTCTATACTCACCGTTTGAAAACCAACGTGAACTACTGAGTTTGTTTCTTATCCTCTGGGCAAGACACAGTCACAGGCCTGGATCCAATGCCAGAGCCACCTGATCCTGCTTGTCAGCAGAATCTTCCCTGAGCCCTGGACTGGCCTCTCCTCACTGTCAGCTGCTCCCAGCCCCAGCGCCTACTCTGCCCTGGTCAGCCCTTGGCCAGAATCCCTGCTGACCAACACGGCGTGGTGCCAGGAGCTGCCAGCAGGCCCAGCCTAGTCAGCGGCCACTGGGGGCCAGGACAGTGCCAGGAGGAGGGCCAGAACCACAGCCCCAAGCTGCAGACCTCCAGACAGTGTAGTTCGGTGGTTAAAAGCTCAGATCCAGGGCCAGGCGTGATGGCTCATGCCCGTAATCCCAGCACTTTGGGAGGCCAAGGTGGGCAGATCGCTTGAGCTCAGGAGTTCGAGGCCAGCCTGGGGAACATGGCGAAATCCTGTCTCTACGAAAAAATACAAAAATTAGCCGGGCGTGGTGGTGTGTGCCTGTAGTCCCAGCTACTCAGGAGGCTGAAGTGGGAGGATCACTTGAATCTGGGGAGGCAGAGGCTGCAGTGAATTGAGATTGTGCCACTGCCTGGGCAACAGAGCAAGACCTCATCTCAAATAAGCAAAAAACAAAAAAAAAAGCACGCTCAGATTCAGGATCTGGGCTGCTAGCGAGCAAATCTGGCTCCTTACCCAATTAATTCACGGAGCCGACTCCCTCATCTTACAGTGTGGGGAGCTCGGCCCTCGGCCATGTCCCACCACAGACCTGACGTTCTCCTCGGCCCTGGGAAATGAAGACAAGCAGCTGTGACCCTGCCTGGCACAGCGCCTTGTACACAGCAGGCACTTGATATGCATTCCAGAGCTAAGTGAGTGTCATCTGTTTTATGGCTTTTGAGTTGTCATAAATTTGCTCTTAAGGCAGCTGTGGCAAACTATCCCCCAATAGCTGTTCACTCTTTCTTCCTTGATAAGAGAACCACCGGGTTTTGGCTAAGCATGTCACGTGGCCACTCAGGATACATTTCCCAGACTCCTTTGCAGATAGATATAAACATGTGAACAAGTTTTAGTCAATGGGATATAAGAAGGACTGTGTGCAACCATAGGGAAGGGTTCTTAAAGGGAGTGTGCCCCTTGGCTCTCCTTCCAACCTGCTGGCTGAAATGCACATGTGATTGCCGGAGCTCAAGCAGCTACCCTAGACCATGAGGCGGATGGCCCTGTGCTGAGGCTGGAAGAGCTATGAGACAAACAGAACCTGGGTCTCTTATACCATGGGACAGCATAACAATCCTGGATTCAGAAACTTCATACTCTGATAGCTAAACTTGTATAATCTACTGTAATTTTCTTTTTTCCTTTCTACTTGCTAATTTTATTTGGTAACAGTAGCTCCTTCTCTCCCATATCATAAAAAGTCACATCCTCTTTTTTGTAAAGTTTTATTTTTTGAGAAAGGGTCTTGTTCTGCTGCCCAGGCTGGAGTAAAATTGTGCAATCAGAGCTCATTGCAGCCTTGATCTCTGGGCTCAAGTGATTCTCCTACCTCAGCCTCCTGAGTAGCTGGGACTACAGGTGTGTGTCACTATGCCCACCTAATTTTTTATTTTTGTAGAGACACAGTTTCACTATGTTGCCCAGGCTAGTCTCGAACTCCTGGCCTTAAGCAATCCTCCCACCTTGGCCTCCTGAAGTGTTGGGATGACAGGCGTGAGCCACTGCACCTGGCCTAAAGGTCACAACCTTTATGACAAATGGGTGCCTGGGCAGGGTCAACCTGGGAAAACTGTGGCCTCAATCCATAGTCCTAACTTGGCAGATACTCTTACATTTGCACATGAAGACTGGGTACCTGGAGGATGTTGGATTTCCCCAAACAAGCAAGGAACCTTCCTTAGCCTTTAAGTCAGTTCCAGGAGGCCTGTTCTAACACCAGGCAAGATGCCCAGCCTCCTAGGGGTCTCTATCTATCCTGGGGTTCCCTTGGCCCAAAGAAAGGATCTACTCCTGTGATAAGAATAGGACTCCAGCTGAAAGACATCAGGATTTTTCTTGAAAGCTTTCTCTACCTCACTCAGGCATCCACATCTTCTCCTCCCAGTCCCTATTTCTTTTCTTTTTTCTCTTTTTTTTTTTTTTTTTAATTTTTTTGTTTGAACTCCTGCCCTCAAGTGATCCACCCTCTTCGGCCTTCCAACGTGCTGGGGATTAAAGGCATGAGCCACTGCGCCCGGCCTCCAGTCCCTATTTCTATGGAAAGGTAGCTGAGTGAGTCAGGAAGACCCAGGTTCAAGCCCCATCTCTACCACTAACTGGCTATGTGACTTCACCTCTTGAGCCTCAGTGGGGATGCATAATTGTACTCACTCCGTGAACTCAACAGCTATTATAAAGGGACTGAGCCTTGGGTCCCAGCCAGACTTGTGACCTGGACGTCTGGCTCGTAGCAAAGCCAAGCTTCTTCAGGGGTCCTCAGGGAATACACTATTTCAGTCTCTGGCGACGGAAACCACTGTCTCACTGGGTCTCGATCTGGCAGTTACAGGGGCAGGAAACTATGCCTGCAATGCTCAGGTCAAGGCCTGCGGGTCAAGCCACAGTGGCCACTGGTCCCCCTCGGGGCTCACCCTCACCCCAGGACCTGCCTTCCTACCATAGAAAGCAGGTGGAATCTTCCCACCGCCACTCCTGGGAACCAGCATCCCAAAGCCAATAACGTGGCACCCCGAGCTGGCCAATGCACACACTAGTGTACGCCCAGCACAGCACAACCCACACGCCCTTGACTACAACCACAGTGGACACAGGTGATTGATCAGCCACCTGGAATCACGCACCAGCTTCTGTGTGAGGATCTGCCTCTGCCCCACCCTCGAGTCATGTGTTCAGGAGTGTGTCACAAGATCCAGGCCTAAACCAACCACTGGGGTGCCTGGCCACAGAGATTGGCTTAGAGGTGGTCATGTGATTACAGTCAAACTATTCTAGCCCATTGCAGCAAACCTGGGGCTTTTTGCTTGAGTGACTGGAAGAGGTGATCAGCCTTTTCATGCTGAATGTGAACTTGAGAATGGGGCTGAGGCCAACACAGAACAAAGCTGATACGTGGTGGAGGGCAGAACCAGAGAAAGAGAAAAATGAATAGCGATGATGTCATTTGAGACCTGGAATCCAGATGTTCCCGAAACCAAACTACCAAGCCCAGCGTAGATTTCTGAATCAGATGATACAATAAACCCCGCCTTTTGGGGGGCAGTAGGGGAAAGGGCTATTTAGCTAGTTACAGATAGGTTTTCTGTCACATGCAATATGAAAATCCCCAAACCAGCCAGGCACGGTGGCTCACGCCTGTAATCTCAACACTTTGGAAGGCCAAGGCAGGTGGATCACCTGAGGTCGGGAGTTCGAGACCAGCCTGGCCAACATGGTGAAACCCCGTCTCTACTAAAAATACAAAAATTAGCGGGGCATGGTGGCACGAGCCGGTAATCCCAGTAATCCCAGCTACTCGGGAAGCTGAGGTGGGAGAATTGTTTGAACCTGGGAAGCAGAGTTTGCAGTGAGCCAAGATCGTGCCACTGTACTCCAGCCTGGGCGACAGAGTGAGACTCTGTCCAAACCCAGCCAGGGTTTGGGCCATTGTATATTATTTATATATAATTTTAAAAATGCTTTAAACACCTTTTTCTTACTAGGGCCACTGTATATGATCATATAGGTGGGGTACTGCTCAACTCTAGTGAACAACCTTTGCAACTTTGCACGGGCAGCCCTACTTCCCAACCCTAGAGGCAACTACTTCCAACTATTCTCAGTGTTATCCTTCGCATCTCTCTCTCTCTCTCTCTCTATCTATCTATCTATATATATCACTAAATAATACGCTTCCTGATTCTTTTTTTTTTTTTTTTTTTTTTTGAGACAGGGTCTTGCTCTGTCACCCAGGCTGGAGTCCAGTGGCGCAATCTTGGCTCACTGCAACCTCTGTTTCCTAGGCTCAAGTGATCCTCCCATATAAGCCGCCGGAGTAGCTGGGACCACAGGCACGCGTCACCATACCCAGCTAATTTTTGTATATTTTTGTTGAGATGGGATTTCACCATGTGCCCAGCTGGTCTCAAACTCCTGGACTCAAGGGATCCACCCATCTCAGCCTCCCAAAGGGCTGGGATTACAGGCATGAGCCACTGCACCCGGCCCTGATTATTTCTTAATTTATCTATTTTCATCCTATCTTCTGATTTCCAGGTATGATAAATGAGACTTTAGCTCTACTTCCCCTTACTACTTCCCTTCCCCACCCTATCCCTACACTGGTAGGTCTTCTTCTGGTTCCTTTATTTATTTATTACAGACGGCATCTTGCTGTGTTGCCTAGGCTAGTCTCAAGCCCCTGGTCTCAAGTGATCCTCCCGCGTCAACCTCCCAAAATGTTGAGATTACAGGCATGAGTCACAGTGCCCAGCCATCTGGTTCCTTTACATACCATGCCAAGGACACTGTCTTATTCCACCAACTAGAAGAAGCTGAGTTTCTCACAGTTTAACACGAATTCAGAGAAGGGAGAGTGTGGCTTTTGTGCTGTGAATGAGTGATAAGTAAGCAGAAGAGCTACTTATCTGCTTATCAACCTCAAAAGCTTATCAACCTCAAAAAGGCGTAATTTCTATGGAAATAAGAAAGACAAATAATGCACGTGAAAGACTGACTGCACACCAGGTGCTACACTGGACTCTCCTCTGACAATGACAGGAGCTGCTAGGTCCAGAAGTGACAGTCTACCTCTGAAAAGGCAACCTTAAGGGAGCGGAACTACACAGCGCTAGGCTGTTGAGGGCTGCACCTGGCTTGTTCTGAAGATATTTTAAACCCTAGCTGGAGTCCCGAGTTTCCTTCAAACAAGAAACAAAAACCAAAGCCCAATACAGTGGCTAACAGCTTGTCCTCTACAGCCGCATGGCCAGGGTTTGAATCCTGGGCCCCACCATTAGGAGCTGGGACCCTCTCCTAGACAATAGACTTGTCAGGTGGGCTGTGACATCCTAAGGTCTGCACTGCTGTCTCCATCCCTCCCCCCATACCTTGTATTGCCTTCAGTGCACAGGTGCTCAACATGAACTCAAATACCCTTATGTTTAGTGTTTCTTTTGTTTTGAGATGGAGTCTCCCTCTGTTACCCAGGCTGGAGTGCAGTGGCGTGATCTCGGCTTACTGCAACCTCCGCCTCCCGGATTCAAGTGATTCTTCTGCCTCGGCCTCCCGAGTAGCTGGGATTACAGGCACCCGCCACCACACCTGGATAATTTTTGTATTTTTAGTAGAGACGGGGTTTCACCATGTTGGTCAGGCTAGTCTTGAACTCCTGACCTCAAGTGATCCACCCGCCTCAGCCTCCCAAAGAGATGGGATTATAGGTGTGAGTCACCGTGTCTGGCTGCTCAGTGTTTATTTACTGGGATGCAGCATTAGGAGTGATTAAGTCAAGCATCAAGCTAAGAGTTCACATCAGTGTCTTAATGTCTGCACCCCTAGCATATAATGGGTGCTCATAAACATTTATTTAAACTATTGAGAGAAATAGTACATCAGAATGAAAGGACCAATTTACAGAGTCCAGCCCATCCGTCCCTTCCTCCCTGCCATCTCAGCTTCCCAAGTTTCCAAGTCCAAGAATCAATCTCCATGCACCACCAAACTCTCCTCACCTCCTTGCCCTTGTATCTATCTGCAGGTGCCTCTGAGGCAGGCGAATAGGGTCTGGAGGCAGGGAACCTAAGGCTGATTCAGGCTGACTTCCTAGAACTAAATCAAAAGGAAAACCCCTACTTTCCAAGCCCAAGTAACAAAAGGACCAGAGGCTACTCCCTTTGCAACCCCCAACTTACCTGCGTGGCAGATGAAAAACTGAAGTTACCTCTGATTGGTCCCTTCCCACAACCAATCAGGCTGGTGCTGGCCAAGTCCTCGTTTGTATAGGAGTCTTCATTTGTAACTTCACTTCAGCCTCTGATTGGTCGCATTCCACAACCTATCAGACTGATCCCAGGCCATTACTTCATTTACATAGGGTGTACATCAAGTAACCAATGGGAAACCTCTAGAGGGTTTTTAAACCCCAGGCAATTCTGTAAGCAATCTGCTCAAGCCCACTCCCACCCTGTGGAGTGTACTTTTGTTTTCTGTAAATATTTGCTTTCGTTGCTTTCTTTCCTTGTTTTGTTCGTGTGTTTTGTCCAATTCTTTGCTCAAAATGCCAAGAACCTGGACACCCTCCACCAGTAACACCTCTGCCTGGAATCCCTTTCCCACTCACTAGCAAAACCCTTTAATCTCTTCAAGACGCAGCTCAAATGTTGACCTCCTCCAGAAAGCCTTCCTTGTTTGTTTCTTTTGGGTTTGTTGTTGTTGTTGTTGCTGAGAGAGTCTGGCTCTGTTGGCCAGGCTGGAGTGCAGTGGTGCAATCATAGCTCACTGCAGCCTCCAACTCCTGGGCTCAAGTGATCCTCCCACCTCAGCCTCCATTGTACCTGGGACTACAGGTGCATACCACCCACATCTGGCTAATTATGTTATTTTATTTTTATAGAGATGGGCGTCTCCCTACATTGCCCAGGCTGGTCTCTTTTCTTTTTTTTTTGAGACAGGGTCTCACTCTGTCACCCAGGCTGGAGTGCAATGGTGCAATCATGGCTCACGGCAGCCTCAGTCTCCCAAGCTCAAGTGATCCTCTTGCCTCTGAACTCCTGGCCTCAAGCGATCCTCTTGCCTCGACCTCCCAAAGTTGATTACATGCATGAGCTACTGCACCTGGCCTCCAGAAAGCCTTCCTTGGATAGTTCCCTCCTCTGTAAACAGGGGTCAGCTAACAGTACCCCTGCAGGGGTTGTTCTGAGGATACAATGAGATTAGGCACATGGTGTCTGGGATAGACTTGACTCTCAAAAGTACTAGCTGCTGTTATGTCCCAATAATCCTCCAGTCCCCGACTCCCTAAATCACTTCGCTCCCTACAAACCCTCCACAAGCAAATTTCATTATAACCTGAGGCCAGACTGTCTGCGGCAGGCAGAAACATGGCTCCCCTAAGATGGCTACATCCTAATCCCTGGAACCTGTGAATATGTTACCTTATATGGCAAAAGGGACTTTGCAGATGTGATTAAGGATCTTAAGATGGGAGACAGTCATGGATTATCCTGTGAGCCCAGTGTAATCACAAGGATCCTTATAAAAAGGAGGTAGAAGGGTCAGAGTTAGAGGAAGAGATGTGACCAAAGACAGAAAGGTGTGAAGTTGCCACACTGCTGGCTTCAAAGATGGAAGGGAGGGGCCAGGAGCCCAAGGAATGAGGACAGCCCCTAGAATCTGGAGAAGGCAAAGAAACCGATTTTCTCCTGGGGCCTCCAGAAGGAACACAGCCATGCTGACACCTAGATTTTAGAACTTCTGATCCCCAGGAACTATAAGATAATAAATGTGTTGTTTTAAAGCCACTAAGTAATTGCAGCAATTTGTTACAGCAGCAATTGGAAACTAACGAAGTCCTGAAGAGCAGCTCTCAACCTTGGGCAATTTTGCTCCCTCAAGGGACATTTGGCAATGTCTAGAGACATTTTCAGTTGTTGAAACTCTAGGGGTGCAACTAGCATCTAGTGGATAGAGGCCAGGGATGCTGCCAAACATCCTAAAATAAACAGAACAGTCCCCTGCAGTGAAGAAGGTCCGGCCCAATGTCAGTGCCGAGGCTGAGAAACCCAGCTCTAGAATGAATCTGGTGGAATTTCTTTCTTTTGTTTTTTGAGATGGAGTCTCACTCTGTCGCCCAGGCTGGAGTGCAGCAACTACATCTTGGCTCACTGCAAACTCCATCTCCCAGGTTCAAGTGATTCTTGTGCCTCAGCCTCCTGAGTAGCTGGGATTACAGGTGTGTGCCACCATGCCTGGCTCATTTTTGTATTTTTAGTAGAGACAGGGTTTCACCATGTCACCCAGGCTGATCTTGAACTCCTGACCTCAGGTGATCCACCCATCTCCGCCTCCCAAAGTGCTGGGATTACAGGCGTGAGCCACTGTGCCTGGCCTCTTTCTTTCTTTTTTAAGAGACTGGGTGGGTGTCTTGATCTCTCATCCAGGCTGGAGTGCAGTGGCATAATCACAGCTCACTGCATCCTTGAACTCCTGGGCTTAAGGGATCCTCCCGCCTCAGCCTCCTGAGTAGCTGGGACTACAGGCCTGTGCCACTATGCCTGGCTTATTTTAAAAAATTTTTTGTAGAGATGGTGTCTTGCCACTCCTGGACTCAAGTGATCCTCCAGCCACAGCCTCCCAAAGTGTTGGAATTACAGGTGTGAGCCACTGTGTCCAGCCTCTGGTGTAATTTTAAGGAGCCCTCCCCAACCCTCTCTTCCCCTTTTCCTTTTAAAAACAAATCTCCCCACATACCATAAAGAGACAGAGAAGGCCAGGTGCGGTGGCTCACGACTGTAATCCCAGCACTTTGGGAGGCCGAGGCAGGCGGATCACGAGGTCAGGAGTTTGAGACCTGACCAACATGGTGAAAACCCCATCTCTACTAAAAATACAAAAACCAGCTGGGTGTGGTGGTGTGTACCTGTAATCCCAGCTACTTTAGGAGGCCAAGGCAGAAGAATTGCTTGAACCTGGGAGGCGGAGGTTGCAGTGAGCCAAGATCGTGCCACTGCACTCCAGCCTGGGTGACACAGCAAGACTCTGTCTCAAAAAAAAAAAAAGAAAGAGACAGAGAAATCAACTTACCGATGTAAACAGCAACCTGCTGCAGAAGCCAGAGATACGTCATCATTTGCTCTGCTAAAGGCTCGTAAAAATATCATTGCAGTACACTGTGTTTTCTGCATATAAAACTGTCATCATGCAAGGGCTATTTTATTGTTTCAGGAATCTGAAAAATGCATTTTGGAATATGAAACACAAAATATAATTATAGCTTTGATTAGCAAAATGCACAAGGGAGCTTGAACTGTAATGTTTAATCACTTGCTGGGCACTCTCTGCATGTCCACGGTACACTCTACTCCTGGTGGGTCAGCTCAGGGATACAGCACGTCTCACTTCTCACATGAACTGTGTGCCCAGCCCTCTCGGTGGCCAGACCATGTGAGTGTCTTGAACAAAAGGGGCCGTGTGTCTTGTTCCTCTGCAGCTCCCAGCCCAAAGCACAATGCCTGGCACACACCATAAATGCACAAGTGCATGCTGCATGAATCAACGAGTAAGTGAAGAAAAGCTGGCAGTTTCCTGCTGATATAATGGAGAAACAGAAGGACTTTTGGGTTGTGGCTGGGCACGGTGGTTGACCCCTGTAATCCCAGCACTTTGGGAGACCGAGGCAGGCAGATCACTTGAGGCCAGGAGTTCGAGACCAGCCTGGGCAACATGGAGAAACCCCATCTCTACCAAAAATACAAAAATTAGCCAGGTGTGGTGGCACACGACCTGTATAGTCCCAGCTACTTGAGAGGCTGAAGCATGAGAATCACTTGAACCAAGGAGACAGAGGTTGCAGTAAGCCAAGATTGTGCCACTGCACTCCAGCCTGGGCAGCAGGGCAAGACTCTATCCCCCCGCCCCCAGACCTCCGAAAAAACAAACAAACAAAAACAAACAAAACAACCTACTGTGTTGTAACTACATAGGAGTTACTTAGTCCAATGACATGGCTGAGGTCGTAGTGGGAAAGACTGGCTCATGGAGGACCTGATAAGCACCAAAACCAGATCTAGCCAAACAAGGCCTTTGGGATGAATTCAAGTCCTGGCCCTGCCACAGTCAGCTGAGGAATGCTGGGGGAAATTACTTAACCTTCTGAACCTCAGCTTCTTCATCTGTAAAATTCATCTACTCAACAGAGTGGAGCAAAGTGAGCAAGGTGGAGAAGAAGTGAGAGAGGGGGCCTGAAAACCACAGGTGGCACAGAGAGCTGGCTTTCCTCCAGGAATCCTTTCTCCCCTGCCTGGCCACGGACATTTCCCAGCATCCCTTGCAGCTAGGTAAGGTCATGTGACTGCATTCTGGCCAATGAAAGAGCACAAATAACTTGTACCATTTCTGAGCCCGTCCAGCAGCCCATTTTCCATACCCTGGTTGGCTTCCTCTCCACTGTGATCCTGCCCAGAACAGATTGGTAGCATTTCAGTATCACTTACAAAGCACTTGCTACATAACTCCTCCCAGCTCCCTAGAAGGCAGGCACTCCTTCCTCCTCGGGCTCTGAACATGCTATGCCCTCTGTCTGGTACACACCCCAGCCTGTCCTCCCTACTCATCCCCTGGCCAACTTGACTGCTCATCCCTCAGGTCTCAGCTTAGATATCACCTCCTTCATGAAGCCTCCCCTGAACCCCAGGAGTTAGTCGCTCTTAGCTTCATTCTACAGATGAGAAAACTAAGGAACAGAGAGGTTATGTGACTTATCCCAAATCACATGACTAGAGTTGGGTTTGAAGCTGGTGCGGGCTGAATCCAGAGCTTTCAATGCAGTCATCACTTCCTTAACCAGCGCTTCTAAAAGTATGGGACCAGCTGCCGCAGCAGCCACTGCAGCAGCCTCACCTGGCAACTTGCTGGTAATGCAAATTCTCAAGCCTCACTACAGACCTACTAAATTAAACTCTGGGGATGGGTCCAGCAATCAAAGTGTAAGCAAGTCCTGCTGGGGATGCTGATGTGCACTGAAGTTAGAGAAACGCTGGCCTAGGGCAATTTTCCGCAGTTTAGCCACCTACTTCCGGGTGCTTCCTCTGGCTTGCTAGTCCTTGCTAGAGCTCGAAAGCTTCACAGCTGGAGAACAGAACGCCATCCACCTTCTGACTCTGGAGCCATTTGAGACGCTTCTCTAGGAGTCCCACAGCCCTGGGACTTTGGGGGTTGTGGGGAGCACTGTTATTTTCTGCTTTATCATCAGCGTGTTAGTGACTCACTCCTTCCTTTGTCTGAAGCCTTCTTATATGGTTGGGCACGGCTCATGCCTGTGATCCTAACACTTTGGGAGGCCCAGACAGAAGAATCGCTTGAGCCCAGAGTTCAAGCCCAGCCTGGGCAACAGAGTGAGACCCCATCTCTACACTAAAATTAAAAGTTAGCCAGCCATGGTGGTAGCTCATGTCTGTAGTCCCAGCTACTTGGGAGGCTGAGGCAGGAGGATCACTTGAGCCGAGGAGTTCCAGGCTGCAGTGAGCTGTGACTGTGCCACTGCACCGCAGCCTGGGTGACAGAGCAAGACCCTGTCTCAAAACAACAACAAAAAAGAAGCCTCCTTGCTTGTGCTCATCAGCCTTGGCTGCAAGAATTTGATCCAGCAACACTTTAAGGCCCAAGCCGCTTTCATCCCAGGTGGAGACAAGGTCATCGCTCTAACCACCTTCTAGGAGCCTTCTCAGTTCATCAGGGTAATAACCTGCAGCTTTCAGGTCAGCAGAACCAATCTCCCTCAACAAAAAACACTGATTCTTTTAAATTAGTTCAACCTGCCGCTATTACTTTGTCTATAGCCCTGATCATTCAGTTGTTCTGCTTCAGGTGTAAGAACTGGACCAGAAATAGTGAATCCCGGAGAACGAGCTTGAACAAGTCCAAGCTTCTGCTGTTCACCCTTGGCTTTCTTCACACAGCTCCCAGAGTCCCGGCAACCAGACGACAACCCTGCCAAAAACTGGACAAGACTGCTTTGGGGACTCTCCCCACAGCAAGATAACAACCCTAAAGACATCCTTCCCGGGTGGGCATGGTGGCTCATGCCTGTAATCCCAGCACTTTGGGAGGCGGGTGGATCACTTGAGGTCAGGAGTTTGAGACCAGCCTGGCCAACACAGTGAAATCCCATCTCTACTAAAAATACAAAAATTAGCTGGGCACGGTGGCATGTGCCTGTAGTCCCAGCTCATACTCAAGAGGCTGAGGCAGGAAAATCACTTGAATCTGGGAGGCAGAGGTTGCAGTGAGCTGAGATCACACTACTGCACTCCAGCCTGGGCAACAGAGCAAGACTCCATCTCAAAAACAACAAACACTCCCTCTGGCTTGTGGCTCTGCCCTCCTCTAGGCCTTCAAAGTCGCCTTGACTTGTCCAACAAATAAGGAAAGAGTGAGAGGTTTTTAGGGTCGAGGCTTGAAATGGACACACTCACATTTCATCAGCCAAAACTCAGCCGTGTGGCCCTACCGAATGGTAAGGAAGCCTAGGAAAATTCATCCAGGGAGCACCCCAGGAGGACGAGAACATGGGTACTGGTGACCCATAGCTTTCTCTGCCACATAATACAGTAAAATGTTTTAAAAGCAAATCAGAGATTTTTTTTTTTTTAAATAGAGACCGGGTTTCACCCCGTCAGCCAGGCTGGTCTTGAACTCCTGGGGTCAAGCAATCCTCCCGCCTCAGCACCCCCAAAGTGGCTGGGATTACAGGTGTGAGCTACCACACCCAGCCAGTGATATATCCGTAATCAGCCAAAAAGTACTGTACAGTTACAAAAAGCACAAGAAAAACAAATTGGTGGATCTTTTTTATTTTTTGAGACAGAGTCTCGCTTTGTTGCCCAGTCTAGAGTGCAGTGGTGCAATCTCAGCTCCCTGCAAACTATACCTCCTGGGTTCAAACGATTCTCGATTCTCCTGCCTCAGCCTCCCGAGTAGCTGGGATTACAGGCTCATGCCAACATGCCCAGCTAATTTTTGTATTTTTAGTAGAGATGGGGGCTCCCTATGTTGGCCAGGCTGGTCTCAAACTCCTGACCTCAAGTGATCCACCTTCCTCAGTCTCCCAAAGTACTGAGATTAAAGGCCTGAGCCACCACGCCCCTGGCCCAAAACACCGGTAGCTCTTGGAATGTACACCGATGATTATGTGTAAACTGTGACCACTTCAGTTCTGTCTTCTGGCCTCCCCATTCCCTGCAGAGGATAAGAACTTCGGACCCCACCCCCTTCTTTGAGAATGGGGGCTGAGAGGAGGGCGGACGCCAATCCCAGCCATGTTACACTGAAATTCATGTCCTTGAGAGGTTTTACTGTAGTTGTTGAATTAATAGCTGAACAAAGGAATGAACATCGGGTGCTGTGGAGGCCACACAGAAGGAAGACACCTGCATACGCCATCTCTGAACTCTACCTCCTTCCACCTGCCTCTTCCCCAGCTCAGCTTAAACAGCACTTGCTACAG
This sequence comes from Homo sapiens, assembly GCF_000001405.40. Lineage (NCBI taxonomy): Eukaryota > Metazoa > Chordata > Mammalia > Primates > Hominidae > Homo > Homo sapiens. Next base: position 897,156 of record NW_017852933.1, read on the forward strand.
GAAGCCTTCCCCCATAACCCTCTCCCCTTTACACACACAGTGGGCATTCTCAGCTCCCACCTGCTTGCTCTGTATTCCCATTTACTCCATCTCGCTTTTTAGAATCTGTTTATGTGACTGGCTTCCTCTTAGGGAGCTTCTGTGGGCCTGGGGATCACTCTGACCCTCGGTTTCCTCCTCGCTAAAAACATTAGGATAGACTACGTGACTCAATTCGCTGTGACTTCACAGCCTGTCCAGGGCCCTCAACCACAGGGCTCTTGGCCATCAGATGTCTCCCGGGGCCATAGACTATGACACTGTGTGCCAGGCACTGTTCCAAGCACCTGACATATACATACTCATCTACTCTTTCCAAGGATACTAAGTGGTAGATACTAATACTGTACCCATTTTACCGATGAGAAAACCGAGGGCCAGAGAGCATAAATGAGCTAGAATTCCAACCCAGGACTCCAGCCCTAGTGTTTCCTGCTTTCCTGGCTGAAGAAGCACCCACCACCGAGGTCCCAGAGGTCGGGCTCCCTGGGACCGTCCCCCTGGGCAGATCTCACTTCCCCATGCGGCCCATCTGTCACACTCAGGGCGCAGCTGGGCTGGTTCCCCGAAATCCCCCAGGCGCGCGCAAAAGGATCTAGGCCGGGGCTTACCCGGGAGGCCCCCACCCCCGCGCGGCCACCGGCTTATTAATGCCCAGCCCCTTGGCACACATGTCAGCAGCGCCTGCCAACAAACTCCCGCAGCCAACAATGCAGCAAGGGCGCGTCTATACAGTCCTGGAGGTTCCGGGAATTCGGGCTGACGCAGGCCTCTAGTTCAGGGGAAAGGTGGGGGATGCGGCTCTGAGCCCTGCAGGGGACAGGAAGGCAGCGATGCGCCCACACTCTAGGGGCCCCGAGGGGGGAGGCCCCCAAACTCTCTGTCACTTGCAGCCAGATCACCGCCCATTGCTTGCCAATTGCTTTCCATATCCACATCGCCTTTAATCCGCACAACTTCCCCATTTCTCCAAAGCAAGCACTTAGCCCCAGAGAGTTTAACAACCAGAGGAGAAGCGCCCCCACACTCTCCTTCCATGCCTTCTCCGGCCCCATTCCCAAGCCCAGACCCAGCACGCTCCAGACGCCAGCTGCACCCGGGCGCACAGGCCTGCAGCGCGGGCTCCCAGCCCCCCACAGCCTTGCCGGCCGCGGTCCACACCTACCTCCCTCGGGCAGACAGGCGCGGCAGCCGCTGCCCACGGCCGCGAGGGTCCAGAGGAGTTGGCAGAGGCTCGCGGCCCGGAGCTCCAGGGTGCAGGGCGGGCGGGCCCCCCGAGAGTGCCGGGGAGCGGAGAGCGGGGAGCGCTAGCTGGCGCTCCGGGCAAGCAGCTGGGGCCACGCGGGGTAGATGGACCGATCCCAGGGCGCGCGGGGCAGTCGGAGTGATCCCAGGAAGGGCGCAGGGGCCGTTGGGACGATCCCGGGATGTGGGAGCGCGTGCCAGGGGGGACTCGCGTGCAGGCGACAGCGAGCGGGACTCGGGTGGCTGCAGGGCCGGGAGTGCGGGCGCTCGATCCAGGAAGGAGGGGAGCTGAGGCTGAAGCTGGGGCTGGTCTAGGTTGAGCAGAAGCGGGCGGGCAGGGGCGGGGCTGGCCTGGCGGGCGCACGGCGTGGCGCTCACGTGGCCGCCCCCAGGTGGCCATCACAGCGCCTGCAGCCGCCTAGCGGGCCTCCTGGCTCCGGCGCTGGCTCCCAGCCCCAGGTGCAATGGTTAGCGCTAAGTCTTGGCTCCCCCTGCTGAGTACACAGTGTCCGGTTCTCCTGCTCAAGGCTGGCCTAGCATCCGGCAGCGAGGGGGCAATTCGAGGGAGTGACCAACTTCCGTCCTCTCCCGCCGCGCCTCGCCATTCTCGCCTGCTTCTCGCTTAGTTCCTGTATTCCTGTCCTTTCCAAAATCATTAGTGATCCAAGCCCATCGCTTGTTTGTATGTATCTCTATCCATAACCTTAAAATATTTTTTATCGGAAATACTTTGTTTTTCCTGATTTCTGCTTTGTAAAAACAGGCACGTATGACGATTGCAATTATTTGTGTAGTTTTAAAATTAGTATCTCCTTTAGTTATTCCTAACTCTTGACACAGGGCCTGGGTGGCACACAGTAGATGCTTAATAAATACCTGTGGCATGAGTGGTAGAGTGGCTAAGGTATAAAAAAGAAAACGAATTAAAACTAATAGCTACTGTGAACACTTTAATATTAGGTCCTTCCAGATACTTTGTTAGTGAAATTTTAGAAATTTCACACATTCTAGATAGAAAAGTAGTAACAATGACATGTTTTGAGGGATTTCTCTCATTCCATCTTCCCAGCACTTTGGGAGGCCGAGGCCGGCAGATCACCTGAGGTCAGGAGTTCGAGACCAGCCTGGCCAAAACGGTAAAACCCTGTCTTTAGTAAAAATACAAAAAAGCAGCCGGGCGCGCCTGTAGTCCCAGCTACTCTGGAGGCTGAGGCACGAGAATCGCTTGAACCCTGGAGGCAGAGGTTGCAGTGAGCCGAGATCGCGCCACTACACTCCAGCCTGGGTGAAGGAATGAGACTCCGTCGCAAAAAAACAAAAACAAAAAAATAAAAAAGAAAAAAGAACAAAACTGAGGCTTATAGAGATAATGACATGCCCCAGGTGAGGCAGCTAGAAAAGGCAGAGCCAGCAGTAAATCCAGACTTCTCTGATTTCAAAGTTCAGGCTCTCCAAAGAACTTTTTTCCTTATTTATAAACCCCAAAGAGAGTAAACTCCAGCTTTTGGCAAGACAAAATTGCACCTGGAATTCTGACCCTGGGGCCGTCAGGCAGGAAGGGAAGATCAAAGATGCTGAACTAGTCTGTCCAAGCCCAAAGCAAGATTGGAAAAAAAAAAAAGACGCTACTGCTTAAAGCTCTATGGCCCTTGGGCAAGTTATTTTACTTCTCTGAGCCTCTGTCATTTTTGTCTGCCCAGCAGGAGTGTCCTTCTTTGCATTAGCGTCTTGGTTAGTCTTCAGGGAACCAGTTCACCCTATTTCAGTTCAGGAAAATAGCCCTCCCCACTCCCCTGGCTCCAAAAATGGACACATGACCAGACCTGGCCAATTAGCATATTTCATCCCTTCAGCCTCATTGATTGGTTCAGGGATGAGCATGTGATCCAAGTTAGGCCAGTGAAATACTAATCTGGGCCTTTTATAGTAACCATAAAAAGAGAATGTCTCTTTTCCAGGGAGTTGAGCAGATAGGATGTAATAGTAGAGTTTCTGAGCATTAATTCTTATGGCAAATTTTATTAAGCTCCTATTGTGTGCCAAATATGGTGCTAGGAATTGGGGGAAACATTTGCCTTCAAGGAGATGTCTACTGCGGTAAAATAAAATTACTCAAGGCCGGGCAAGGTGGCTCACACATGTAATGTCAGAGCTTTGGGAGGCCAAGGCAGGAGGATCAATGGGGCCAGGAGTTCAAAACCATCCTGGGCAACATAGCAAGACCCCTGTCTCTAAAATAAAACATTAAAAAAAAAAAAAACCCAGGTATGGTGGTGTGTGCCTGTAGTCTCAGATACTCAGGAGGCTGAGGCAGGAGGATCCCTTGGGCCCAGCAGTTTGAAACTGCAGTGAGCTATGATCATGCAGTGCACTTCAGCCTGGGCAACAGAGTGAGACCCTGTCTGTAAAAATTAAATAAATAAATGAAAAAGGCCAGGCTCAGTGGCTCATGCCTGTGATCACAATACTTTGGGAGGCAGGCAGATTGCTGGAGCTCAGGAATTTGAGACCAGCCTGGGCAACATAGCGAAACCTCATCTTTATAAAAAAATACAAAAATTAGCCAGATGTGGTGGCTTGCATCTATGGTCCCAGCTACTCAGGAGGCTGAGGTGGGAAGAACACTTGGACCTGGGAGGCAGAGTTTGCAGTGAGCCAAGATCCCGCCACTACACTCTAGCCTGAGGGACAGAGTAAGACCTTCTCTCAAAATACAATAACAAAAACAAACCACAAACAAAAAAGAAAGTGAAAAGACAATCAGAGAATGGGGAAAAAATATTTGCAAATCATATCTGATAAGGGATTTGCAGCTAGAATATATAAAGAATTGTTACAACTCAATAATAAAAGATAAATACTCCAATTTAAACATGGGCCAAAGATTGGAATAGACATTTCTCCAAAGAAGATATACAAATGGCCAATAAGGACATGAAAAGGTGCTCAACGTCATTAGCCACTAAGAAAATGCAAGGCCAGGCATGGTGGCTCATGCCTGTAATCCTAGCACTTTGGGAGGCCAAGGTGGGATGATGGTGTGAGCCCAAGAGCTCCAGATCAGCAAAGGCAACATAACAAGACCCTCATCTCTACAAAAAAACAAAATAGAAAAATTAGCCAGGCTCGGTGATGTGTGCCTGTAGTCCCAGCTACTCGACAGGCTGAGGTGGGAGGATAGCTTGAGCCCAGGAGTTGGAGGCTGCCGTGAGCTATGATTGCACCACTGCACTCCAGCGTGGGTGACCAAAAAAAGCAAGTCAAAACACACCCACTACCCACTAGCATGACTATAATCAAAATCTCAGATAATAGCAAGTGTTGGCAAGGATGTGGAGAAACTAGAACCCTCATACACTGCTGGTAGGAATGGAAAGCAGTTTGGCAATTCTTAAAAAAAATTAAACATGAAGTTACCGTATAACCCAGCAATTCAAATCCTAGCAGAAATGAAAACATATGTCCACACAAAAACTTATACAAAATGTTCATGGGAATATTATTCATAATAGGCAAAAGGTGAAAACAATCCAAATGACTGATGAATGCATAATTAAAATGCAGTAGGCCAGGCGGTGGCTTATGCCTGTAATCCCAGCACTTTGAGAGGCCGAGGCGGGCGGATCACTTGAGGCCAGGCTGGTCTTGAACTCCTGGCAACAACGTGGTGAAACTCCGTCTCTATTAAAAATACAAAAATTAGCCAGGTGTGATGGCATGTGCCTGAAATCCCAGCTACTCGGGAGGCTGAGGCAGGAGAATCACTTGAACCTGGGAGGCAGAGGTTGCAGTGAGCCGAGGTCACACCACTGCACTCCAGCCTGGGCGACAGAGCGAGACTCCATCTCAAAAAAGAAAAGAAGGCAGTAGATTCATACAATGAAATACTATTTGGCAACAAAAAGGAATGAAGTGCTGATACATGCTACAACACGGACGAACCTTAAAAAATATGCTATGTGAAAAGAGCCAGACACAAAAGACAACATACTATGTGATTTCATTTATATCAGTGAATAGGACAATCGATCCATAAAGAGAGAAGTAGATTAGTGGTTGCCAGGGGCTGGGAAGGGAGCTTGGGGAGAGGGGGAGTGACTATTAATAGTTGTAGGGTTTCTTCTTTGGGGTGATGAAAATGTCCTAAAATTGATTGTGCTGATGGTTGCACAATTCTGTGAATACACTAAAAACCACTGAATTATACTTTTTTAATGGGTGTATGGGCCAGGCGCGGTAGCTCACACCTGTAATCCCAGCACTTTGGGACGCCGAGGTAGGTGGATCACTTGAGCCCAGGAGTTGTAGACTAGTCTGGGCAACATGGCAAAACCCCGTCTCTGCTAAAAATACAAAAATTAGCCAGGTGTGGTGGTGGATGCCTGTAGTCCCAGCTACTTGGGAGGCTGAGGCAAGAGACTCGCTTGAACTTGGGAGGTGGAGGTTGCAGTGAGCTGAGATCATACCACTGCACTCCAGCCTGGGTGACAGAGCAAGACTCTGTCTCAAAAAAAAAAAAAAAAAAGTGTGTGAATTATATCAGCAATTATAACAGCAATAAAGCTGTCACAAAACAAAACAAAAAAGACTCATGGTGTTTCCATCTCACCATGGTGATAGAGCCCCAGGTCTTACAGTCACAGTCACGTGGCTGTTCCCAACTGCAACAAGACAGGTGTAATCCTCCCATCTGCTCAGGGTGGGGCTGAAGAGCTGCACTGGCCGCAGGCACCACAGGAAGGGTCTGGTTTCCAAACTGTTAACTGCCCAAATTCCCTGTGCACAGTGGGCTTGGGTTGTGTGTTTCACCTCTTTGGCTCAGAGGTCCTGGGCCTACTAGGTATGAGAAATGCCCAACACAGAGCCATCTGGATGGCCCACCTGTAGCTACTGAAAGACTTAAGGAAGTGATGAGACACCACTCGTCTTGTATTTATTTAATTTAGTTAATTTATTTGTGTATTTGTTTTGAGACAGAGTCTTGCTCTGTCACCCAGGCTGGAGTGCAGTGGCACAATCTTGGTTCACTGCAGCCTCCACCTCTCAGGTTCAAGCAATTCTCCTGCCTCAGCCTTCCAAGTAGCTGGGTTACAGGCACCTGCCACCAAGCGCAGCTAATTTTTGGTATTTTTAGTATAGACGGGGTTTTACCATGTTGGCCAGGCTGGTCTTGAACTCCTGCTTCAGGTGATCTACCTGCCTTGGCCTCCCAAAGTGCCGGGGATTATAGGCATGAGCCACCACACTCGACCCCCACTCTTCTTTTAGATCGCATGTTCCTCTCCTACCCTGTGTAAAGCCAGCCCCAGGATGAGAGTGGGACACATCAGGGCTTCGAGTTTTCATTCACCTATATATTTGCACAGGAAAAGATCTGGAAAGTACTTTCTTTCTTCTTTTTTTTTCTTTAAGATGGAGTTTCACTCTTGTTGCCCAGGCTGGAATGCAGTGGCGCAGTTTCAGCCTACTGCAACATCTGCCTCCAGGGTTCAAGCAATTCTCCCGCCTCAACCTCCCAAGTATCTGAGATTACAGGCGTCCGCCACTACACCCAGCTAATTTTTGTATTGTAGTAGAGATGGGGTTTCACCATGTTGGTCAGGCTGGTCTCAAACTCCTGACCTCAAGTGATCTGCCTGCCTCAGCCTCCCAAAGTGCTGGGATTACAGGTGTGAGCCACCATGCCCGGCTTTTTCTCTTTTTCTTTTCTTTTTCTTTTTTTTTTTTTTTTTTGAGACAATCTGGCTCTGTCACCCAGGCTGGAGGTCAGTGGCATGATCTTGGCTCACTGTAACCTCCGCCTCCTGGATTCAAGCGATTCTCCTGCCTCAGCCTCCCAAGAAGCTGGAACTACAGGAGGGCGCCACCATGCCCAGCTAATTTTTGTATTTTTAATAGAGATGGGGTTTTGCCATGTTGGCCAGTCTGGTCTCAAACTCCTGACCTCAGTGACCTCAGGTGATCCGCCTGCCTCAGCTTCCCAAAGTGCTGGGATCACAGGCGTGAGCCACTGTGCCCAGCCCAAACTGGTACTCTTCATAATGGTTACTTCTGAGCTGTGGGATTCGGTTGTGAAGGAGGGCTGTGGTGAGGGAGAGAATTTCCCTGTTAACTTGATGCCTGTGATTTGACTTTTTTCTTTTTTTTATCTTATTCTTTTGATTTGACATTAAAAAAAAATGTACAACGAGCATGCATTACATTACAATTTTTTTTCTTTTTTTTTTGAGACAGAGTCTCACTCTGTCGCCCAGGCTGGAGTGCAGTGGCGCAGTCTCAGCTCGCTGCAACCTCTGCCTCCCAGGCTCAAGCAATTCTCCTGCCTTAGCCTTCCGAGTAGCTGGGGCTACAGGTGCCTGCCACCATACCTGGCTAATTTTTGTATTTTTAGTAGAGACAGGGTTTCACCTTGTTGGTCAGCCTGGTCTCGAACTCCTGACCTCAGGTGATCCACCAGCCTCGGCCTCCCAAATTGCTGGGACTATAGGCGTGAGCCACCGTGCCCGGCCTATATTACAAATTTTAAAAAGACAAAACCCAGGTCCCTTACCAAAGTATTGACAGAGTTTAACTGGGTGGAGACATGAAAAGATATTTTTTTATTTGTGCTTTTCCTTTCTTCGCTTGAGTTTCAACAAGGAAAATGGGTTACTTTTGCAAAAGTTATTTTTAAATGTCACATAGAAAAATAAAAAATAAAAAACCAAACATAGCCCGGCTGCTCTGGCGCCTGTGGCCTCCCCACCCTTGCCTGGCTGTGGCTGGGCTTTGCATGGGCTTTGCATATGAGCTGCCCTGGCAGCGTCACCCTTGAAGGCATGAATCACCAGAGACGCCTCGTCAGCAGGACTGTGGGAGGCCAGCAGGGCGACGGGGCCTGGAGAAATGCAGGGTGGAGCAGAGGAACTGGCGGCCTTGCGTCCAACACTGGATTTTATTTTATTTTTTAAATGGAGTCTTGCTTTGTGCCCAGGCTGGAGTGCAGTGGCACGATCTCTGCTCACCGCAACCTCCGCCTCCTGGGTTCAAGTGATTCTCCTGCCTCAGGCTCTTGAGTAGCTGGGATTACAGGAGTGTGCCACCACGCCCGGCTAATTTTTGTATTTTTAGTGGAGACGGAGTTTCACCATGTTGACAGGCTGGTCTCAAACTCCTGACCTCAGGTGATCTGCCCGCCTCGGCCTCCCAAAGTGCTGGGATCACAGGCATGAGCCACCGCGTCTGGCTCCACCACTGGATTTTTATTCTGTTACAGAAGCAACTCCAGCACAAGGGTTCTAAGCAACTCCAGAAACAGCTCTCATCCCCCTCCCCGAGCCCGCAAGGCCTGCTTTTTGCCTGATGAGGCCTAGTAGGTGCAGGACAGGTATTGACTTGCATTAAATGATCAGAGACAGAGTTAGGGGACATGATGCTGTTGGCAGATGGACTAACTGCCAGAAGATGCTTTGAGCAATTGTAGGGGAATTTACCTAAAGAGGACGCTGCTTCCTTCTTGTGGCCACAGAGGGCAAGTCACAAGTCACAAAATAACTTTTGCAAAAGTAATGGGTGTTCCTCGCTGAAACTCAAGTCCAGACAAAAGTTCTCTGAGCCCTTATATTGGGCAGCTCCAGCTGAAAGCATCTGTCTCTGACTCTTAAGTTCATGTGGCAAGATGGAGTGGACTTAACCAAGAATGCAAAACTATTTTTTTTCAAGGAATATTCCTGCTGCCAACAGTGTTCTAGGTCCTGAGGATACAGCAGTGGATGAACAAGACACCATCACCTGCCTTCCTGGAGTTGACCTCCTAGCAGGGCCCAGTATCATCCTGGGAGAGACCCCCTACTTGAAACAGGGTGTTTGGAGAGATGTGTGTGGAATACCACCAAGTGGCCAGTGCCTGTATAAGAACCCTTGTGGTGGCTGGGCCACGGTGGCTCACTCCTGTAATCCCAGCACTTTGGGAGGCTGAGGCCGGTGGGTCACCTGAGGTCAAGGAGTTTGAGACCAGCCTGGCCAACATGGCAAAACCCCGTCTCTACTGAAAATACAAAAAAACAAAAACAATTAGCTGGGCTTGGTGACGGGTGCCTGTCATCCCAGCTACTCGGGAGGCTGAGGCATGAGAATTGCTTGAACCTGGGAGGCGGAGGTTGCAGTAAGCCAAGATCATGCCATTGCACTCCAGCCTGGGCGACAAGAACGAAACTCTGTCTTAAAACAAAACAAAACAAAACAGAAGAAAACAAAAACCAAAAAGAACCCTTGTGGTGGGAACCCTTGAGATACCAGGAGAGAACAAAGTCATCACCGTCACCCTTCTCATATGTGCCAGAGATTCATCTAAATGCTTGGCACATGTTTAGACACAAGATCTCTCTCTGTCACCCAGGCTAGAGTGCAGTGGTATGATCATAGCTCACTGTAGCCTCAAACTCCTGGCCTCAAGCAATCCTCCCACCTCAACCTCCCAAAGGGATGGGATTACTGGCGTGAGCCACCATACCTGGCCAAATTACCACATTTAATCTGTATTGACTTTATCCTCTGATATAACCGGAGCAGTGCCTGACACATTGTAGGTGCTCATGAAACATTTGCAGAATGAATGAGTTTAATCCTCACAGCAAATCCTGTGGGGTAGATACTATCATTATCACTCCATTACAGGGATGAGCAACTGAGGCCCAGAGAGAAGTGACTTTTCCAAGATCACACAGCTCATGGGAGTTTAGACTGTGTCATTCCCAAGCCCATGGGTTTACCCACTTGATTAGTTTCTTATTGCTGCTGTAACAAATTAACACAAATTTAGTGGCTTAAAGCAACACAGATTTATAGTGGTACTGTTCTGGAAGTCGGAAACGCTAACATCAAGGTGTCAGACACCTTGTGTTCCCTTTTTGGTGCCTCTAGGGGTGAATCAATTTCCTTACCTTTTCCAGCCTCTAGAGACTGCCGACATTCTGTAGCTTGTGGCTACATCACTGGGACCTCTGTTTTCACCCTCATACCTCCTTGAATTCCTGCCTCTTTCTTTTTCTTTTCTGAGATGGAATCTCGCTCTGTCGCTCAGGCTGGAGTGCGGTTGCGCGATCTCAGCTCACTGCAACCTCCGCCTCCTGGGTTCAGGTGCTTCTCCTGCCTCAGCCTCCCGAATAGCTGGGATTACAGGCACATGCCACCATGCCTGGCTAATTTTTTGTATTTTTAGTAGAGATGACATTTCACCACGTTGGCCAGGCTGGCCTCGAACTCCTGACCTCCAGCAATTTGCCCACCTCAACCTCCCAAAGTGCTGGGATTACAGGCATGAGCCATCGCGCCTGGCTACCTGTTTCTTTCTTATAAGGACTTTTGTGATTATATTGGGACCACCTGGATAATCCAGGCTCCTCTCCCCATCAGAAGATCCTTAATTTAATCACAACTGCAAAAGTCCCTTTTGCCACGGAAGGTAACATATTTACACGTTCAAGTGTGGGCATCTTTAGGGGTCATTATACAGACTGCCACTCCCACTTACCCAACTGTCTCTACAACCTTGGATTTTTGTTTGCCATTTTCCTTAAACGTGCAAGGAAATAGACAACCCTATGTGATTGTGAAATTAGGAAAATGCATACTGAAAAGATGGGAAACTCCTGAAAGAGAAGGAAGGGGGAATAGAACTTGGGGACATCAAAGGAGACTTGAATTTTATCTAGAGTGTTAATTTTAATTTTAATTTAAACAATTTCAGGCCAGGCGCGGTGGCTCACGTCTGTAATCCCAGCCCTTTGGGAGGCCGAGGCGGGCGGATCACCTGAGGTCAGGAGTTCGAGACCAGCCTGACCAATATGATGAAACCCCGTCTCTACTAAAAATGCAAAAATTAGCCGGGCGTTGGTGGCATGCGACTGTAATCCCAGCTACTTGGGAGGCTGAGACAGGAGAATCGCTTGAACCTGGAAGATGGAGGTTGCAGTGAGCCGAGATCGCGCCATTGCACTCCAGCCTGGGCAACAGGAGCGAAACTCAGTCTCAGGAAAAAAAAAAAAAAAAAAATTGAAGCGAATATGCAAAATGTTAGTAATAATTCGAGATGATAGGAAATGGAATTTTGCTAGGTTATACTCTATATTTATTGCTTTTTTTTTTTTTTTCTAAAAGCACTAAAATCCTCTGCACGTACGAACAAACGTCTTGGGAGGCTGTGGAATGCCGGCTGGCTGGGGCACCCGAGGCTAGTTACTTAGCATCTCTATTTTCCTCCTCTGTAAAATGGGTCGCACAGCTTATGAAAGCTTAATAGTTTTTGATATGTTAGGAGCCCACACATGCAAAGAATCTGCAACAACGTTCAATGGTTTTCCTCCCTGAACTCTTGATTCTTACATCGCGAGGGCAAGGGCTAGGACATGAGGCCACTCAGGGCTACAGAGGGGCCTTGAACTGGACAGAGCGTCTGCACCTTGGGGACCCAACATACAAACTGGGGCTCCACGCAAGATCCCGGCCCACCCGGGAGGAAGCGGCAGCACGGGAGCGCCCCTACGTGGCTGTAGGCAGGATCACGCCCAAGGAAAACTCAAAATCAAATCCAAACACACTTGTGAGGATTTAATATTAAAAATATTAATTTTTGATATGTAGGCACTCTTCATTTTAATAGTGCGTTCCTAGTGTGTTTACTGCTGCTGATCGCGAGAGCACTGTGACTCCAAGTCTCCGTGAGCAACGCAGGAGACAGCGGTTCTATATTGAGCATGCGCAAACTTTGAGGGCGGGGCGCCTCCGTCATCACACTAATATGCCGGCATAGGAAGCCCTACGATCGGGAGGTAGCGTGGCCGAGTGGTCTAAGGCGCTGGATTTAGGCTCCAGTCATTTCGATGGCGTGGGTTCGAATCCCACCGCTGCCACACCTCAGAAGGTCTCACTTTTCTATCCATAAACCATCTCTTTATGTAGTCCTTTGCCAACTTCTCTTCCTTTTTTCTCCTTTCTGATGTATTTCTTTTTTAAAGCTTTAGATTGCTTATAATGGATTTTTTTTAATGGAAGGGGGAAGGGAAGAGAAAAGGCAGAAACTGCAGTGCAGGCTCTTTCACTGTCTAGCCCAATACACAAACCTCTCTTTCACCTACCCATCCAGCTCCCTCAAAACAAAACAAAAAAACAAAACACATCTCCCCATTTCCAGGGGAAAGCATCTGAGCTAGCTTGAAAAGTTCCCAACAGCCTGTCTGGGTCTTCCTGGGGTTAGTTGGGGGTGGTTGTAATCATGACCTGAGTTAGGGACGGGGGTCCCTTTCTGGCCTGCTCCGTGTACTTTAGAGGGCTCCAGGGACCCCATAAACCTCTGTTGTCAGGTGACCCTGGAGTAGTAGGGGTCTGGCCCTATGTGGGGGTGCCAACCTTGAGGTCTCTGCTTCATTGATTCACCTCTTACTTGGTTTTCAGGCTTGATTTAGGGGCCTTCATTTATAAACAGTTGTTGAGCTGTTTATGAAGGGCCTACTATGTGCCAGAAACCGTGCTCGTCCTGAGGCTGTGGTGGTGTACAAGGCAGGCATGTTTTTGAACCCATCGACTTTGCAGACATTGTCATTTTAATTAATTACACCTGTGAGGAGTGTTAGGCAGTACAGCATGCTAACCTGGCCCCTGAGAAGCAAGGAAGTGACATTTAGCTGGGGCCTGAAATTGAGATTAGCCAAGTGAAGGCGTGGGAGGGGATTTCCAAGAGGGAACTCCTAAAGAGCCTGGTAAGGCTGAGACGCTGTGAAGGTAATTCAGGGCAGCTGCACAGAGAGTGGAGGTGGAGTATTGGCAATAGGTGAGGCGAAGAGACAGGCAAAGAGGGCCATGAATGCCGAGTTAAGGCTTTGAACTTGGTCCCTTCCCAAGGGCAATGGGAAACCATGGAAGGCTTTTGAGCTAGAGAGTGGCATGTTCCAATTTGGAATTTAGAAAGTTCACTGGTTGGGCACGGTGGCTCACACCTGTAATTCCAGCACTTTGGGAGGCTGAGGCGGGTGGGTCACCTGAGGTTAGGAGTTTGAGACCAGCCTGGCCAACACGGTGAAACCCCGTCTCTACCAAAAATACAAAATTTAGCTGGGCATGGTGGTACGCACCTGTAATCCCAGCTATTTGGGAGGCTGAGACAGGAGAATTGCTTGAACCTGGGAGGCGGAGGTTGCAGTGAGCCGAGATCGCACCACTGCACTCCAGTCTGGGCGATTGAGTGAAACTCCGTGTCAAAAAAAAGAGAAAGAAACAAAGAAACAAAGAAAGAAAAGAAAGTTCCCGCTGGCAGCAGGGACAGGAGGTCCCATTCAATGCCTATTGCAATTGTCTAGGAGAAAGGACAGTGGTTTGTACCACAATAGTGGCCGGGTGCGGGACAGAAGGAGTGAGTCAGGGAGACATTTTAGAGATAGATTTGACAGAATCCACAGATGAGCATGTCGAGAAGAAGAGGATCACGTCAAAAGTGACGCCCAGGATTTGGGCTTGGGTCATTGGATGGCTGGTGGTGCCTCTCCTCTCCTGGGAGGGAACACAAGATAGATGGAAAGCAGGTTTGTGGGAGATGATGACTTCAGTTTGATTTTCATTGAGCTGGAGATTCTTGTGGGATATGGGGTTGAGTAGGAGGTTGGACATAGATTTCTGGAGGTCAAGAGAGCACTCCAAGGAAATGATACAGATTTGGGAGGTATTAGAGACTGAGGCCATGGGAAGGGATGAACTCATCCAGAAAGATCCCACAGAGGGAGAAGAGGGGCCAAGACAGAGACCCGAGAGACATCATCTTAAAGGGAGGGCAGTGGAAGAAAAGCCAGTGAAAGAGATGCGAAAGAGACGGGAAAGGACTGGCCAGCAATATACGTGGAAAACAGGTGTGGTTTCATAGAGACCAAGAAATGCGGATCAAGAAGGAGGGGGCAGTCAACTATGCTGAACACAGCTAAGATAATTGGCAAAATAAAGACGGAAAAATATCTATTAAGATTTATGGACAAGATCATTGATGATCTGAAAGCCATTTTGGAATGGGTTGAGGAGAAGAAATGGAAACATAAGTATGGTCAATTCATCACAAAATTTGATTTTGAAAAGGAGGAGCAAAAGGAACAGTTGTGGGAGGGAAAATGGGGGAATCAAAGGAGGATTTTTTTAAATTTTAAAGATGGGGTCTCACCCTGTTGCCCAGGCTGGAGTGTAGTGGTGCAATCATAGCTTACTGCAGACTCAAACTCCTGGACTCAAGTGATTCTCTTGCCTCAGCCTCCTGGGTGCCACCACACCTGGCTAATTAAAAAAAATTTTTTTTTATGTAGAAGCAGGGTTCTCACCAAATCGCCCAGGGTGGTTTTGAACTCCCGACCTCAAGCAATCCTCCAGCCTTAGCCTCCCAAAATGTTGGGATTACAGGTGTGAGCCACTGTGCCCTGCTGGGAAGATATTTTCAAGATGAGAGAGACTTGAGGATGTTTTAGATGCCTGGCATTGGGTTTACAACTGGGAATAGCTTCAGCACCCATAATGGAAAGCCTATGAGTTTGTCTTGATAATCCCTTCAGATCGACTATGTCACCTTGGGCTGCCCACTGTGACAATTCTGTTTTCTGCATTTGCGATGCTTCTCTTTAGCGTCTCCAAGTAAGCTAGAACCTCCTACTTGCCCTTTCAGAACCTCATGGAGGCTAGTGGTCTGGGCAGTCTCAAAAATTCTTACAGTGATTCAGTTTTCCTGTTGGGTGGGGATGCCACCTCCTTTTCCATTGGATAAAGATGCTTGAAAGGAAAAAAGCTTTTTTGACATAGCGATCCATGTTGTCCCCATGCCCAGGGTTTACACATTCTGCTTCCAGAGTGTTAGGAAATAGATGAGTTGGAGAAATCCAGAAAACAAATAAATTGATTCTTGGCTTTTGGATTTTCAAAAGTAGGTTTGGCACTAGTCAAAAGATCTAGAAAATAACGTGAGCAGTGTGAGATTGTTTTTCCTGCTCGAAGAACAGATTTCCCAGGATTAGCAGGGAGAAGAAAGAGAGGAAGGAAGTGAGTTTGGATGTAAACATGTTATCGAGAGGAAAGGAAGCCCCAGGACCGCCAGCTTCAAATGGTCCGAGGTTTGCGGCTCTGAGAGAACGAGACCAGAGTTCAACCGCAAGCCTTGGCATGGCCAGAGTGTAGAAGAGTAGAAGTTACCACGTGTTGTGTTTAGGCCAGTGGCGGCTTAGGCGGTGCTCCTCCAAATTCCCCCAGCTGTAGAGCAGAAACCCCCACCCTCCTCTGCTCTTTGGAATGAGACAAAGCCCCAGTTTTCGTCATCTATAAAAGGAGAGTAATAAACCCTATTTAAGAGTAGCTGTAAGAATTAAATAAGATCACATAGATGAAAGCTCTTTTACACTGTCAAGCATTAAACAGACATAGGATTATTATTCTTTCAAAAATTATATACACACATAAAATTCAGCCTAGCAGAGAGGAGCATACATTTTTTTTTAGCTCCTTCCCAAACTGCTCACCTTGTTCAGCAGAGTGGGACACACACTGCGGTGGCCATGTTGGTTCTGATGAGCCCTTTCGATCCCATCCACCTCAGGCTTGTGGTGCTTTTCTTCTCTGCCAGTCCCACGTGTGCATATTATGATCTATACATGGTTGTATTTACACACTGATGTCTTGGTACTTACAACTGATAACTGATACCAAGATGATAGGAGGCGAAGTTTCTGTGGAGAGCAGGGCTAGATAAAGAAGTTTCGTGACCTTAAACTTTAAAGATTATGGTGATTACCACTACCTCTAATTAATAAATAGAAACAGTACTAAATCATAAAATATAACCAACTAAACTCTATTTTTCCCATTATAGCTTTATTGGTACTTCATCGAGACATCCAATTATTTTAAGAGTTTTTTTTTTTTAATTTTTCATGCTCTTTCTGGTACTAAAACCTGTGCTTACTATGCTGTCATCCTCAGACAGGAACCCAAAAAGGCCAAGTCGGGCTCGGCAGAAGCTTGAGTCTCGGTTTTTCCCCAAACCCTGGCTGTCAACACACAGATCTGTGTGAATGAGAAGCCCAGAACATTGGGTCGGGGTGGATCGAATGCAATGTTACCAGACAGAGCAGCAGCCGACGGCGCAAACTCATACCAACGTCACCCGAGCCTGCGTTAGCCCATAGCGACGCGGCAGCCTGGTTCCGGGGAGAACCTACCCGGGAGGCGGAGCTGGAAAGGGGTGAAGCCAGAGAGGGAGGGGGCGGGGCCAGGACTCAATTACACGCGAGAAGGGCGGGACCGGGTCCAGAGGCAGGAGCAAGGACAGACCCAAAAGGAGAAGCCAAAGGGTGGGCTCAAGCGCGCGGGGAGGACCAGAAAGGGGGCGAAACCAGAATGAGGGAGAATCTGGGGGTGGGCCGGGACTGGGCAGGGACTAGGAGAAGGTCCAGAAGGCGGAGGAAGCTGTGAGCCTTGGCCCATATCAGAAACCGGACAGGCCGGAGGGAGGAAAAAAGGGGCAGGGCCAGGGCCTGGAGGGAGGGTCATGGACGTAGGAAAGATTCAGGGGGCGGGACAGAGGCGTGACCAGGACTCAGAAGGCGTGCCCAAACATGGAAGGGCGGGAAGGGGCGTGGCTATGACATGAAGGCGGGGTTAGGCCTGGAGAGCGGCTCAGGACTAGGCTCTGAAGTCAGGGGGCGGGGAAGAGGCGTGCCCAAGCCGTGAAGCAGGGGCGGGGTTATAAAACGGGGGCGGGGCTAGGTCTGGAGGTCTGCTCAGGGGCTAGGCCAGGAAATCAGTGAGCGGGGAAGAAGGCGTGCCCAATTTGAAGGGCGGGTCAAGGGCGTGGTCAAAACATGGAAAGAGACTCGGGGCTACGCGTCTGGGCCGACCAGGGACGTGGCCAGGATTCAGGGGGCGGAGCAGGAGCGTGCCCACTTCGGAGGGCGGGGCGGGACAGGACAGGGGCGGGGCCAAAACACAGGAAGGGCGCAAGGCAAGGTCTGGGAGTAGATAGGGGCGTGGCCAGAAGTCGGCGGTCCGGGCTAGGTCTGGAGAGCGGCTCGGGGGCGTGACCAGGATTCAAGGGGCGGAGCGGAGGCGCGCTCAAACCCAGAAGGCGGGGCAGGGGCTGGTACAAGCCCAGGGAGCCGGGCGTGGGCGAGGGTGCAGCGGGGCCGACCCTAGCGGGCGGCGGACGGCGGACGGTCACAGGCGCTCCACGGCGGCGTGCAGAGGCTGCAGGCCTAGGAAGTGCAGGGCCAGGGCGAGCAAGCCGAGGAACAGCAGCAGCCTGAGCAGCAGGCGCAGGAGGGTCCGCGCCGTGGAGCCGCGGGGCCGCCGGGTCGTGGACTGCACGTATAGCTCCACGGCGTCGGCGAACCTAAACTTATCCGGCGCGTAGCCGAGCTGGGCGCGGGCCTTGGCTATCTGGAAGGTGTGCGTCACGGCCACGCTGCGCACCTGCGGGGACAGGCGGGGCATCCGAGGGCGGGCCTCGTGGGAGGAGGACATCCTCTACTTCGTTGTTTACGGAAAGGGAAAAGAGAGGGCAGGGATTTCCCCTCCATTACATAGTGATTTAAAAGGACCCGAGTGCAGCGTCTTGCTCCTGCGATGCCCTCATTAGAGAGGTCTTCCTTTCTTCCTTACATGTTCATTTTTATTGGAGGGTGCCGCCTTTGCGTCGCCCCCTCCAGCCCCGCTGAATTCGCACCCTATTTAACTCCTTGGTCCCTAAGAAGCAAAGGTCTCACCCCTACACTCATCTTCCCGGCCTAGCACGGTGCTGGGACTCAGGAGGCCCTTGATACATTCTTAGGCATCCGCTAGGAGAAGGTGAACGCCTGCCAGAAACATCTGCAGGAAACGACCTTGGCTTCCTGCCCCCAACCCCAGACCAACTGTGACCAGGAGGGCCCCAGTCGCAGCCTTCATGCCCTCGCTTATTAACTAAGCTTCCCTAAGAGAGGAATTCGATTATGCAGAACTGATTGCTCTCCAGGGTCTAAGCTGTGTTTCCCCTGCTGCCAGATGGCTTGGGGCCCACTGGTTTGAAGGGTAGTAATGATAGCTATCAGCAGTTAAGGAACACACACCCTGCATTTGGCCTGGACTAAATCCTTTCTATGCCCTACCTCATTTAATCCTCTCAGGTGGTACTAGCACTATCTGTTCTGTGCATACTTGGAAAAAGGTCAGAGAGGTTGAGTGACTTGCCTGGGGTCGCACAGGGGAGCCAGGTTCTAGCCTAATTTCTTCTCTGCTGTGCTGGCACCTGGAGATGTTCTCCCACCTGACTCATTTCTTCCTCTCTTTTTCCTCAGCCGGACCCTGGGGAAGAATCCACCAGCTGCTGGATTCTCCCATGGCATTGAAACAGCCCCTGGGGTCAAACCTGTGGTCTTGGATGCTTAATGGGGGGTGAGGAGAGAGGCCAGTATTTGTCCCTTTTTTTCCTAGTCAGTAAGTGCAGGGCTTTGGGGAGCACAGGAGTTGAGTTACGCTAGATAAGCAGGGTCCCTAATACACCTAGATGTCTCTAGATGTCACCTCTGGGAAGCTTTCTCTGACTTCCTCAGAGTTGGCTGAGGCGCCCCTTCTGTGTGCACTGGAGTTTCTCGCGATTTTCCCAAGAATGGCTCTAATTACAGTGTTGAGTTGCCTGGTTAGTGGGCTGTCTTCCCCTTTGAACTAGGAGCTCCCTAAGGGCAAGGACTATGTCTTCTTGCCTCCGTTGCTCAGCACAGTGCCTGGTAACATTTATGTTAAATGCATAAAAGGCTATAAAGTCAAACTGGAGGGCTGGTTGATGTGTCACAGATTGACCAGCAGAGGGTACCCGAGCCACAGCCAAGGAACTTCCACAGTTAAGGACATTGCCCCTGAGCTGAACAAGGAAATCCCCAAGTTAAACAAGAGGGAGAGGAGCCAAGTCCCTGCCTGACCACAATTCAGCTGCACCCTGGCAGCTATTTTATGTGGATGTGATTCCTGATGCATTTTCACAAGCTAATGGTTAAGCTTGAAATCACTGAGGTCTGGGTTCAAATCCCAGCTCTACCATTTAAGTGAGTGATCACGGGCAGGTTATTTCACTGTGTGTCTCATTTCCTCCTCTCTAAATGGAGAGGACAATGTTGTCTACAACTCAGTTAAATGAGATAAAGCACAGTGCCTGGCATACTGTCACAACTCAAGAGATTGTCAGTATCATCTTATTCTCTCCTCCACTGATCCGGATGGCTCAAAGGAGAAGCCATAGGTGACTACTTCTTTCTGTGGCCCATTCTCCACTCTCCCCCTCTGACTCCCCTTGTTAAAGAGCACTGAACATGGAGTCTGAAGCCAATTCCAGTATGGTGTGGCCTTGGACAAATAATTTTCCTAGTGCTCAATTTTTCATCATAAAATGGAGATCACGATTTTTTTTTGACCTTTTTAACTTAGCAGGGCATCAGAGACAATAAAACGAGAGTGGACTGGAAGTAATTTTTTTTTTTTTTTTAGATGGAGTCTTGTGCTGTCACCCAGGCTGGAGTACAATGGTGTGGTCTCAGCACACTGCAACCTCCACCTTCCAGGTTCAAGCGACTCTTCTGCCTCAGCATCCCGAGTAGCTGGGACTACAGGTATGTGCCACCACACCCAGCTAATTTTTGTATTTTTAGTAGAGACAGGATTTCACTGCGTTGGCCAGGCTGGTCTCAAACTCCTGACCTCAGGTTATCCACCCGCCTCAGCCTCCCAAAGTGCTGGGAACAAGTGTGAGCCACCGTGCCCGACTGGACTGGAAGGATTTTTGCAAATAACCTCAAATACCACCGATTACTTTGCTATTTACAATCTGTGATGAAAACATCCTCTCTTTTAACTAAGCAAATATAAACCTGCATCATCATTATTATGAGAATAGTATTCTGAGCCAGGCATGGTGGTGCATGCCTGTAATCTCAGCTATTTAGAAGGCTGAGGGGGGAGAATCTTTTTTTTTTTTTTTGGTTTTTAGGGGCAGGATCTCCATCTGTTGCCTAGGCTGGAGTACAGTGGTGCAATCTGCAGCCTTGAACTCCTGGGCTCAAGTAATCCCCCACCTGAGCTGGGACTAAAGGCATGCACCACCTTGCCTGGCTAATTTTAAAATTTTTTGTAGAGATGAGGTCTTGCTATGTTGCCCAGGCTGGTCTCAAACTCCTGGCCTCAAGTGATCCTCCTGTCTCAGCCTCCCAAAGCACTGGGATTATAGGTGCGAGCCACCACACCTGGCCAAGAGGATCTCTTGAGCTCAGGAGTTTGAAACCAGCCTGGACAATATAGTGAGACCCTGTCTCATAAAAATAATTATATTCTGTATGTAGTAGGTACTTAATATATACTCATTATTCAGTAAGCATGAACTATGAGCCTAGGACCACCAGGCTGTTGTGTGTGTGTATGTATGTGTTGAGAGTTGGTGGGATTGGTAGCATTCAAAGAAGTGAATGGCCTGAAACTTGCCTTTGGGAACCTCCAGTCTGGCTGGAAAGACAAGATGCTTATGAATGAAGAAACAGTGATGATGGATAGGCTTGGAGCTGTCACATTTCAGACCCAGAAAGCACAGCCTCAGCAAAAGCCCAGAGGTTGGGGTGATCATAACAGAGCTAGCACCAGCTTTGGGCCCACATGGAAAGTTCTGAGACTTCAGACAAGCATGTGTCATCATGGTGTCAAAGGGGTAAGGAGTGGCAGCAGTGGGGATGGTGGGGAGAGGTAGGAAGGGAGGGATGGGGAGCAGGGCCTAGGTCCCATAACAGCAGCCCACTTACCTCACTACGAGTGAGCAGCGGTGGGAGGCTGCAGATGGGTCTCAGGGCCAGATGGAGGCGCTCCATAACTGCTGCTGCAGGGAAGGAGGGGGCCAGTGACCAGGGGCCTCACATTATGCAAACTCCAGGGAGGCCCTTGGGGACAAATCAATGGGGGACACCATTTGCTTTGCTAGAGGTCACTTTGCAGAAGTCACTGGATTCCTTTAAATCAGCAGCCCTTGCTGGGGTGCCTTGTTTAGCTGTGAAATATGTCACAAGTAACTTGTTTTTAATATTAAATGACCAGGCTGGGTGCAGTGGCTCAAGCCTGTAATCCCAGCACTTTGGGAGGCTGAGGCGGGCGGATTGCCTGAGATCAGGAGTTCGAGACCAGGCTGGTCAACATGGTGAAACCCTGTCTCTACTACAAATACAAAAATTAGCCGGGCGTGGTGGCACATGCCTGTAATCCCAGCTACTGGGGAGGCTGAGGCAGGAGAATCGCTTGTACCCAGGACGCAGAGATTGCAGTGAGCTGAGATTGCACCACTGCACTCCAGGCTGGGCAACATAATAAGACTCCGTCAGAAAAAAAAAAAAAATTGAACGACTGAAGTTTTTAAATAAATCTGAACAGATTCAAAGTTATCCATATAATAATCTCTCTCTCACTTCTACTCCAATGCTCTCTGGAGTAGGAGAGAAAGAGGTTGGAGTAACAGTTCTCAAACTGGGCTGCATGTGGGACCAATTTAAAAATAATACTTGTGAGAACCAGGTGTGGTGGCTCATGCCTGTAATCCCAGCATAAGAGACTGAGGAGGGAGGATCTCTTGGAGCCAGGAGTTCAAGACCAGCCTAGACAACAAAGTGAGACGCCCTCATCTCTAAAAAATTTTTGAAAATAGCCAGGCATGGAGGTGCATGCCTGTTACCTCCACTACTCTGGAGGCTGAAGTGGGAGGATCGCTTCAGGCCAGGAGTTCGATACCAGCTGGGGTAACATAGCAAGACCCCCATCTCTACTAAAGTATAAAAATTAGCTGGGCCTGGTGGTAGGAGCCTGTAGTCCTAGAGGCTTGAGAGGCTGAGGCAGAGAATTGCTTGAGCCCAGGAGGTTGAGTCTGCAGTGAGTTATGATCATGCCACTGCACTCCAGCCTGGGTGGCAGTGCAAGACCCTAACTCTAAAAAAATAAAAAATACTGATGCTTTCCTCCCACTTCCTCCCTGCTAATCCCAATTTAATTGGTCGGTAGTGTGGCTGAGACATTTCTCTATTTTAAAAGCTCCCAGGTGACTGTGCAGTGCAGCCCTGGTTGAGAAGCACTGAATTACTGTTAGCCCACTGGGAACTGGGAACGCCTTTACAATCCTCTCCAAGTGCCATCGGCCGTGGCTCAGGGCCGGGAGTACCAATCACTGCGGCAATGCTGTGCATGAGAAGTTGCCCTGCATGTGTTCCCTGGTGAACAAAAATTTGCAACCCCCTGCTTTTAATGGCAAGCCACTCGATGCATTTAAAACACAAGAGATCCTGCCAAGGAGTCCCTGGAACACAGCTATTTGGGACTGGAGGGCCACCATCCCCTCAGGCTGGTCACTCCATGTCTGAAGGCTGCTCTGCCTTCCAGCTGGGAGGAGGCCATTGTATGGGTGCTGGGGACAGAGGGAAGGGGAGCAGCCAAGACGCATTGTCGGGGGTGGAGGTGGGAGCAGAGACTGACCTTCAGGGACAGGAGGAGAATCTAGGATCAAAATGGAGCCTCCGTTTGTCCTAAAGTAGCCCTAACTTCAGGGTGACCTTGGGGGACAGAACAGCCCCAGGGTTCTCTCTCCTCCTGACTGGCATGAGACCTCCCAGCAGCACCACAAAGAGCCCACCAAGCCCAGTTGTGAATTCCGCCTCTCCGCCTCTCCCGCATTCTCACTGTGGCACTTTGAGAAAGTCACTAACCTCTCAGAGCCTCGGGTCACCTCATCTTTACAATGGGCCCATCATAGCTGCCTTGCAGGTGGGACTAGGGTGAGGGAAGTGAGACACCTAGGGTGTGGAATTTAAGGAGGCACTTGCTTCCGGCACCAGACAAGTGCAAACTCAGGCTTGGAGCTGCTGCGTGGCCTCCTTAAATTTTGTGACCACAGTGCCTCACTGTCCTCACCCTAGTCCTGGTCCTGCCTGAGTTTCTTTTTCTTTTCTTGTTTTTCTTTTGAGACAGAGTCTCACTCTGTCACCCAGTCTGGAGTGCAGTGGCGGGATCTCGGCTCACTGCAACCTCTGCCTCCTGGGTTACAGCAATTCTCCTGCCTCAGCCTCCCAGGGAGCTGGGAATACAGGCGTGCGCCACCACACCCGGCTGATTTTTGTATTTTTAGTAGAGATGGGGTTTCACTGTGTTGGCCAGACTGGTCTGGAACTGCTGATCTCAGGTGATCTGCCTGCCTCAGCCTCCCAAAGTGCTAGGATTACAGGCGTGAGCCACCGTGCCTGGCCCCTGAGTTTCAATTAAGGCAATGCAAGGTACACCTGGCACATGGAGGGCTTTACTACGCACACTCCTTTCCTTACCTGTCAGGTAAACCCAGGAAGTAGGCACCTGGATCCAGGGCTGGCTGTACCCCAGCTTCTCAAACTGCAAAGAAACACGACCTGGAGTGAGAACAAGTGGTTCAGGGGCTGGTGTGGAAAGACCACATGCTCCCTCTACCGGGGACCAGCAGAGGTACCTCCTGTCTCCCCACCAACCCACCCCAGGGGGCAGACCCTGCAGCCAACCCCAGGCCTGTGCCAGTATTGAAATGAAATCCGCACCTTGACCCAGAAAACCCAAGGAGGAATTGAAAGCATGGGTTAGTTAAAATTTTTTTTTTTTTTTTTTGCAGAGAATCAGGGGTCTTGATGTGTTGCTCAGGCTGGTCTTGAACTCCTGGCCTCATGTGATCCTCCTGCCTCAGCCTCCCAAAAGTGCTGGGATTACAGGCATAAGCCATTACACCCGCCAGGTAGCTTTTTAACTTGGGATCATTCACATCATTTAATTATCACCTACATCTGTCTATACCTAGAGACACTCTAAGGCATTTATGTAGAATCTGATTTTTCCAGAATTGACTTTTCTGTGGAGGGTGGTAGGATATGCAGCAGAAATGGGCTGGCATGGGATAAGGTGAACTCTTCACTGGCATAAAAACTTTCCAGGTCAAGAGGAAACCTGTGTCCTTTAGCCTGGGTTTTCTGGTCTACCCCTTCCAGGCAAGCCTGGCTGCTAGGAGTCTGGGCTGCTCAGAGAGGACACCAGAGTTCCCGGGCTGCCGTGTGGGGAGGCCCCAAAGCCAAACACCTCCCTTGCGCTTTTGTCTCTTCCACATGCCTCCTTCCGAGCCTCAACACATAATGGGTGGCTCACAAGCAAAACTCCACAGGGCTAGAAGCCAACATAAATCTGGAAGCATCGAGATCAGCCTGGCCAACATGGTGAAACCCTGTCTCTACTAAAAATACGAAAATTAGCCAAATACAAAAAATTAGCCGAGCAGGGTGGTGTGCACCTGTAATCTCAGCTATCAGGAGGCTGCGGCAGGAGAATCGCTTGAACCCAGGAGGCAGAGGTTGCAGTGAGCTGAGATCGCACCACTGCACTCCAGCCTGGGTGACAGAGTGAGACTGTCTCAAAAAAATGAAACAAAACAAACGCCTGGAAGCAGGGTGGAAGGGAACTGCAGGTAACTGAGGAACACATGGCGCCCCTCAAGGGCTCCAGCCAGTTCCAATGTTGCCAGAGGTGTTTTTTTAAAAAAATTGATTTTTAGAGATAGGGTCTTATTCTGTTACCCAGGCTGGAGTGCAGTGGTGCAATCATAGCTCACTGCAGCCTTGAACTCCTGGGCTCAAGAGATCCTCCCGCCTCAGCTGCCCAAGTAGCTGGGACCACAGGTGTGCCAACACCATGCCTGCCTAGTTGAATTTTTATTTTTGCAGAGACAGGGGTCCTCGCTTTGTTGCCCAGGTTGGTCTCAAACTCCTGGCCTCAAGCGATCCTCCCGTGTTAGCCTCCCAAAGTGCTGGGCTTACAGATGTGAGCCACCTCACTGGGCAAAGAGTTGGTTTTTGACGTGAAATCTTCTGGCTTTTTGGAAATCGAAAAGGACAAGAAGAGAAGGCCGCAGGCCGAGCACAGTGGCTCATGCCTGTAATCCCAGCACTCTGGGAGGTCGAGGTGGGTGGATCACTTGAGGTCAGGGGTTTGAGACCAGCCTGGCAAACATGGTGAAACCCCATCTCTACTAAAAATACAAAAAATTAACTGGGCGTGGTGGCGTGTGCCTGTAATCCCAGCTACTCGGGAGGCTGAGGCATGAGAATTGCTTGAACCTGGGAGGGGAGGTTGCAGTGAGCTGAGATTGTACCACTGGACTCCAGCCTGGGTGACAAGAGCAAAACTCTGTCTCAAAAAATTAAAAAAAAAAATAAAAAGGAAGAGAAGGTCAGGGATCCCAGAATGATCATTCGGGGTGGGTGGGCATCTGTGCACCTACCAGTGGGGCCATCCACTCAAAGAGGTTGACGCTCTCCCCATCGTTGATGTAGTACGCCTGCCCACTCTGAAGGGGACATGTGGGAGGGGACGGTCAGCCTTCTCCCCAGCAGCCTGCCCCACCCTTCCAGATGGCTCCCAGCAGCTGCTCCAACCCTGAGTTCTCTGGAGCAGCTCCAATACCTGAGGACACACGTGAACTATTCCCTGTGAATTCCAGGACGACCACACTGACTAGCTGTGTGACCTCCATGGAGTTGCTTAACCTCTCTGTACTTCAGTTTCTTCATCTGAGAAATGGGAGGATAATAATGGGATCTCCTTCTTGGACTACTGTGAAGATTAAATGCGACAATATGTGTGGAGGCTTAGCATCTGGCAGCTGTTATTCTGGGATCAACAACGCCAACCTCACATGGCCATAGAGAAGAGCTAAAGATGCTCTATAAAGAACTCCACACCCCACCTACCTGCTTCCCCCAAGCTCCCCTGGGCTGAGAGTCCCACCAGCCTTCTTAAGTTGGAGGGAAATCTTGTGTGCCATCCAGAAATCCCCTAGGGATGGGACGCTCTGCCTGCAGCCCTGTGGGGAAGGTGGTTGGGGGCATCAGAGGGGACTCACAGCCACGTAGCCCTTGGCCGTGGTGAGGGCCTCGGCCGCCAGCACGTGTGCCTGCACCAGATTGTGTACGTGGACCCAGTTCATCCGTGCCTTGTGGTCCCCAAATCGGAACATGAACAGCCTCTTCTTGATGTGGCCCTGGTGGAGAGGAGTGGGTGATAAACAGGCTTGTGTCCGGTGTGGCTTTACATTCCGTCTAGATGCTGATGACTCCCCAGGTTCTAGCTCCAGGTCAGGCCCCTCTGCTCCAGGCTCATGTATCCAATGCTCTCTGAATATCAGCAACGGGTTGTCTAACAGAAAACTCAAACTCACCAGCTCCTGGAGCGAGCATCTGATCGTCTCTCCCACCCCGCTCCTCCCTCCCTTCCCAGTGGACCAGTCAGTTCACTCTACCACTCAGGTTAAAACCCTAAAGCCACCTTTGACTCCCCCTTGTCTTAAACGCCATGTCCAACCCACCTGCAAATCCAATTGGTTCAACTGTTAAAATCTGTCCAGAATCTGATAGCTTCTCGCTACTCTGACAGCCACCCTCCTCTCACCTGGACGCCACAGTTGCTTCCTAACTGGTCCCCCTCTGTCCACCCTCAGCCCCTGTAGTCTGTTCTCTGCCCAGCCAGGCAGATCCTTTGATTGTTTCTTTTTTTTGAGACAGATTCTTGCTCTGTTATCCAGATTGGAGTGCAGTGGCAAGATCTTGGTCACTGCAAACTCCATCCCCTGGGTTCATGCAATTCTCCTGCCTCAGCCTCCTGAGGAGCTAGAATTACAGGCACAAACCACCATGCTCAGCTAATTTTTGTATTTTTAGTAGAGACAGGGTTTCACCATGTTGGCCAGGCTGGTCTCAAACTCCTGACCTCAGGTGATCCACCCATCTCGGCCTCCCAAAGTGCTGGGATTATAGGTGTGAGCCACCATGCCGGGCCAGATCCTTTGATTCTTTCATAGTTTTTTAGAGACAGGGTCGGGCTCTGTTGCCCACACTAGAGTTCAGTGGTGCAATCACTGCAGCCTTGAACTCCCGGGCTCAAGCGATCCTCCTGCCTTGGCCTCCCGAGTAGCTGGGACTATAGATGAATACCACCACACCTGGATACTTTTTAAATTTTTTTGTAGAAATGGGGATCTCACTATGTTGCCCAGGCTGGCCTTGAACTCCTGGGCTCAACCAATCTTCCCTCCTCGGCTTCCCAAAGTGCTGGGATTACAGACATGAGCCAGCGTGCTCAGCCAGGGATCCTTTTATTTTTAGAGATAGAGTCTCCCTGTGTCACCCAGGCTGGAGTGCAGTGGTGCAATCATAGCTCACTGCTGCCTTGAAATCCTGGGCTCAAGGGATCTTCCCATCTCAGCCTCCCAAAATGCTGAGATTATAGGCATGTGCTCCCATGCCCAGCCAGGAGGACCTTTAAAAATTCTAAGTACAACCATGTTGTTCCACGGCTCAGAACCTTCCAGGGGCTCCCATCCTGCTAGGCTGGAAGCTGAAGTCCTGACAATGGCTGTCAAACCCTTCCTGATCTGGCCCCAGCTCCTCTGTGACTTCATCTCCTACCAAACCCCCTCACTCGCTCCACCACAGCTGCACCGCCCCTTTGCTCTTCCTGGACACTGCTGCAGGTTCCCATCTCAGGGCTTTGGATGAGCTGTTCCCACTGTCTGGAAGGTATTTGGAGGAAGAGCCTTTCAGACTTTGTCACCTCTGTCAAGTGGATGCTCAAATGTCCCTTTCTAAATGAGCCCCCCCGTGACTACCTGACAAGCCCAATTCCCTCACCCTACCTCGCTTTTTCCTTTTCTCCACAGTGCCTGGAATCTTCTTTTTTTTTTTTTTTTTGAGATGAAGTTTCGCTTTTGTTGCCCAGGCTGGAGTGCAATGGCACAATCTCGGCTCACTGCAACCTCCCCATCCCAGGTTCAAGCGATTCTCCTGCCTCAGCCTCCTGCGTATCTGGGATTACAGGTGCCCACCACCACGTCTGGCTAATTTTTTGTATTTTTAGTAGAGACAGGGTTTCACCATGCTGGCCAGGCTGGTCTCGAACTCCTGACCTCAATTGATCCATCCCTGTCGGCCTCCCAAAGTGCTGGGATTACAGGCATGAGCCACCGCACTTGGCCTGAACATACCTTATAATTTAACATGTTCATTATCTGTCTCTTCATATGAGAAGATAAACGCCACAAGGACAGGAATCATCTGTTTTGTTCACTGATCTGTCCTCAAACCTAGAACAGTGCGGGGCACATACTAGGAGTTCGTAAGTATTCGTTGAATGAATGAATAAATGAATGGGGAGAGAGTCACTGGGGTTGACCACATTCCTTAAGAACCCAGTTAACTCAAAAGAAAAAAAATGATTGCTGGGTCCAGTAGTTCACGCCTGTCATCCCAGCAACTTGGGAGGTTGAGGCAGGAGGATTGGTTGAGGCCAGGAATTTGAGATCAGCTTGGGCAACATAAGGAGACCCTATCTCTACAAAAAATAAAAATAGTCAATCAGGCATGGTTGTGCACACTTATAGTCACACCTACTCAGAAGGCAGGAGGATCGCTTGAGTCCAGGAGGTGGAGGCTGCAGTGAGCCATGATCACACCATTGCACTCTTGCCTGGGTGATACAGTGAGACCCTGACTATAAACAAAAAGACATATAGCCAAGCAGAGGAATGTTCTGAAACTGCAGACTGGAACTTCTCCCCGCCAATAACTCTAGCTCCTCATAATCCCGTACTCCCAGATCAGATCCAGCCACAGGGACCTCTTGCTGCTTCCTAAAACAATCATGACCTTTCTCACTTCCAGGTTTGTGCCCAAGCTGTCCCCTCTGTTTGGCCTATCTTCTCTCTACCACTTCATTTCCTTGGTTAATTCCTTTTTCTTTTTTCAAACAACACAGACATCACTTCCTCCAGGGAGCCCTCCTGGGTTTCCCCTGCCAGGCCCATCTTCTTGTGCTCCTCTCTCCACAGCCCTCCCCACATTGAAGCTGTGACTGTGGTGTCTGTCTCCCTGAGAAATTCGAGGACAGGGCCTATAGCCCCTTGTAGCTGTATTTCTGGCACCCGACCCTTTAGAGGCTTTCTGTATGAAGACACTTGTGCTCTCAGCATGGAATAAACCATCCAGGCTTCAGGGAGCCCACATGGGAGTGAGGGCAACAGGCTCTCTTCTGCCTTTTTGGGGTCACAGCTCTATGGCTCCTCTACCCGTGCCTTGGCTTGGCTGGTACACTCTGAGAGCTCTGTTCCTGCCAGGAGCTCCAAGGGGCCTGTGGACCAGTGGGGGCAGGAACATCTTGTAGAACTGAGGGTTCCAGGCTCAGGACACTTAGCCTCGAGACTGATGCAGCGACCAGGGGCTGGGAGGGCCCGACCAGTGTACACCTCAGCCAGGATCCTTCTCTGACTTGGGTCCTGAAGGCGGGGATGACGTACCGCCACACGGGGCAGGTGCCTCTGCTCTTCAGGGCCGTAGATCCCTGGAGGCCGGAGCACACACGTCCGAAGAGTGCCTCCTCCTAGCACACAGGGAAGCGTGGTCAGGGGTCAGGGGAGGAGCAGCCCACAGGGAGAGGGAGAGAGAGGCCACCTCCATCTGTTGGTGCTTACCTGGACAGGCTAGAGGGGAAGACCGGCCCAGGGGCTTCCTCGTTCAATTTATTATTCTCTTAGTCAGTCATTCAACAGACACTATTCAGAGTCTCACTCCCACCTCCAATCCCCCTGCCCCCCACCCTGGATGGATCCTGTGAAGAATGTAAGGATGACCAATAAATGGTCCCTGCCCTCCCATTGCTCACAGTGCAGTCACAAAGGTAAGAGCCAGATGCAAACATCTGCACGGCCGGTCTGTTTACCAAGCACTCGGCAGAGTGATTTTCTTTGATGCCCCTTGAGAGTACTACTGTGCCCATTTTACAGATGCACATAGATGCACATGCCCTCATGCCCATAGCTCTTGGTCTCTCTTTTTCCTTTTCCTTTTCCTTTTTCTTTTTCTTTCTTTATTTCTTTTTTTTTGAGATGGAATCTTGCTCTGCCGCCCAGGCTGCAATGCAGTGGCGCAATCTTGGCTCACTGCAACCTCCATCTCCCGGGTTCAAGCAATTTTCCTGCCTTAGCCTCCCAAGTAGCTGGGATTACAGGTGCCCACAACCATGCCCAGCTAATTTTTGTATTTTTTAGTAGAGACGGGGTTTCACCATGTTGGCCAGGCTGGTCTTGAACTCCTGACCCCAGGTGATCCACCCGCCTTGGCCTCCTGAAGTGCTAGTATTACAGGCATGAGCCACCGCGCCCGGCCTTGTTCTCCCTTTTTCTAATCAGCAGTTGGATAAGGACCAGGAGAGGTCCTTATGTATAGATAAGGACTATATAATAGATATCTAAGAGACAAGGACTCTCAGAGAGGTCCTTCTATGTTCCTGGTGCTCTGATACGCCAAGGTTGGAGATGTTATAATCCCTGCCTATGGATAAAAGAACCACAGCTCAGAGAAGGGATGTGATTTGCTTCCAGTCACACAGATCAGCGCAGTGGAGCTGAGATGGGGACCTGAAGTCCACACCGTTTCCACTAATACCTCCGCTTCTCAGCAGTAAGGCAAACAGTGAACCCTGTCTTTTAGCCAGCTCAGCCTTGGTTTCCTCACATGGAAAATGGGTGCTTTGGAAGTGGCAGCAGCTGCTACACTTTCCAATCAATGGAGAAAGGAAAGAGCCGGGGTCTGTACCCCTTTCACTGCTCTATCTCAGCGGAGTTCCCCAGACCCTGACAGAGCTCAATCTAGGGCTTCCCAAATTCTCCACTGGAGGGACCCAAATGGCAGAAGCAGGTGAACATGTATCTCCTGGGGCGGTCTGGGGTTACAGTCTGAAGGGCTGCCACAGACATATGTCAGTCTTGTCTTAAGAACACCTACTACTAGCTGGGAGCAGTGGCTCACGCCTGTAATCCCAGCACTTTGGGAGGCCAAGGCAGGAGGATTGCTTGAGCCCAGGAGTTCGAGACCAGCCTGGGCAACATAGTGAGTCTCTACTATTTATTAAAAAATAAAATAAAATAACACCTACAAAGTATTCAGTTTATCCTCATAATTCATGTTTAAGATTTAAAAAATTTTTCTTTTATTTTTATTGCCATATAATAATTGTACATATTTGTGGGGTAAGGTGTGATGTTTTGGCTCTGAAGTTTAGAGCGTAAGGGATACCTAAGGTTTTTACCTACATGCATACAGTGTGTAATGATCAAATCAGGGTAATGAGCATATCTATTAATACATTTCTTTGTCTTGGGAACATTCACATCTACTGCCTGGGCAATAAAACGAGACCCCCATCTCTGACAAAGAAAAAAAAAATTAGCCAGGCACCATGGTGTGCACCTACAGGCCCAATGTTCTTGGAGGCTGGGGTGGGGGAATCACTTGAATCCAAGACTTTGAGGCTGCAGTGAGCCATGATAGCGCCACTACACTTCAGCCTGGGCGACAGAGCGAGACCCTGTCCCAAAGAAAAAAAATCCACTCTTCTAGCTATTTGAAAATACACAATAAATAGTTGTTAATTATAGTCACTATATAGTGCTATAGAACACTATAACTATTTTTAAAAAAGAGTTTTAGAAAATATTTAAAATGACTTTTTTTTTTTTTTAATAGAGTCTTGCTCTGTCGCGCAGGCTGGAGTGCAATGGCACGATCTCGGCTCACTGCAACCTCTACCTGTCAGGTTCAAGTGATTCGCCTGCCTCAGCCTCCCGAGTAGCTGGGATTACAGGCACCTGCCACCACGCCCCACTAATTTTTGTATTTTTAGTAGAGGAGGGGCTTCGCTATGTTGGCCAGGCTGGTCTTGAATGCCTGACCTCAGGTGATCCACCCACCTCAGCCTCCCAAAGTGCTGGGATTACAGGCGTAAGCCACTGTGCCCAGCCTAAAATGACTTATTTAATTAATTATTTTTAGAGACAGGGTCTCACTCTGTCACCCAGGCTGAAATGCAGTGGTGCGTCATGGCTCACTGCATCCTCAACCTCCCAGGCTCAAGCAATCATCCTACCTTAGTCTCCCAAGTGGTTGGGAGACTAAAAAAAAAAAAAAAAAAGGAAGGAGTGTAGCCTACTTGAGCCTCTGGGAGTACAGCCCAGCAGACACCTTGATTTCAGACTCTGGCCTCCAGGATGGTGAGAGAAGAAACGATTGTCTTTTGTTCATTTGTTTTTGAGAGAGGGTCACAGCTTACTGCCATCTTGACCTCCCTGGGCTCAGGTGATCCTCCCACCTCTGCCTCCCGAGTAGCTGGGAGTACAGGTGTGCACCACCACACCAGGTCATTTTTGTATTTTTTTGTAGAGATGGAGTTTTGCCATGTTGCCCGGGCTGGTCTTGAACTCCTGAGCTCAAGCAGTCCTCCCGTCTTGGCCTCACAAAGTGCTGGGATTACAGGTGTCAGCCACCATGCCCGGCCCATTTCTATTGTTTTAAGCCATCAAGTTTGGGTGGCATCATTTGTCACAGCTGCCACAGGATACTAACACACCCAGAGACAGAAGACGGGAGGACATAACTGCATTAACACTGAGCTAGGATCTGCACGCCTCAGGACTCTGCTCCCAGGACTACGGACCTCTGCGCCGAGTCAGAAGAACAGTTTCAGGAACCCGCTTGGATAGTAGGGAGTGGAAATGACCCCAGGTGACTGCAGCGGGACTCCTGGAAGGCAGATATTGGGTGAGATTTCCTGTAAACAGCTTGCAGCTAATTTTAAACTCTGGGTCACCTGGGCATAGTGGGGGGAGGTCGGGTTGCAGCTGACGTTGGCAGGCGGGGCATTGAACAGCTACTTCACGGAGGGCCAGGGTATCCATGACTCTCCTGACCATGGAAAGCTGCAGATGCTCATATAAATAATTCTTGGCTGGAGGATTAGGTGTCTAGAGTACAGGCTACTGGGCTGGCTGGCAGAGGCCCCAGGTAGAGAAAATATTATTCAACTGCACAAGGTTGAAACTCCTGGGAGAACAGCTGGATATTTCTACTGGAATCAGGGGTCCAGGCCTAACTGGCCCAGGGTGATGGGGAGTAGGGTGGGGGCTGGGGGTGGGGAAGATTTTAGGGAAAAGAGTTGATGCTCAGGGACCTGCTCAGCTGGGGCTGCAGCACTGCACAGTGATTAGGCCCCAGGCTCTGGTGTTAAACTCTCCTGGGGTTCAAATCCCACCTCTACCACCTAACAGCTGGATGATCTTGAGTGAGGTCAGTTCATCTGTCTGTTTTCTCACCTGTACATTGAGGATTATTATTATTATTATTGAGATGGAGTCTCGCTCTGTCTCCCAGGCTGGAGTGTAGTGGCACAATCTCGGCTCACTGCAACCTCTGCTCCCTGGGTTCAAGGGATTCTCCTGCCTCAGCCTCCTGAGTAGCTGGGATTACAGGGACGCATTGCCATGCCCAGCTAATTTTTTTGTATTTTTAGTAGAGACGGGGTTTCACCATATTGGCTAGGCTGGTCTTGAACTCCTGACCTTGTGATCCGCCCGCCTCAGCCTCCCAAAGTGCTGGGATTACAAGTGTGAGCCACCGCACCCAGTGAGGATTATAATTTTTAAGCCTCCGACTCTCCAAATCCACCTGGCTCTCAAGTTTAGATAGTTTTGATAGTGAAGGGAAACCAAGTTATCTGATTCTTTTTACGTTCTGAATTTTAGAAAGCTATATATATATATATATATATATACACACACACATATATATACGTAGCCCATATACATATATATATATTTTGTACAGACATGGTTTTGCCATGTTCTCCAGGCTGGTCTCGAACTCCTAAACTCAAGCCATCCACCCACCTCCGCCTCCCAAAGTGCTGAGATTACAGGCGTGAGCCACTGTACCGGCCCAAATAGTGATAATTTGGATAGCACGAAATTTATTTGAATAAATTTGGTTCTGAAGCTTAGAAAGCAAGGGATATCTATGGTTTTTACCTAAAAGGGGTACTGTGAAGGGTTAATCAGACCTTTGCATATAAAGTTAGCAACCTGTGGGAGGAGAATCCATAAAAAAATGAGATAAAATTAAAATAAAGGGAAAAGTAGAATAAAGAATGGGGCCAGGTGTGGTGGCTCACAGACTCCCATGCCTATAATCCCAGCACTTTGGGAGGCCAAGGCAGGTGGATCGCTTGAGGTCAGCAGTTCTAGACTAGCCTGACCAACATGGTGAAACCCCATCTCTACTAAAAATACAAAAATTAGCCAGGTGTGGTGGCATGCACCTGTAGTCCCAGCTATTCGGGAGGCCGAGGCAGGAGAATCTATTGAACCCAGGAGGCAGAGGTTGCAGTGAGCCAAAATCACACCATTTCACTGCAGCCTGGGTGACAGAGCAATACTCCTTCTCAAAGAAAAAAAAATAAGAGATTAATAATTGTATTTGAAAGAAAAAAATAGCATGCAAAATAGGGCCTGGCATGTAGTGTGCACTCAAGAAATACGGACTATTTGCCTTCTACTATTACTCATCTATAACCAGAAGAGGCAATATAAAAAGGCAGCCAAGGCCAGGCATGGTGGCTCATGCCTGTAATCCCAGCATTTGGGAGTTCGAGGCAGGAAGATCACTTGAGGCCAGGAGTTTGAGACCAGCCTGGATGACATAGTGAGACCCCATCTCTACAAAAAAATTTAAAATAAGCCTGGAATGGTGGCACACACCTGCAGTTTCAGCCACTTGGGAGGCTGAGGCAGGAGGATTACTTAAGCCCAGGAGTTTGAGGCTGCAGTAAGCTATGATTGTGCCATTGCACTCCAGCCTGGGCAACAGAGCAAGACCCTATCTCTAAAACAAATAAATAACTAAGACAGCCAAGGTAGACTCTACTGGGAAGTTGCTGAAGCTTGAGCTTTTGGGCCTCTCCCTTGCCAGGCCCTTCCAAAGTGTTATATCTCATTCCACACTCATAATTTGGTACTCTTTTGTCTAAAGAGGGCCCCTAAAACTGGATCAACTCCTGTGCAGGAGAAAAGAGAGAGACTTGGGTTTGCTCAAGTCTCTTCCCCACCTAGCTGTGAGCTATGTAAGGGCAGACACTGGGCCTGACTTCTTCTGGGCTGTATCCCTGGTGGGGTGCAGCCACACAGCAGGTGCTCAGAATGTGCTGAATGATGAATGGGCAAGGCCCTGGGAAACCGTCCTTTGGAAGGAAGGTGGGCCTCAGACACATGTTAGCATGAATCACACATGTATTTTGGAGGAGGCAGCAGTGGGCAGGTGCATTTGGTACAAGCAGAGCCCCATGATACTCACCTGGGAGAGGCATCCCATTGGCCATGAGGGTCAATTGGTCGGCGATGGCTTTGGTTCGGGAGTAGTGGTCTACGTGCTGCCAGAGGCCAGGAAAAACAGAACCACCAGAGAGGGTCAGCAATGCTGCTGGCAATGCCTGCCCAGCCCCAGGGCTGCACCTTCCCTGGGGACTCCCACTGGGATATGGCCAGGCCCTGAGCCCCATGGCCTTTCCTCTCCCCCTGGGTGGGAGAACAGTGCATCTCCTTCCAGAGCCACAGGAGCAGAGGAGCACTGGGTTCGGAGCAGTAACAATGACCAGGGGCAGCCGACTCAGGGAGGCTCCTGCCAGCCCCAGACACCTGTCCTTGCAAGGCTGATGCTGGACACATGCTGGATGAATTACCTACACATGGCTCTTTTGTGTTCACATGGCATTTTCACATCGGTTATCTTATTTCCTGCTCTGCACAACCCCATGGTGATAGTGTTACCATACTGGGTTGAAGAAACAGAGGCTTGTCCGGGTGCAGTGGCTCATGCCTGTAATTCCAGCACTTTGACAGCCGCAGGAGGGAGGATTGATTGAGCCCAGGAGTTCGAGACCAGCCTGGGCAACTCAATGAAACCTGTATCCACTAAAAATACAAAAATTAGCTGGGCGTGGTGGCGCACGACTGTAGTCCCAGCTACTGGGGAGGCTGAGGCAGGAGAATCACTTGAACCCGGGAGGCAGAGGTTGCAGTGAGCTGAGATCATGACACTGCACTCCAGTCTGAGTGACAGAGCAAAGCAAGACCTTGTCTCAAAACAAAACAAAACAAACAAACAACACGCCTGTAATCCCAGCACTTTGGGAGGCTGAGGCTGGCAGATCACGAGGTCAAGAGATGGAGACCATCCTGGCCAACATGGTAAACCCTGTCTCTACTAAAAATACAAAAATTGGCTGGTTGTGGTGGCATGCACCTATAATCCCAGCTACTTGGGAGGCTGAGGCAGGAGAATCTATTGAACCCAGGAGGCAGAGGTTGCAGTGAGCCAAAATCACGCCACTGCACTCCAGCCTGGGGACAGGGTGAGACTCTGTCTCAAAAAAACAAAAGAAAAGAAAAGAAAAAAAAACAGGCTCAAAGGGCTTAAGTGATTTGCTCAGGGTCAGGGTCACATGGGTAGAATGCGGCCAGGTTGAGGCTAAGGCCAGACCTGTCTGATTTCAATGCCCCTGCAGGTGTGACCAACTGAAACAGGAGAGTGCTGACGCCACCCAGTTTTGGGAGCCCCTTCCTGCTAGGACGTATCCTGAGTTGTGAAACCAACCCTGCTTCCACCCATCCCTCCCCTCTGAGCTGTGGGTCCCGGGCCCGCGGGTCCTGCCCACCTCTCCCGGAAGACAGGTACCTCGTCCAATGGGAAATATGGCACAGAGTCCTCATCGCCCTGCTCTATGGGCTTCCCTCCAAATGCAACATTGACAGTGCTGGTATAGATGAGCCTTGGAACCCGCCGGCGAACACAGACTGCAGCAGCAGGTGCACATAGCAACAAATAAACACACACACACATGCAAAGACACAGACACACACGGGACACAAGTGAGCATAGAGTCGGCTGAGGAGGTGTCATGCAGATCTCTACCAAGTTTTCAACACACAACTTGGACCCCCAGGACCCTCCCAGAATCTACAGCTGTTCAGGAGGGAAGAGTCTCCTGCCCTTAACTTAGGGTGCAGGTCAAGTTCCTGCTCTGTGGGCCCCTGGGAGCCAGGTCTGCTCCTTATTCTTTCTCATTGTGGCTTGGACCCCTGGGCTACCTTGCCAGAGACAGGTCAGAAGAAGGTCTCACTGGATGGAGACTTAGAAAAAGACACTCTAGAATCAAAGACATACGGGATAAGGCAGGACATGCCCAGGCAGCCCACACATGGGTCTGCGATTTTGGTGCTTTAGTAACTTTTTATTTATCTGTTTGTTTATTTATTTATTTATTTATTTATTGAGACGGAGTTTCACTCTTGTTGCCCAGGCTGGAGTGCAATGGCGCGATCTCGGCTCACCACAACTTCCCCCTCCCAGGTTCAAGCGATTCTCCTGCCTCAGCCTCCCGAGTAGCTGGGATTACAGGCATGCGCCACCACGCCCCGCTAATTTTGTAGTTTTAGTAGAGATGGGATCTCTTCGTGTTGGTCAGTCTAGCCCCGAACTCCCGACCTCAGGTGATCCACCTGCCTCGGCCTCCCAAAGTGCTGGGATTACAGGCGTGAGCCACCTCGCCCAGACTTATTTATTTATTTTTAAATTTTATTTATTTATTTATTTTGAGATGGAGTTTTGCTCTTGTTACCCAGGCTGTAGAGCAGTGGCACGATCTCGGCTCACTGCAACCTCTGCCTCTCAGATTCAAGCGATTCTCCTGCCTCAGCCTCCTAGGTAGGTGGGACTGCAGGCACCCGCCACCACGCCTGGCTAATTTTTTGTATTTTTAGTAGAGGTGGGGTTTCACCATTTTGGCCAGGCTGGTCTCGAACTCTTGACCTCAGGTGATCCACCCCTGTTGGTCTCCCAAAGTGCTGGGATTACAGGCATGAGCCACCACGCCCAGCCAGCTTCGGCAACTTTTCTTTTTCCAGTCCCTAAGCCCTGAGAGGTAACTCTGGTCCCCATGTTCCCAGACATGCTAAGGCCACACTGACACACCCATGCAGGGCCCTGGGGAGGTCTGCAGTGCACGAAGGATGCGCTGCCCACAGGCCCTCCCTTTGACCCTACACCCTGGGAGCCAGGCCTGCAGCAGGAGAAGGGAGAGAGGGGGAGAGGCACAGCAGGTCATACCCGGCTCTGAGCACCTACCATCAATCACTAGTTTGGTGCCTCCAACATTTATAGACTCAATCTGCTCTTTCTGCAGCTAAAAGACAAGACAGGTGAGAAAGTCATGGTGCTACCCATGCCTTCTTGCTGAGGCTGGAAGGCTGAGCTTGGGGTCAGGTGGGACAGGGCAGCAGGATGTTCAGTTCAGAGGCAGGGATCCCGAAGGCCCACCTGGAGTGTGGGTGCCTGGCTCTGCCACCATCTTCCTGGGTGGCCAGAGGAGGTTCTGCCCACACATCTGTCCCTCAGCAACCTCATTTGTAAAGTGAGGGCCAACCTCCTCCCCTGGGTGGTGGGCGGGACTCAATAAGACACTTGAGAGGACCTGGTACAGTGCCTGGCACAGAAGATGGGCTCAGAACCTGTTGGGTCATTTTCCTACTCTCAAAGCCTCAGTTTCCCTATCTGTAAGGTGAACATGGTAATATGGGCTGGGCCCTCACGAGGGAGCTGGGATGTGAAAAACAAAAATTAGGCCGCTGTGAGGGCTCCTGTGGGCCAGGAACAGGGCAAGAACTTCCTGATCCATGATCTCATTTAATTCTCATCACACCAGGAGATGAGCTCCATGCTTATTTTTAAGCTATATTTATTATTATTATTTTTTTGAGACCGAGTTTAGCTCTTGTTGTCCAAGGTGGAGTGTAGTGGTACAATCTTGGCTCACTGCAACCTCTGCCTCCCGGGTTTGAATGATTCTCCTGCCTCAGCCTCCCAAGTAGCTGGGATTACAGGCATGCACCACCATGCCTGGCTAATGTTTTTGTATTTAGTAGAGATGGGGTTTCATCATGTTGGTCAGGATGGTCTCAAACTCCTGACCTCAGGTGATCCACCTGCCTTGGCCTCTCCAAATGTTGGGGGTACAGGCATGAGCCACTGCTTCCAGCCTATATTTATTCTTTTAAAAATTTTTGGCCAGGTGTGGTATCTCATGCCTGTAATCCCAGCACTTTGGGAGGCCGAGGTGGGCGGATCACTTCAGGTCAGGAGTTTGAGACCAGCTTGAGCAACATGGCAAAACCCCATCTCTACTAAAAATACAAAAATTAGCCAGGTGTGGTGGCGTGCAACTGTAATCTTAGCTACTCAGGAGTCTGAGGCAGAAGAATCGCTTGAGCCTGGGAGGTGGAGGCTGCAGTGAGCTGAGATCATATCACTGCACACCAGCCTTGGTGACTGAGCGAAACTCCGTCTCAAAAATAAATAAATAAATAAAAATAATAAAATTTACTTTTATTATTTTTAAATAGAGATAGGGGTCTCACTATGTTGCCCAGGCTGGTCTCGAACTCCTGGGCTCAAGCAATCCTCCCACCTTGGCCTCCCAAAGTGCTGGGATTACAGGTGTGAGCCACCACACCTGGCTCTATATTTATTCTTGTTGTGGCTGTTTTTGTTTCATAGGCAACACGATCAAGGTTAAAAAGAATTCAAACAGTAAAATGGGTGTATAGTGAAAAAGAAGGTTCCCTCCTACTCCTGATTCCAAATCTTCCTTTTCCCTCCCCAGAGGCAGCCACTGTTAAATTTCCGGTGTTTCTCGAGATAATCTATTCTTATTAATATCAGCATATAAGCATGTGTGACTATAGAAATAAATAGTTTCTTTAGCTTTTTTTGGAAACAAACAGGAGAATGCCAAACACTGCTTTGCACCTTGGAAACTATTTTTTTAATCTGCACACTTTGAGTTACCTCTTTCTTTTGAATGGCTGCATAGAATTTGACTGTAAAACACAATTTATTTAAATAGTCCTCAACTGATAGGTTATTTCTGGTGTTTTGTTATTAAAAACAATGCTGCAAATACACAAATGAGTGTAATTTCTGAGGCAACGGGTATACATATGTTTTGGTGGATACTATTACATTGCTCTCTGAAGAGGTTGTGATATTACCAATAGTAATATCCTCACTTTCCAGATGATGAAAGAGGATCAAAGAGGTTAAATAAACTTGCCCTAGATAACACAGTTATAAAATGGCAGAAATGGGGCCGGGTGCGGTGGCTCCTGCCTGTAATCCCAGCACTTTGGGAGGCCAAGGCGGGCAGATCACCTGAGGTCAGGAGCTTGAGACCAGCCTGGCCAACATGGTGAAACCCTGTTTCTACTAAAAATACAAAAATTAGCTGGGCGTGTTGGTGGCACCTGTAATCCCAGCTACTCAGGAGGCTGAGGCAGAAGAACCACTTGAACCTGGGAGATGGAAGTTGCAGTGAGCTGAGATTGTGCCACTGCACTCCAGCCTGGGTGACAGAGTGAGACTCAGTCTCAAAAAAAAAAAAAAAAAAAAAAAAAAAAAAAAAAAAATGGCAGAACTGGTATTTGGTGTCATGGATGCAGGATGCAGGGTGGGAGTAGCCCAAGTCCCTCCTATAATAGGTGAAGCATGATAGGGAATGCATGGGTGTGAGGGCAGAGCCAGGACTGGAACCCCACTCTGTCTAACTCCAGGTGTTGTGTGTGAGGAGCCCACCTTCTCAGCCCCGGACATTCCATAGGAAGCCACGTGGAAGACACAGTCCACCCCTTCGAAGGCACGGTACAGGGCTTCTTCATCTCGGACATCAGCCTGCACCAGAGGAAGAAGAGATGAGGGCAGGGGGTTCAAGTCCAAGGCAAGAGATAACACCTCTGCACCTTGCCTGGTCTCAGAACTGGCCCCCTGACCCAGCCCAGGCCAAGCCTCTGTAGCATCAGGAAAGGCTGGTGGGGCAGGATTCACTAAATGATTCTACAGGGCACCGTGAGCAACATCCCGTGCTCATTCATCACGCTCTGTAGGTGACAGGGGCTGTGCTAGGTTTATGTGCACTGTCTCATCAACTCCCAATGAGACCCTGTGAAGTAGGTGTTGGTTACTATTGTCCCCTTTCTGTGACCATAGCTACCCAGCTGGTAGCACCAGAGCCAGAGCTATAGCTCAAACAGTCTGGCTTCAAACAGTGTGCCCCTAAACTCCACACCACAGGTTTCACATCAAACACTGTCCCCTGACCATCACCACTGCCCCAGTCTATTAAGACCCTTGTTCCTTGTACCTGGATGAACTTGGTTTCCGGGGACAGTTCCCACTGGGGTCTGCGGCGGTCAAGCAGAATGACGGAAGTGCCGCTCTTGGCTAGGTGGGATCCCAGGCTGAAGCCCAGGTAGCCTCCTCCTCCAGTCACTAGAACCTTCTGCCTGGCAGCCTTTGTAGGTTTGGCTTGAGTCTTCTGCTGCGGCGCTGGTGTTGGGGTTGTTGTTGACTCACTGGGTCTGGGCCCAGTCCCAGACCCCTGTCTGAGCCCAGGCCCTAGCTCTGGCTCAGGTGTAGACCCAGCTCCTGCCCCAGGTACTGATCCAGCTCCCGGCCCAGGTACCGATCCAGCTCCCGGCCCAGGTACCGATCCAGCTCCCGGCCCAGGTACAGACCCAGCTCCTGGCCCAGCTCCTACACCAGGTCCCAACCCACCTCCTAGACCAGGTCCCGACCCAGCTCCTGGTCCAGGTACAGACCCAGCTCCTGGCCCAGGTACGGACCCAGCTCCTGGCCCAGGTACGGACCCAGCTCCTGGCCCAGGTACGGACCTAGCTCCTAGACCAGGTACGGACCCAGCTCCTGGCCCAGGTACAGACCCAGCTCCTGGCCCAGGCCCTAGACCTGGTCCAGTCCCTGAAATAGCACCAGGCCTCGGAACAGTACCAGAACCCGCCTGAGGTCCTGGAATAGCTTTGGGCCCCAGTCCAGGCCCTGGAATGGCACCAGGCTTTGGTGCAGGCCTTGACTCAGACCCTGAGCCAGACCTTGGACCTGAGACCTCTCCACAGGCCTGGCAGACAGGGCAGCTCTTCTCACCCTGGCCTGCAGCTTTGCAGGCCTCTAGGGAGGAGCGTGGGGGGTTGGACTTCATCCTCTACTGAGCCATGCAGACCCAGAAACCGACCACCTGTGGGAAAAAAAATAGAAGAAAGAATGCTCTAGAATCGTTTCAAGTCACATAAATTATTAGACCTCTAGGACTGAGGGGAACTCCAGGTGGAAATTAGAAATTCTCTGAGTTCCCAGGGAACCTGCCCCTTTCAGAATCTCAAGAATCTCCAGTGTGGGCCCGGCGTGGTGGTTCACGTCTGTAATCCCAGCAGTTTGGGAGGCTGAGGTGGGCGGATCACTTGAGGCCAGGAGTTGGAGATCAGCATGGCCAACATGGTGAAATCCTGTCTCTACTGAAAATACAAAAATTAGCCGGGTGTAGTGGGGCACACCTGTAATCCCAGCTACTCAGGAGACTGAAGCACAAGAATTGCTTGAACCTGGAAGGCGGAGGTTGCAGTGAGCTGAGATGGTGCCACTGCACCCCAGTCTGGGCAATAGAATGAGACTCAGTCTCAAAAACAAACAAACAAACAAACAAACAAAAAACTCCAGTGTGGCTGCTGTCCTCTGCACAGAGTCAGAGACAAGGCAGCCAAGACTTGGATTTTAGAGCTAAGAAAATTGAGGCCCAAAGTCACGCTGTGTAACTGAGGTTGACATTAAGCATTCCTGACTTATCTACCAGTTCCTTAAAATTCCAGTTTCCATGGAGTACCAAAGGAAGACAGGGCAAATCATCCAGCGGGAACCTCACCAGACTGGGAGGTGGCTGCTTTCTGACTGGGGAGATTGGGAGAGCCTTCTGGAAGAGGAGGAAGAGAAAGAGGAGGAGGAGGAGAATCCACATGGATCCAAAAGGACTCTGCACCCTGGAAACTTGCACATGACTCCAAGTGCTGTGCCTGTCTCCACCCTGATGCCTGACGCCTCTGGTCCTCCAAGGTCCGACAGTAGTGTGGGTGGCTGGTACCACACGTTCTGCCCAATCCCTCTGCAGGCTTTAGGGTCTGGTCTATGGGCCTAGGGGGACAGCACTGAGGATCCTGTTCTTTGCAGCCTCAGACTACTTTCTTTTCTCTGTCGCCCAGGCTGGAGTGCAGTGGCACAATCATAGCTCACTGCAGCTTCAAACTTCTGTGCTCAAGCGATCCTTCCATCTTAGCCCCACAAGCAGCTGGGAATACAGGTGCATGCTACCATGCCTGGTGAATTTTTGCATTTTTAGTAGAGATGGGGTTTCACCATGTTGGCCAGGCTGGTCTTGAACTCCTGACCTCAAGTGATCCTCCCACCTCAGCCTCCCAAAGTGCTGGGATTACAGGTGTGAGCCACCGCATCCAGCTCCCTAGATCTTTTTTTAATTTTTGAGACAGAGTCTCACTCTGTTGCCCAGGCTAGTAGTGAACTCCTGGAACTCAAGCAATTCTCCTGCCTTGGCCTCCCAAAGTGTTGAGATTACAGGCGTTAGCCACTGTGCCCAGCCCTCAGTCTAGACTCAGGGCAAGCCAGGCTGTCAGTCACTGTCACCATCGTCCATCCCCCCACCCCCCTCCCGACCTCCCTCTCCACCTGAGGATGAGGCTGGATGACCAGGGCTAGGTGATCATTAACCGTAACAACAGCAACCATGTGCTAGGGACCTCTGTGCGCCAGGCCCTACATATACAGATAGGTGCATCTCTGCCCTGCATGGCATATACTGGCTGCATGAAAGAACGGGTATTTGTTGAGTGACTGGACTGATGAGCCCCATGTTTTTTTGCTGGTGGTGGTCACAGGGCAGGGACTCTGGCAGCTAGAGGGGCTGTATTTTTAATTTCCTCTGTTACTGCCCTGCTCACCAAATGTCTGGGTGAGGAATACAGTCCTGCCCCGTATAAGCACGAACACTCATGGCTTTATTTATTTATTTAGAGAAGGAGTCTCACTCTGTTGCTCAGGCTGGAGTGCAGTGGTGTGATCTTGGCTCACTGCAACCTCCGCCTGCCTTGTTCAAGCAATTCTCCTCCCTCAGCCTCCCGAGTAGCTGGGACTACAGGCACGCGCCACCACACCTGGTTAATTTTTGTATTTTTAGTAGAGACGGGGGTTTCACCATTTTGGCCAGGCTGGTCTCAAACTCCTGGTCTCAAGTGATCTGCCACCCTCAGCCTCCCAAAGTGCTGGGATTACAGGCGTGAGCCACTGCGCCCAGCCCACTCATGGATTTAATGAGAGAGACTGCAAACCATCATGAGCAGGGGCCTAAATCCCCGAGAGGGAGAGGAGAGGATGCAGCCCCACAGCGAGCCCTCCTCCTGTACTCAGGCCCAGAGGACTCTGTTCTGGGGAAGGGTCTATGGGACCAGAGCTGACTTTCTACCCTAAGAGGATGCCTTTTGTGGCAAAGGCTGGACTCAGCCTTGGATACTCACTTATTGGGGTGTGCCCTTGGGTAAGGGCCTTAAAACCTCACTGTACCTTAGTACCCACAACCGCGAATGGACCCAAATATTTC
The DNA here is from genome assembly GCF_000001405.40 of Homo sapiens. Lineage (NCBI taxonomy): Eukaryota > Metazoa > Chordata > Mammalia > Primates > Hominidae > Homo > Homo sapiens. The sequence goes on from NW_017852933.1 coordinate 941,916, forward strand.
TGGCTGCTCTGGCTCCTCACAGGGTGGTCATGAGAAAACAGACGCCAGAATGCCTTGCGAGGCTAGATTGCAAAGCTCCAGGAGGATTTCATTCCCTGGAGTGTCCCAGCACCTAGAACAGTGCCTGGCGCAAAGCAGGCGGCCAGCAAATGCTGCTGGGTGAACAAAATCTCTGGGGCGTGTTCGGGATCTGGCTGTGCTATGGTCGCGCGCCAGACCCACCCTGGACATGGCTTCACTCATTCTTTTGGAAGTTCAGTGAAGTACAGGCTATGGTTCCCATTACCCAGAGGTGGAAACTGAGGCCCAGAGAACATGAGGAAACTTTGATGGAGTCACAGACAGTGTCTCCGCCGGAATCCAGGTCGATGGGGACCCCAAAAGCGGGTTTGGTGGAAGGAACTGGCAAAAGGGTGGGGAGCATCAGGGACTGACCCTGAGAGCGCTGGGCTCGCGGGCAGCTCCAGGGTGGGGGTCCCCTCCCCTCTTGGCTCCCTCACCCTCCCTGTCCCTCCAGCACCTGCGTCCCTCCCTGGCCCGCGTCCGGGCTTCGCTCACCTGGCCCGGGCTCCCGCGGCGCTGCGTGCTCCCCGCGCTGCGCCAGTCTCCGCGCCGCCAGGGCCACCGGGCCACCTCCTTCTCCCGAGGAGGGCAGAAAGGGGCGGGGCGGGGCGGGACGAGGCATCCGGACCGCCCCCCGCCCGCTCTTCTGCCCGCCCACTCCCGGCGCGGGAGCACCTGCATTCTCTCAGGTGGAGACCCGCGGGCTCTCATAGAGGGGAAACTGAAGCCAGTAGGGCTGGGATGGGCGAAATGGTCCACGCTTCTTGTGGGAAAAGACGCAAAGGCCCTGCGTGCCGGGCTCTGTCCTGCAGGCCAAGTCGTCCTAGAACCCCAAGAAAAAGGGTTTCATCTATATGTAGGAGCAGAATTGCTGGGTCATATGATTACTCTGTGTTTAGAGAAGAACCGCCAAACTGTTTTCTAAAGTAGCTGTACCATTTTACAATCCTACCAGCAGTGTATAGGGTTCCAATACTTCCGCATCCTTACCAACACTTATTATTATATCTATGTTTAAAATTTTAACTATTCTACTGGGTGTGAAGTGGTGTCTCATTGTGGTTTCATTTGAATTTCCTGATAGCTAATGCTGCTGAACATGTTTTCATGTGCTCATTGGCACATTAATGTGTTTTCTTTGGAGAAGTGTCTGTTCAAATCCTTTGCTCATTTTCAGTTGAGTTATTTGTTGACTTTTAAGAGTTCTTTGTATATTCTGGATACAAATCCTTCATCAGATAAATGATTTGCAAATATTTAAACAAAAACAAAAAACCAAAAAAGTTCTTCCATCATCCATCCTTCCACCTATCCATCCATCCTTCCATCCATCCATCCTTCCACCTATCCATCCAACCTTCCATCCATCCATCCTTCCACCTATCCATCCAACCTTCCATCCATCCAGCCTTCCACCTATCCATCCAGCCTTCCACCTATCCATCTAACCTTCCATCATCCATCCTTCCACTTATCCATCCAATCTTCTCCCTGACCATCCTTCTGCTTATCCATCCAACCTTCCATCCATCTGTACTTCTACCTGTCCATCCAGCTTTCCATCCATCTTTATTTCAACCTGTCCTTTCCATCCATCTGTATTTCAACCTATCCATACAACCTGTCATCCATCCATTCTTAAACCTGTCCATCCAACCTTCCATCATCTATCCTTCCACCTATCCATCCAAATTTCCATCCATCCAACCTTCCACCCATCTAATTCATTACATATATCTTTCTTTCCTTGCTTCTACCCATCTATCTACTCTCCCTGTCTTGCAATCTTCCACTTATCTCTGTTGATTTATGCATCAATCACATCATTCTATTTTGATGGGTGCTTCTTCAGTGCTGGATCATATCATCCTTTGAAAACTCATGTTCAGCTGGGTGTGGTGGCTCATGCCTGTAATCCCAGCACTTTGGGAGGCTGGGGTGGGCAGATCACTTGAGCCTAGGCATTTAAGACCAGCCTGGACAACATAGTGAGAGCCCATCTCTACAAAAAATTACAAAAAAAAATTAGCCGGGCATGGTGGCATGTGCCTGTAGTCCCAGCTACTTGGGAGGCTGAGGCAGGAGGATCACCTGAGCCTGGGAGGTGGAGGCTATGGTGGGCTGTGATTGTGCCACTGCAGTCTCATGCTGGAGAGCTCAGGCAATGGAGTGAGATCCTGTCTCAGTAAAAGAAAACTCATGTTCAAGTGGCAGTATTGGAGGGTCAGGCATGTGCCCAAGAGCTCACAACTGCTGTAATGGAGCCACAGGGGCTGAGAGCAGGAAGGGCTGGTCACTTTGCTCTGAAAAGGGCAACTGAAAAAGCCTCCACCCATACAACACCCTCTGTGGGCATAGGTGTGGGGAAGAGAAAAACAAAATCTTAGTCTGCATGTTCTATGAGCCAGATGGTAAGAGATCTTGTTTAATCCTCACAACTCTGTTTTAGCTCAATTTTAGAGACAGGGAAACAGGTTCAGAAAAGGGGCTCCAAATGTGGTGGGGAAAAGCCATAGGGTCAGTCCTGGATTTAAATCTTGGCTTTGCCACTTTCTTGCTGTGTGTCTTTGAGCAGCTACGAGGCTCAGTTTCCTCATCTGTAAACTGCAAATGATGTGCACTTTATAGTTGTCATGCTGTGAGGTTTATGGCTAACATGCTCTATGCAAAATGTTGAGCATGGTGCTGGCTCAATCAGTGTGCAAACAATGGTAGCTGTTCTCCTCATTACATGGGAGGTTGGGATTTGAACCTAGGTCCTGTCCTTCCCCACTTCATAAGCCATGTGTTTGGTTCAACCTTCCATTCACAAAGGCCAGCCTATTCTTCTCCCACCAACAGGGCCAGAGAACTCATATTCCCCAGTACCAGCTGCTGATATTGTCTTGCAAAGAGAAGCATAACTTACATCTGTGACGGGTTGAATTGTGTTCTTCACAAAATTCATATGTGGAAGTCCCAATCCCATGTACTTAACCCTAACTCTCCAAATAAAGTCACTGCAGATGTAATGAGTTAAGGTCATAGTGGAGTAGGGTGGGCCCCTACTCCAGTATGATTGGTGTTCTTATAAAGAGGGGAAATTTGAACAGAGACATGCACATAGGCAGAGCTTCATGTGAAGGCTGTAGTTATGCTGCCCAAAGCCAAGGAACTACCAGAATGGAGGAGAGAAGTCTGGAACGGATCCTTCCCAGTGTCTTCAGAGGGAGCATGGCCCTGAGGGCATCTTAATCTTGAATTTCCAGCTTCCAGAACAATAAGAGAATACATTTCTGTTGTTTCATCCACTCAATTTGTGGTACTTTGTTATGACAGCTCTAGCAAATGAATACAACCACCACAGGCCCTTTTCTCTGTATTTACAGACGTGACCCAAAATGGCAGCTGTGCAAGATGGACCAGACTGAGATTTACCATGGCAGGGGTTGTGGTCACCACTGCCTTCCTGGGCCCAGCACAGAGCCTGGCCAAAGCAGGGTCTCATCAAGCCTTAGCAAGTGAGTTTCGTTTTTTTTGAGACAGAGTCTCTGTTGCCAGGCTGGAGTGCAGTGGCACGATCTCAGCTCACTGCAACCTCCACCTCCCGGGTTCAAGCGATTCTCCTGCCTCAGCCTCCGAGTAGCTGGGACTACAGGCGTCCACCACCATGCCTGGCTAATTTTTGTATTTTTGGTAGAGACAGGGTTTCTCCATGTTGGCCAGGCTGGTCTCGAACTCCTGGCCTTGAGCCATCTGCCTGCCTTGGTCTCCCTAAGTGCTGGGATTACAGGCGTGAACCACCGCACCTGGCCACAACTGAGTGTTTTTAAACAACTTGATGAATTTTTACTTATGTATAGCTCAATGTAACTCCTACCTTTATCAATATATAGAATATTTTCATCACACCAGATGTCCCCTTTGTGTCCCCCATCCCACAGGGTAACTAGTATTTTGACTTCAATCACCAATAAGGAGTTTGGCTGGTTCTTGAACTTCATATAAATGACTTTATACAGTATGTACTCCTTTGTGTCTGGTTTCTTTTGCCCAATATTATGAGACTGATGCATCTTGTTGAATATAGCTGTATAGATCATTCTTTTTTGGGGGTGCAGGCAGGGTCTCACTCTATTGCCAAGGCTGGAGTATAGTGGCATGATCAAGGCTCACTGCAGCCTCAACCTCTCCTGGGCTCAGGTGATCCTTGCACCTCAGCCTCCTGAGTAGCTGGCACTACAGGCATATGCCTCCAAGCCTGGCTAATTTTTGTATTTTTTTGTAAAGATGGGTTCTCACCATGTTACCTAGGCTAGTCTCAAACTCCTGGGCTCAAGCCATCTACCTGCCTTGGTCTCCCAAAGTGCTGGGATTTCAGGTGTGAGCCACCACATGAGCCGTTCATTCTTTTTAAATTGATGCATAATATTTCACTGTAAAATGTATCAGATTTTATTTGCACATTCTGCCACTGATGGACATTGGGTAGTTTCCAATTTTGAGCTCTAATGAATAAGGCTGCTGGAAAAATTCTTATATGTCTTTTGTCTAACATATGCACTCATTACCCTTGGAGTGGAATTACTAGATCATAGAGTAGGCATATGTTTTACTTTAGTAGAAATTGCCAAATAGTCTTCCAAAGTTATTGAGTCAAATTATACGTCCCTACCCCAACCCCTACCCTAATTGGAATATGAGTGTTCCAACTGTTCCACATCTTGATATTGTAGTTCTTTTTTTGTTCTGTTTTTAGAGACAGGGTCTCATTCTGTTGCCCAGGCTGGAGTGCAATGGCCCAGTCTCAGCTCATTGCAATCTCCACCTCCTGGGTTCAAGCGATTCTCATGCCTCAGCCTCCTGAGTAGCTGGAATTACAGGTGTGCACCACCATGCCCAGCTAATTTTTGTTGTTTTTAGTAGAGACGGGGTTTCACTATGTTGGCCATGCTGGTCTCAAACTTCTGACTTCATGTGATCCGCCCACCTTGGCCTCCCAAAGTGCTGGGATTACAGGTGTGAGCCACCATGCCTGGCCATCTTGTCTTTTTGTTTGTTTGTTTTTAAGAGACAGGGTCTTACTCTGTTGCCCACGCTGGAGTGCAATGGCACAATCATAGCTAACTGTAGTCTCAAACTCCTGGGCTCAACTGATCCTCATGCCTCAGCCTCCTGAGCAGCTAAAACTACATGCATTGGGCCACCATGCCTGGCTAATTTCTTTTAAATTTTTGGAGACATGGGGTCTTGCTATGTTGCCCAGGCTGGTGTTGAACCCCTGGCATCAAGCAATCCTCCCATCTCAGCCTCGCAAAGTGTTGGGATTAGAGGCATGAGCCACTGTGCCCAACCCCAGTCTTTTTTATTTTAGCCATTCTAGTGGGAGTGTAGTGGCATCTCACTGTGGTTTTAATTTACACTTCCCTGGCAGGTAAGGCTGTTGAGCACCTTTTCATGTACCTATTGTCCATTTTAAAAATTGGATGGGCTGGACGCGGTGACTCATGCCTGTAATCCCAGCACTTTGGGAGTCTCAGTCGGGCCGGATCACCTGAGGTCAGGCGTTTGAGACCAGCCTGGCCAACATGGTGAAACCCCGTCTCCACTAAAAATAAAAATAAAAAAAATTAGCTGGGCGTGGTGGCAGGCACCTGTAATCCCAGCTACCCTACTCGGGAGGCTGAGGCAGGAGAATCGCTTGAACCTGGGAGGCGGAGGTTGCAGTGAGCTGAGATCGTGCCACTGCACTCCAGCCTGGGCAAAAAGAGTGAGACTGTGCCTAAAAAAAAAAAAAAAATTGAGATGGGCCAGGCACAGTGGCTCACGCCTATAATCCCAGCACTTTGAGAGGCCAAGGCGGGCAGATCCCCTGAGATCAGGAGTTCAAGACCAGCCTGGCCAACATAATGAAACCCTGTCTCTACTAAAACAAAAATTAGCCAGACGTGGTGGCAGGCCCCTGTAGTCCCAGCTGCTCAGGAGGCTGAGGCAGGAGAATTGCTTGAACCCAGGAGGCGGAGGTTGCAGTGAGCCGAGATTGCACCACTGCACTCCAGCCTGGGCAACAGAGCGAGACTCTGTTTCCAAAAAAAACAAAAAAATGGATGTTTATCTTTTTCTTATTGAAATTCTTTATTATGGTATGAGTCTTTTAATAAAGTTTTATGTCACTAAAAATTTATGCACACACACACACGCCAATGATCACTTCAAACAGTTAAAGTCATGTTGATCCTATTAGTAGAATAAAATTAATTGTTTTTAATTTTAGAAAATGAACCCAGATGAGCAGCCTTCACTTCAGTTTGGTTGGGCAGGGATGGAGGGTGGTGCTGAGGCTCACTTGTTTCTTCTTCCCCCAGGATGGGCTGACTGTGACTCTGCATTAGCCTCTTATGAACCAGGGTGGAGACCACCCCATCAGCTGCTTTCCAGAGCTAGGCTCTCACAGCTCAGCCGCCTGCTCACTGTTCACCATGTGTCTCCTATGTGGCAGCTTCTGGGGACCTGCAGATCCTGGGACACCAGTCTCATCCCGAAGGAGCTCACCATCAAGGAGAAGAGTTAGATCAGCGAGCAAGGTGGCGTGACATAGAGTGCTGAGTGCGAGAGGTCTGCGTGGTCAGGATGCTGCAAGAGAAAGACTGGAGGCCCCTCGCTCTAGATAGGTCCCAGGGAGCTGATGTCATTTGAGCTGTGCCTTGATGGATGAGCAGGAGTCTCCAGGCAGAGGGGGCAAGAAGCACCGTTCAGGCAGGGGGTTGGTTTGCAAGAAGCACCACCATTTAGGCAGGGGGTTGGTTTAGGGCTTCCCAGAGAGGGACAATCTAGTGGCTGGAGAGTAGAGTGCGCTGCGGGACAGGGCTGGAGAGTTAGATTAAGACCCGGGAATGGCCCCTCACACAAAAGACAAAGTCTTTCCTTCCTCAGCTTCCAGAGAGTCCTGGTACCAGGAATCATGTTTCCTGCAGGTCACAGCATTTCATCCCATCCTGCCCTCGGGGCTGAGATTTGCTCAGTGAGTGGTCCTTTGCAGGATGACTTTTCTGTTTAGAGGAATCATTATTTTTTAACCAAAGTTATTATTGACCACAAAATAGAGCATGCCACTTGGTGCTTAGTGCACACTCAGGTAGTATGGGGTCTAGCCCCTCCCCTTACCTGAGAACACTTCTCTAGGAAAGAGTGACCTTTGGTTCTGCATCATTTTTCTTCTGGAGTTGGGATCTGGTGGGCAGGAGATGAAGAAAGATGGTCTCCCTGGTGCCCAGATTTCTGGGCTGGCTGGGAGAAGCAGGGCAGGAACCCTTGGAGCAAGGGTACCATCATGGGTGCGGCCCTTCTCGATGGGGTCCGGGGTCTGCATGGGCTGTAGCCACATGGCAGGCCGGAGAGGCTGCGTGAAGGGCATACCTGAAGGATTGGGCCTGCCAGAGGAAGCTTCTGGCCTTGGTGATCTCCTGGGCCAGGATCCTTAAATCATCTCCTTCAAATGGTGGCAATGTGGGATCCTTGAAAAGAGGAAATGAGTGTGAAGTTTATGACTGGATGGGAGCTGAAAATCCAAAATCTCAGGAAAAGCATTTTAGAGCTAATCACGTTCTGGTTTCCATCCAGTGCAGGAAATCTTGTGAGCCTCTGCTTGTATATCTCCAGGGTCAGGAAGCTCACTACCTATCAAGACAGTCATTCTGCAAAGGGGAAACTTTGAAATATGGTGTCTGAGAGTCAGTGTAGGGAGGGGACGGTGGCAAAGTACGATGGTGTCAGAATCTGAGTGAAAGTGGCCCCACTCTGGTCCAGTGGAACAGAAATGACACCGTTTCCTTATCTCAGCGCTATTCAGTAGAATCTGTTCAGCCATTTTTTGCATTTCTTCTAGTGAAGTAGACTTACAGGTATGCTTTTTATTTGGTTGATTTTAGAGACAGAGCCTTGCTCTGTTGTCCTGGCTGCAGGGCAGTGGCGTGATCACGGCTCACTGTAGCCTCGACCTCCTGGGCTCAAGCTATCCTCCCACTTCAGCCTCCCAAGTAGCTAGGACCACAGGCATGTGCCACCACACCTGGCTGAGGCATGCTTTTTTTTTTTTTTTTTTTTTTTTTTTTTTTTTTTGAGACGGAGTCTCGCTCTGTCGCCCAGGCCGGACTGCGGACTGCAGTGGCGCAATCTCGGCTCACTGCAAGCTCCGCTTCCCGGGTTCACGCCATTCTCCTGCCTCAGCCTCCCGAGCAGCTGGGACTACAGGCGCCCGCCACCGCGCCCGGCTAATTTTTTGTATTTTTAGTAGAGACGGGGTTTCACCTTGTTAGCCAGGATGGTCTCGATCTCCTGACCTCATGATCCACCCGCCTCGGCGTCCCAAAGTGCTGGGATTACAGGCGTGAGCCACCGCGCCCGGCTGAGGCATGCTTTTTAAAAAAAATGTTAACTAATAAAATTTCGCCACCTATCCTTAAAAATACATCTTACCAATCCCAGCGCTTTGGGTGGCTGAGGCGGGTGGATCACTTGAAGTCAGGAGTTTGAGACCAGCCTGGCCAACATGATGAAACCTCATCTCTACTAAAAATATAAAAATTAGCTGGGTGTGGTGGCAGGCACCTGTAATCCTAGCTACTCGGGAGGCTGAGACATGAGAATCACTTGAACCCAGGAGGCAGAGGCTGAAGTGAGCTGAGATCATGCCACTGCACTCCAGCCTGGTGACACAGCAAGACTTCATCTCAAAAAAAAAAAAAAAAAAAAAAAAGAAAAAGAAAAAAGAGGAAGCCATCCCTTCTGCCTGGCAGTAGTAGCACAGCAATCCCATTCTGCATGCAAAAACAATTCAGAGAATCTGATTGGATAAGGAATTAAGCTGAGAGCCTTAAACATATCATCACTTGTTTTCCTGTGTAATAAGGACGCTTGGGTGAATATTCATTACTTTTACCAATTTGTTCAGTTCTCTGTATTATTTATAATACTTGTCCCTAGAAGAGCTAGTTGAACCAAAGGAGTCATGTAAGGCTACCCAGGCTTCAAAGATTATGCCAGCCGAGCCTGACGGTTCACACCTGTAATCCCAACACTTTGGGAAGCTCAGGCGGGAGGATTACTTAATCCTAGGAGTTTGAGATCAGCCTGGGCAACATGGTGAGATCCTGTTTCTACAAAAAATTAAAGAAATTAGCTGGGCGTGGTGGCACACCTGTGATCCCAGCTACTCTGCAGGCTGAGGTGGAAAGATTGCCTGAGCCCAGGAGGTGGAGGCTGTGGTGAGCTGTGATTGTTCCTCTGCACTCTAGCCTGGGCAACAGAATGAGACCCTGTCTCAAAAAAAAAAAAAAAAAAAAATTATGCCATGTCCTGTGAAAGTAACCTTTAACCTCTGAAAAGAAATCTGGAATTCTGATTGGTTGTCTTACTTGATAATTTGTTGCGCTGGGAATGTTATCACTGACAACATTGCATTCCTAAAAGGTATAAATAAGTGCAGAATTTTCCTATTAAGTCAGAAGTGGATCATTGAAATCTATGACTTTACTAGACTTATTACTTAATAGATAACCTATGACTTTGCCAGATCTATTGCTTAACAGATAACTTGAATGTCTGTATTTCAATGAATTGAACCCCAGAAGACACAAATATGCAGGAATTAAAGCACAAAGTTTAAGATCATGGGTGTCTTGGGGCTCTAGCTATACCACTTCCTCTGACTAGTTTTTATTGTTGTTGTTTGTTTGTTTTGAGACGGAGTCTTGCTCTGACACTCAGGCTGAAGTGCAGTGGCGCAATCTCGGCTGACTGCAACCTGGGTCTCCCAGGCTTAAGCAATTCTGCCTCAGCCTCCCGAGTAACTGGGATTACACGTGCATGCCACCATGCCTGGCTAATTTTTGTATTTTTAGTACAGACGTCATTTCACCATGTTGGCCAGGCTGGTCTCAAACTCCTGACCTCAAGTGATCCACCCACCTCGGCCTCCCAAAGTGATGGGATTACAGGTGTGAACCACCGTGCCCAGCTTTAGGTGTATTCTTAAACCTTGCTGGCCCTCTCGTTCACCTGTTAAATGGGTATAATATTAAAAGAGGTTATCTACATAAAGCCACATAAATTTCCAACAAAGGCAAACTGGCCTGACCATCAGGAAATATAACACCCTCAAATCCTGCTTCTTTCCCAGCCTTGAGGAGAGTCAGCCTAAAAGGACAGCAGCAGGGAAACCCAATCCTTTTCAGCTAATATTTTGTCTCAACGAAAAGCAGAGATCTTTTTCGTCAGAAGGAAAACCCAGGATGGGCGTGGTGGCTCATGCCTGTAATCCCAACATTTTGGGAGGCCGAGGTGGGAGGTTCACTTGAGCCCAGGAGTTCAAGAAGGAAAACCCCATGCCTGTTGATATTTTATCGAGCCGTTTCAACAGACCTCATGCTCAGTGGCTCTGCAACCTACCTTTTCATTGATGAAGCCTTTGGTCAGCAGGCTGTGAATTTTGGAGAGTGTGTCCTCACCCACAGGGCAGTGATAGCGTCCGCCGGTGAAGGAAGCCAGCTTTCTCAGGAACTCAACCGCCGCTCTGGAAGGAAGGGACAGAGGGCTGGTGGGAAGGCTGACTGACCAGGCAAGTTCGTGTGACTCCCCACGTCCATGGGGAACTTAAGTCCGTGGGGCTTAAGAGAAATCAGCCTGGCAATGGGCCGTGGCTTGTCCCATGGAGACCACCATTAGAGGACACTTTCCCCACCAGCTTCTGGACAGCTATAGCAACTGCTGCTGCTTGAGGGAAGAGGAGTCCCCGTGTGAGTGTCACCATTTAGCCTGGACCCCCTGAAACCACACAGCCCACACACTCCAGCCCCCATTTCTTTTCTTTTCTGAGACAGAGTCTCAGTCTGTCACCCAGGCTGGAGTGCAGTGGCACAATCTTGGCTCACTGCAACCTCAGCCTCCCAGGTTCAAGCGATTCCCCTGCCTCAGCCTCCTGAGTAGCTGGGACTACAGGCACCTGCCACCACGCCCGGCTCATTTTTGTATGTTTTTAGTTGAGACGGGGTTTCGCCATGTTGGCCAGGCTGGTCTCGAACTCCTGACCTCAGGTGATCTGCCTGCCTTGGCCTCCCAAAGTGCTGGGATTACAGTCATGAGCCGTCGTGCTCAGCCTAGCCCCCATTTATTTATGGGACATTTATCCAGTGCCTACTATGTGTTAGGCCTGTAAAGGACACACATATTACACTTATGGGGCTCATGGTTTAGACCAAGAGATAAAATGTGTCCCTATGCAGTCTGTTTTGCTAATAATAAAGTTTTTTTTTTTTTGAAGGAGCTGAGTATGTCTTATCTGACATGTGTTCTTTTTCACATTTTTATTTTGTTTTGTAGAGATGGAATCTTGCTATGATATCCAGGCTGGTCTCGAACTCCTGGCCTCAAGTGATCCTCCCACCTCAGTCTCCCAAAGCACTGGGATTATAGGCATGAGCCATTGTGCCCGGTCATAGCACATGGTCTATAGTGATCGTTTATAAAAAAAAATAACCATGACAATGCTACATTAATATTTTTCTCTCTGGCTTTTCCCCTAAATGTCCCCTAAATATTCACAAATGTGATCCCAGGGAAGAGTAGGAGGGAGACTGTAAAATGACTGTGTGAATCCCTTGCAAATGTGTTTCCAGGCTGGAGGAAGTCAGAGGGAAATATCTGGGTAAAGAGAGGGGTTTTCACCCTGTGGTGTGACACCGGCTTGGGCCGTCTAGAAAAACAATGCTTCTCCTAACTTCTTTCTTTTCTTTCTTTTTTTTTTTTTTTGACAGTCTCACTCTGTTGCCCAGGCTAGAGTGCCATGGTGCAACCTCCGCTGACTGCAACCTCTGCCTCCCTGGATCAAGTGATTCTCACGTCTCAGTCTCCTGAGTAGCTGGGATTACAGGCGCCTACCACCACACCTGTCTAATTTTTGTATTTTTAGTAGAGACAGGGTTTCACCATGTTGGCCAGACTGGTCTTGAACTCCTGACCTCAAGTGATCCACCTGCCTCAACCTCCCAAAATGCTGGGATTACAGGCGTGAGCCAGCATGCCCGGCCGCTTCTCCTAATTTCTGATTTACAGGATTAGGGCCCAGGAGAAACCCGTGTCTAAGTGAGCAGCTAGATTAGGTGAGGGGCTTGGATCTCCCTGCTGAGATGTGTGGCTGTGGAAAAAGAATAAAACTCAGTCAGACTCCATATTGCGCACCTGTCTGAGCAGTTCAAGGAAATGGTGTGCACTTTCACATCTCTTTTCTCCCTGAGTTTTTGGACTTCATTTAGGACAAGGCTGCAGCTTGTGTCTGGCTTTCCGTCGGTCAGGAGGTACAATCCTTCCAGATCATGGAAACTGAAAGCTTTCTGAAAGAACGCAGGAAGGCTGTCAGGCTCAGGGGAGAGGCTCACCCAGAACACAAGAACCAAATGCCTAAAGGTAGTGCCTGCTGCCGCCTCTGCCAAAATGCATCTGATTGGATGCCACTGACCTGTTCAAAAAGACTGAGATTCTCTTTCAGCCTCAGACAGACTAAGGAAGCTGCTGAGGTTTAGGAGAAATAGCATGGTTCACTGCCTAGCTGGTTAATCCCAAGCAAGTCACTTAACCTCTCTGAGCCTCTGTGTCTTCATCTATTTTTTTTAATTTTTATTTTTTTGAGATGGAGTTTCGTTCTTGTTGCCCAGGCTGGAGTGCAATGGTGCAATCTCGGCTCACTGCAACCTCTGCCTCCCAGGTTCAAGCAATTCTCCTGCTTCATCCTCCCAAGTAGTTGGGATTACAGGCATGTGCCACCACGCCCGGCTAATCTTTTGTATTTAGTAGAGACGGGGTTTCACCATGTTGGTCAGGATGGTCTTGAACTCCTGACCTCAGGTGATCCACCTGCCTTGCCCTCCCAAAGTGCTGGGATTACAGGTGTGAGCCACCGCACCCAGCCTGTGTCTTCATCTATAATGTGAGAACATTGAGAATCCTTTTCTCACTCGGGTGTTGGGAAGATGAAATGATGTAGTGCTTTGTAAATTATAAAGCGCCCTTTGTAAATCCTAAAGCATCGTGCAGCATCAGCATAGGGGATGATGGTATTTGTTTTGCGTCAAGGTCGGGCTCCGTGGTGGGACTTGCCAGCAATGCTTGCAAGATGGAGGTGCTGCCCTGAGCTTGCAGGTGGGTCACCCATTGCATAGCCTCATGACACGCTGCATCTGTGGTCTCCACCAGCGTGTCCTGCCATGACTGAAGGCTCTCTGCAAAGCTGAGCAGGTTAAAACTGGGGAGGAGGAAAAGAGGAGGTGAGGGGCAGAGAAGGGGAGAAAGAGATTGGTTAGAACAGGCCTGTCTAGATTGAATTCAGATAAGTTACCCTCATGAGGACTATTCTTGCTCGTCACTGAAGACCCCTACAACGAGCCCTGTGGCCCCTCAGGGAGAGGGCTGTGGGGCCTCTTGAGAATGAGAGGGTACACACTGACAATTTGAATGCAGACAGAAATAGATTTAAATCCCAGCCCAAGCCAGACACAGTGGCCTGTGCCTGTAATCCCAGTACTTTGGAAGGCCAAGCTGGGAGGATTGCTTGAGGCCAGGAGTTCAAGACCAGCCTGGGCAACATAGTGAGACCCCCATCTCTACGAAAAAGATTTTTAAAAAATTAGCCAGGCATGGTGGTGTGCGCCTGTAGTCCAAGCTACTTGGGAGGCTGAGGTGGGAGATCACTTGAGCCCAGGACGTTGAGGCTGCAGCGAGCTATGATCACACCACTGCACTCCAGCCTGGGAGACAGAGTGAGACCCCGTCTCAAAACAAACAAGCAAACAAACAACCCAAACAATCCTATCTCAGCCAGTGACTGGTTACCCGATCTTCAGCAAGTGTCTTAACCTCTTGAAGTCCTGGCTTCCTTTTCTGAAAAATGGGGGCCGATAACAGCAACACCTCACGGGCTCATTGTGAGAGTTGATGAAATGATGCGTGTAAAGCATCTGGTGCACAGAAAGTGCTCAATAAATGTATACTCTGATTAAGGCAAGAACGAGGCCTAGTCTACGATGAGAGTCCCCTGGGGTCCCCTTCGGGTCAACCCTTCTGGATGGGGAAAATAAACAACTTCCTCCACTCAAAAATCAAGTTCACAAAAATTAAAAAAATTAAATCATTAAATAATTTAAAACAAATCAAGTTCAGCTGAAAGCCATACTTCAAGGCCACATGGTAGTTCCTTTGCTGTGCTTGCAATTGTCCCTAGGCCTGAAATTAATTTTTAAAAATTGCGTTCCTTTTTTTTTTGAGACAGGGTCTTACTCTGTTGCCCAGGCAGGAGTGCACTGGTGCAATCATAGCTCACTGCAGCCTCAACCTCCTGGGCTCAAGTGATCCTCCCTTCTCAGCCTCCCAAGTAGTTGGGGCTACAGGTGCACACCACCATACCCAGCTAATTTTTAAATGTTTTGAAGAGATGGGATGACACTTTGTTGCTGAGACTGGTCTTGAATTCCTGAGCTCAAGTGATCCTCCTGCCTTGGCCCCCAAAATTGCTGGGATTACAGGTATGAGCCACCATACCCGGCCTCTAAAAACTGATTTCCTTCACAGCAGAGCAGAATACAGTGCTCTTTCCTACTCAAACGCGTTACTCAGAAGAGCATCTCAGAAACTCCAGGCCTGTTGGCACTGAGAAGAGGGGGCGTGCTTGGCCAGGGAAGCCCCAGGAACTGCCCCTTTGATCTTCCTGATCAGCCCTCGCCTCCTACCTGTCACAGCACTTCCGCAGCTGTTCCCAAATCAGCAAAACCAGCTCTGTCTTCACCTGCTGCAGGTAGGGGCCCATGGACCCTGACGTGTCCAGCAATATGCATACTTTGCTCTCCAAAACGGTGCCAAACAGTCGGCGGCTCCCTGCTCCGAGACAGGTGGGGAAGAGGCAGGGAGGGAGTGAGGGGTCCCTCCTCCTGGGTGGTTTCCCTCACTCTATCTATCAAGTATAAAGTCTTGTGACACCTGTTGCCTGCCTGATCATTGATTGGATGTCACCCCACTGAGAGACGGCTTTTGTGGTGCTGTGGGAGGGGTCGATTGTCCAAGGACAGACCTGGTCAGTGGTTTGGGCTTTGGGAGATCGAGATTTCAGCTCTGGCTTTGTCTGTGATGAGTTGCACAAGCGGTTATAACCTCCTGGGCTTGAATTTCCTTATCCTTAAAGTTAAGTGATTGGATTAAATAGTACCATGACATTGTTTTAAAATATTAGATGGTGTTTGGGTGTGTACTGGTATGTGAGCTGGGGGATTCATACTACAAAAGAAATCGCTGGATCTCTGGTTTTATGTCACCGTTCCCAGGGGTAATGTGAACCGAGGGTGGAGAGAGGCTCACGCCTTCTCTGTCCCAGCTCAGCCTCTGACCTGACAACTGTACCTGAAGCAGCAGTCATCATGACGCCCCTGTCCATGGACTGTCTATACCAGGTCCTACTGCAGAGGACTGGACCTAATGAATTTACACAGGACCCTGAGTGGCACGTACAAAGCCACCTGTAGGATCTCTATATAGGACTCCCTTCCTCCCTCCTCCTGATGCCCCAGAAACCCTCCAGGCCCCATAGCCCGAATCCCCTCCTGTCCAGTTCTAGCTGTCTGCCTGTCTTCTTGGGCTTGATGCTTCCAGACCGTCTCTTAATCCACAGCCCAACCCTGTCCATTCACCTCTCCTGGAGGGGACTTGGTGCTCTCTGTAAAGAGGTACACAGTAGCTCACACCTATAACCCCAGGACTTTGGGAGGCTGAGGCAGGAGGATAGCTTGAGCCTAGGAGTTCGGGGCCAGCCTGTGCAACATAGAAAGACTCTGTATCTAAAAAAAATAAATAAAGTAAGCTGGGCATGGTGGCACGTGCCTGTAGTCTCAGGTCCTTGCAAGGTTGAGGTGGGAGGATTGCTTGTGCCCAGTTCAAGGCTGCAGTAAGCCATGACTGCACCACTGGACTCCAGACTAGGTGACAGAGAAAGACCCTGTTTCTAAAACAAAACAAAACAGAGGGTTTCTGCTCTGTCAGTTCCCCTTACCATCTGCATCTCCAGGGGCTGTTTTGCTGGGGCGCAGTCAATATTAAAGCAAACCTTTTGACAGTGAGCCCCTTGTCACTTGCAGGAAGGCAAGGTGTGGCAGGTGGCCTTGCAGAGCAGGCTGGGATGCGTGTGAGCTCCCGCTGGGGCTCTTTGGCCCATGTTCCACCTCCCTGTTATCCAGCCCCTTGCCTGTCCTCTGAACCCACTGTCATTTTTTTTTTTTTTGGATAGAGTTTCACTCTTGTTGCCCAGGATGGAGTGCAGTGGCGCGATCTCAGCTCACTGCAACCTCTGCGATTTTCCTGCCTCAGCCTCCTGAGTAGCTGGGATTACAGGTGCCCGCCACCATGCCTGGCTAATTTTTTGTATTTTTAGTAGAGACGGGTTTCATCATGTTGGCCAGGCTGGTTTCGAACTACTGACTGGTGATCCACCCACCTTGGCCTCCCAAAGTGCAGAGATTACAGGCATGAGCCACCACGCCCGGCCTCCCAGTGTCATGTTGTATGTGGATGATGTTCCTGGCCTAATCCTCTGATCTGCAGTTCTTGAAGGCCTGGCTTTGGAAGGACTGACACTGGGGTCCCTGGGGCTAGCCTTCTACATCCCCTCATGCTCCTCCACCCTTCAGGGCAGTGGGCAGGCTCACCGGACAGCAGCCACTGCAGCCTCTGGACATAGCGCCTTAACACCTTCTCCAAGTGCCTGATGTACACCTCCATCTCCCTGGGCGTCCACTGGATGTGTCTCACCACTCCCTGGGTTAAGGCAAGCAGAGGCAAGCACCCACCCCATCAGTCATTTCTTCATATCCCCATCACCCCCTAAAATTGTTTATTCCATTGTGGTTAACAATTCTCAAAATATTTGTTGGCTGGGCACGGTGGCTCATGCCTGTAATCCCAGCGCTTTGGGAGGCCGAGGCAGGAGGATCGCTTGAGCCCAAGAGATCAAGACCAGCCTGGGTAACATAGGGAGACCTCATCTCTACCAAAAACAGAAAATTTAGCTGGTGTGGTGGCATGTGTCTGTGGTCCCAGCTGCTTGGGGGAGGCTGAGGTGGGAGGATTGCCTGAGCCCAGGGAGGTAGAGGCTGCAGTGAGCTGTGATTGCACCACTGCACTCCTGCCTGGATGACAGAGCAAGATCCTGTCTCAACAAACAAACAAAAACCCACAAAAAACAACCATCTGTTAAGTGTATTTTTTTTTTTTGTTTAAAGCCTTTTTTTCTTCTATTAAACTAGTGGATTTATGGTTCTACAAAGGAGTAGGGAATTAAGATTTTTTTTTTGGTAAATGCAGTTGCTATATTAATAAAAATCATAATAATTTCTGATTTTTTTTTTTTTTTGAGACAGAGTCTCAGTCGGTTGCCCAGGCTGTGTAGTGCAGTGGTGCGATCTCGGCTCACTTCAGCCTCTGCCTCCCGGGTTCAAGCGATTTTCCTGCCTCAGCCTCCTGAGTAGCTGGGATTACAGGTGCACAGCACCATGCCTGGCTAATTTTTGTATTTACAGTAGAGACGGGGTTTCACTGTGTTGGCCAGGGTGGTCTCGAACTCCTGACCTCAGGTGATCCGCCCGCCTTGGCCTCCCAAAGTTCTGGGACTACAGGCATGAGCCACTGCGTCTGGCCAATAATCTCTAAATTTTAAAATAGAAAACTCTAAATGGTGGGGTAAGAAGTTCATAAATTTTGAACTGAAAGATGACTTCAGGTGGAGAGGGGCAACATGCTAGAATGACCCTATATTCCTCTAGTGAATAATTTTGAATTTTGTGGCTATTTTTAGTTTCCCCTAATCTTGACAATGTAGGATAAGAGGGCAAGGAGAGAAATGATCAGATTTTCATTCTGTACTAAATTTACTTGTTCCAGTGTCAAAGCAATAAAAAATCACCCCAAAATTAGAAAATAGAAAAGAGAACCCTTCACTTCCTATCACAACCCCTATTTGCTGCCATAACAGAACCATCATCAGTATTGGGGTACAGCATTCTTATGGGTGAACACTTCAGCCACGGCCCAATCTTCTCAGCAATTGCTATTTTTCCTATCTTTTCCTTTTTATGTTTTAAGAGTCAGGCTCCTGCCCCATGGCCCAGGCTGGAGTGCAGTGGCGTGATCACGGCTCACTGCAGCCTTGAACTCCATGACTCAACTAATCCTCCCGCCTCAGCCTCCCAAGTAGCTCGGACTACAGGCACACAGCTGCACCTGGCTAATCTAATTTTTTTTCAGAGATGGGGTCTTGCTATGTTGCCCAGGCTGGTCTCAAACTCTTGGGCTCAAGCAATCCTCCCACCTCAGCCTCCTAAAGCACTTGGTATTACAGGCAGGAGTCACCGCACCTGGCCTCGGCAATTGTTTATAATTCTTATTCCAATGAGCTCATCTAACCCTGGAATGGGATCTTAGGCCCTCTGGGAAGTTGGCTTTTCTTCCAACAGGATTTTGCATCTCCTATTTGGTGAGGGGAGTCCCACTTTGGGGAGGAGGGCAGTTCCTACAAGCAGAAATAGAGGCCACAGTGCCCTACACTGCTCTCTGCCATTTGCAGCTGAGTTGGGGGAGAAAAAAAAGACGATGATGAAAATTGTGACTTACATGGATCTCAACGCTGGGGAAGATGCTGCAGTGTTTGGCGGATGCTGACCTCTGTCCTGACTTTTGATGAGTGCAGTTGGGACCCATGCATCTGGAAATCTCCAGCTTCAATTTTTTGAGCCCATATTTTGCCACCCACTTTAGAATAAAGGAAAGAACTATTATCTTAGGCAATTCAGACTCAACTGAATGATCATCTGACTGGTCTATGAGAACCTCATGTTTGAAACCTGTATGATGTTTGAAATGTGGGATTCCCAGGTCCTCACAGAGCATCCATCCCATGCAGATTCCTTCCCTGGCTTTGGGGGAGAAATGCACAAGAAATATGGGGGTGCAGGCTGGACGCGGTGGCTCATGCCTGTAATCCTAGCACTTTGGGAGGCTGACAGCGGTGGTTCTCAAACTCCTGAGGTCAGGAGTTTGAGAACAGCCTGGCCAACATGGTGAAACCCCATCTCTACTAAATACAAAAAATTAGCCAGGAGTGGTGGTGCATGCCTGTAATCCCAGCTACTTGGGAGGCTGAGGCAGGAGAATCGTTTGAACCCAGGAGGCGGAGGTTGCAGTGATAGTGCTACTGCACTCCAGCCTGGGCAACAAGAGTGAAACTCTGTCTCAAAAAAAAAAAAAAAGAAAGAAAGAAAGAAAGAAATAGTGGGGGTGAAGAACAAAATCTATCGCGCACCTCCCAGACCCTAGTCTAGTGGACACTGTTACTTCCCTAACATCCATTTCAACCCCACCTACAACATTTTTTAGTATATGTGCTGCTGAAGTGAGCACCCCACCTACAATATTTGAGTGGAAAGCCCTGATTGGTCTAAAGCTTAGACTCTAAGCCAATTAGGATAATCTCAGTCTCCTTGTCACAATGAGGGACACAAGAATGGGCAGGCTCAAAGCAGCCAGGGATGGCATCTGCCATCGGCACAATCAGAACCATGCTCAGGCTTTTATTGAATAGCTGTGGGACAACTATCCCCTTATGCACAAGAAGTGGGATTTCTGTTGATTTCACTTTAAAGAATCTTCACATCAATCTTATTTGACTGGCACAATTGTCCTTATTTTACAAAGGCAGTGAGATTGAGTATAGCTAGGTGATTTGCCCAAGGTCACCCAGGCAGGAAGTGGCAGACCTAGATTTTGAATTTAGGTCTATTTAACCCTTATCCCATCTGCCACAGTAAGCAATTGTTCTTATCAGGTTTGTCCTTTTTTTTTTTTTTTTTGAGACAGAGTCTTGCTCTGTCACCCAGGCTGGAGTGCAGCGGCACAATCTTGGCTCACTGCAACCTCCACCTCCCAGTTTCAAGTGATTCTCATGATGTAGCCTCCCAAGTAGCTGGGAGTACAGGTGCGTGCCACTGCACCTGGCTAATTTTTGTACTTTTAGTAGAGATGGGGTTTCACCATGTTGGCCAGGTGGTCTCGAACTCCTGACCTCAAGTGATCCACCCACCTCAGCCTCCCAAAGTGCTGGGATTACAGGTGTGAGTCACTGTGCCTGGCTTGTTCTCATTTCTGATTATGCCCCCCCATCCTAGAAGTAATGGTTGGTGGACAGAACTACTCTATTGCTTAATGGGCATGTGCTAGTATGGGTGACTTAATACCTCTTGGCTTGAGCAAACTGTATCCTTTCTGGGTAAGTCAATAGAAGAGCTAGTCCTTCTCAAGCCCCTTCCTTGAGGGTACTTCTTGTACACTGAGCCTAGAAGAAGCAGAGTGAGGTCATTGCTATAGTTTGGATGGTTGAGCCCCTGCAAACCTCATGAAATGTGATCCCCAGTGTTGGAGATGGGGCTTAATGGGAGGTGTTTGGGTCATGGGAACGGATCCCTCATGAATAGATCAATGCTCTCTCTGGTGAGAGGGTGGGGAGCGAGTAAGTTCTCCCTCTATTACTTGCCGCAAGGGCTGGCTGTTAAATAAAAGCCTGGCACCTCCCCATTTTCTTGTTTCCTCTCTCTCCATGTGATCTCTGCACATGCCAGCTCCCCAGCGCCTTCCACCATGAGTGGAAGCAGCCTGAAGCTCTCACCAGATGCCCAAACTTCCAGCCAGCATAAGCCTGAGCTAAAAAAACCTATTTTCTTCATAAATCACCTAGCCTTGGGTATTCCAAGCACAAATGAACTAAGATGGTCACCCTGTGTACCTCTCTTCCCTCCCCCTGAATCTCCCACTGCTCCCTTTTTCATGTCAATTTCTCTGTCAATCAAGTCAGTTGTAAAAGTCCTTAGTGCAATTTGCTGAGAGGTAGAAAGGGAGCTGTTGGGTGGATGGGGAAAGGCTGTTTGGGACCTCCTGCCTAGCAATGAATTGTTCTTGGGATCTGCACCATTTCACAGCAGTGAATCAGGCTGGCCTAGGGGAATCATCTCCATCCCTTGCCATCTGCCTTAGAGCTAAGGAAACTGCCCCTAGTGGACAGAGCTGGAGTGCCCAAGAATCTCAGGAGGTCTCATCTTCAATATTGACTTCTCTCATTCCCTGGTTGTTGTCAAAACTTTGCATGTCCATTTCCCAGGGCTGGGAGAACTGAGTTGAGTACGGCTTGCTCCAGAGGCACCAGTGCCTAGGTCCTGGGACAGCAGGAGGGGTCTCCTTCCCACGGTACCTGCTGCCCTTACAGCTCCCCCAGGGCCAGGGGGCTGTCCAGACACCTGTATAGCCTCTAACTTACCCACGTCATTCCCTTTCTCTGTGTAGAACAGTAAAAGAGATGTCTCTGCTTCCCTTGACTTGGTCTTCCTCCTCAGTTCCATCATCCCTTCTTTCGTTGGCTGGGCCGCAGCTGAGGAACATTTGGCTTGTTGGCTGGAGCAGCTGCATGCATTCTTGCAATACAGCTGTCCAGCTTGGCTTAGAGACACTCAAGTTCAGCTATACTCCACC